>NC_000011.10:59676589-59979619 GCF_000001405.40 Homo sapiens
TCGCCACGCTGCCTGTACCTGGCTTCACAAATGTTCTTAATGGCATTTAGGATGGTAAATCCTTTCCAGGTTTTTTTGTTTTGTTTTGTTTTCCTTTATCTAGTCATCCAGAAGTATCCAGAAGGTTTTCAATTTCTTTTGCCCAGATCCATCAAAGGAATCATTATCTATGACAGCTATAGCCTTACAAAATGTATTTCTGAAATAATAAGACTTGAAAGTTGAAATTGCTGTGTGGGCTGCAGAATGGATGTTGTGTTAGCAGGCCTGAAAACGATTAATCTTGTACATCTCCATCAGAGTTCTTGGGTGACCAGCTGCATTGTCAATGAGCAGTAGTATTTTAAAATAAACCAGTTTTTTTTTTTTTTTTTTTTTTTGAGTAGTAGGTTTCAGCAGTGGGCTTTAAATATTCAGTAAATCACGCTGTAAATGGATGTGCTGTTGCTATCCAGGCTTTATTGTTTCATTTACAGAGCAGAGGCCGGGTAGATTTAGCATAATTCTTAAGGAACCTAAGATTTTTTAGAAGGACAAATAAGCATTGACTTCAACTTAAAGTCACCAGCTGCACTAGCCCCTGACAAGGGAGTCAGCCTGCCCTTTGAAGCTTTGAACCTAGGCATTGAAAGTCCTAGATGGTATCTTCTTCCAATAATATAAGGCCATTTTGTCTGCATTGAAAATCTGTTGATGTAGCCACCTTCATCAATGATGAAGCTAGATCTTCTGGATGACTTGCTGGAGCTTCTACATCAAGCACTTGCTGCTTTACTGTGTACTTTTATGTTATGGAGGTGGCTTCTTTCCTTAAACCTCATGAACCAAGCTCTGCTAGCTCCAAACTTTTCTTCTGCAGCTTCCTCACCTCTCTCCACCTTCATAGAATTGAGAGAGTTAGGGTGTCTGGATTAGGATCTGGCTTAAGGGAATGTTGTGGCTAGTTTGATCTTTTATCCAGACCACTGAAAGTTTCTCCATAACAGCAATAATGCTGTTTTACTTTCCTACCATTTGTATGTTCACTGGAGTAGCATTTTTAAATCCTTTCAAGAGCTTTTCCTTTGCATTCACAACTTGGCTAGCTTCTTGGCCCAAAGGCCTAGTTTTTGGCCCATCTTGCTTTTGACATGCCTTCCTCACTAAGCTTAATCATTTCTAGCTTTTGATTTAAAGTGAGAGATGTGTGACTCTTTCTTTCACTTGAACACTTAAAGGTGATTGTGAGGTTATTAATTGGCCTAATTTCAATATAGTTGTGTCGCAGGGAATAGGGAGGCCCAAAGAGAGGGAGAAAGATGAGGGAACAGCTAGTCAGTGGAACACACACAACACTTAGTAAGTTCACCGTCTTATAAGGGTGCAGTTCCTGGTGCCCCAAAACAATTAAAATAGTAACATTAAAGATGACTGAACACATATCACTATAATAGATGTAATAAAAAGTTTGAAATATTGTGAGAATTACCAAAATGTGAGACAGAGACGTGAAGTGAACACATGCTGTTGGGAAAATGGTGCTGATAGACCTGCTCAATGTAAGGTTGCCAAAATTTTTCGATTTGTAAAAAACACAATTATCTGTGAAGTATAATAAAATGAGGTGTTAGGTTGTTGTTGTTTCTGTAACAAAATTATATTTCTATAGGTCGGAATTTTAAAATGGGTTACAGAACTACATTTCTTCCTTGAGGCCACTAGGGGAGAATTTGTTTTTTGTTGTTTGTTTTTAGCTTCCAGAGGTTACTTGCATTTCTTGGCTTGTAGCCCTATCCTCCATTTTCAAAGTCAGCAGCATAAATCTTCCAAACTCTTTCTCTCTCTGCTTTTGTTATCATACTTTTCTCTTCAATTCTCCTGCTCCTTTGTTATAAAGATCCTGTGATAACATTGTGTGCACCCAGATAATACAGGATAATCTCCCCATCTCAGGATTCTTAATTTAATCATATCTACCAAATCCCTTTTACCATGTAAAATAATATATTCACAGGTTCTTGGAATTAGGACATGGAAATATTTGGGGAGCCATTTTTTAGCCTATGGTATGTATGTGGTATGTATGAGTCATTGGGGTATAAAAAATGATTTCTGGTAGTATAATGAGAAAAAATTTTAAGGTTTAAGTTTGTGTTTTATGTGCTGCTTAGAGATGAATAATGAAGATGTCACTAGGTGAACTATGTCAATGGTTTCTGTGTTCATTTCAGTAACTCCCAAGACAACTGGGGCTATGTTCACTAACATGCTGTTAGTTATATATTGCTGCATACAAAACTACCCTAAAATTTAGCAGTGATATGGTTTGGTTGTATCCCCACCCAAAATCTCATCTTGAATTTTAATCCCCATAATCCCCATATGTCAAGGGAGAGAACAGCTGGAGGTAATTGAATAATGGGGGTGGTTTCCCTCATGCTGTTCTCATCATAATAAGTGAGTTCTCACAAGATCTGATGGTTTTATGTGTTTGGTAGTTCCTCCTGCATTCATTCTGCGTCCCACCACCTTGTGAAGGAGGTGCGTTGCTTCCCCTTCACCTTCCGCCATGATTGTAAGTTTCCTGAGGCCTCCCCAGCCATGCAGAACTGTGAGTCAATTGAACCTCTTTCCTTTGTAAATTACCCAGTCCCGGGCAGTTCTTTATAGGAGTGTGAAAATGGACTAATACAAGCACTTAAAACAAAAATAAGTTATTATCTCACAAAGATTTTGGGGGTCAGGAACTGGGAGCAGCTTAGCTAGGTGGTTCTGGCTCAGAGTGTTTCAGGAGATTGCAGTCTGAATGTTGGCTGGGGCTCCAGACACCTGAAGTCTTGACTAGCAGTGGAGAATCTGTCCTCAAGATGGTTCACTTACATGGCTGTTAGCAAGAGGTGTCAGTTCCTCTCTGGCTGTTCATAGGAGATCTCAGTTCCTTACTACATTAGCATCTCCATAGGGCTTCTTGATTGTCCTCAGGACATGGTAGCTTCTTTTACAGTGAGTAATCTGAGGTAGAAGCTAAAGCCACAATATCTTTTATGACCCACCCTCAGAAGTCACACACTGTCACTTCTGCCACATTCTATGTACTAGAAATAAGTTACTAGGTACAACCCATATTCAAAGGGAGAGGAATTAGGCTCCACTGTGTAAAGGGAGGAGTTTCAAAGAATTTGTGGACATATTTTATAGAACCACCACAGCCTACTTGAAGAAGAACAACAGACCTTTTAATCATGGCAAATTTTCTGGACAGATAAATAGATTCTAGGGTTGGAATGATGTCAGCAAGATGGTGGTATAGGAGGTCACCTGCTTTTATCCCCCAACAATAAGAATTCTTCACCCATCCAGACAAAAAAGTCTCTTTGTGGAAGCCTCACGATTCAGGTAGAAAGTTGTGGAAGCCCAATGGAGCCTAAGACCTAGGAGGGTGATTTTGAGAGTGCAGACCCATACCCTGTTGGCAGACCCATCAACTGTGCTCCCAGATTCAAGCCTGGGGAAATGGCCTCATTCCCCAAGGGGCTTGGCAACAGCCCCTACTGGCCTTGAGGCTACCACCAAAACCATCTGCCAGGGGGTTCAGGAAGAATCATGCACACCAGTGCCTCAGCAGGGAAGGCTCATCTGCCTGCTGACGTTGGTCTTCGCAGCTTGGACCTGAAAGTTGCCTTGTGGCTCGTCTCCACCCCTCCTCAGCTGTGGTCCCAGCTTAGTACTACTTGCTGGGAAATTGCTTCCCAAAGGGAAAGTTGCCCATATCTCACAGGAGTTACCCATTCATCTGAGCCTCTGCAATGGGCTTTCCAGTCTCTGTCCAACAGCAGATTCTGAGACCCAGTCTCAAGTCTGGCCCCACACCCACCTAAGCCAATGGGATGGGTTTGCTGACCTCTGTTCCATGGGGGCCCTTGAGGGGGCCCAGTCTCAGCTCCAGCCCCTCTTTCCACATGTGGGGATTGTCCTGCCTGTGCAGGGAACTGCTGGGAGGGGTGTCTGTCCAGGCCACTGGGACAGTCTTCTGGGCTTGGGTCCCTGGCTAGCTTATCTATACAGCCTAGGTACCTTCCTTCAATCTTCCTCAGGTCCATCCTGGCTTGGGTGCTGTGTCAGCCTCAAAGCCCTTGCAAAACTTGTGATGAACCTGGGCTTAGGGCCCCCTCTAGTGCTGAAGTGGCTGCAACAGCCACAGGCTTAGGAATCACAAGTCAGGCTGCTTAGAACTTCTAGACAGGCCTATTGAAGTAAAACAGGCACAAACAAAGCCAGAATGCAAAGACTAGAATAAATACCTAATACACAGACATTGACGCACATCTGCAAGCATCCAGAATAAGCAGGGAAATTTGACCTCACCAAACAAAATAAGATGCCAGTGACTGACCCTAAAGGGAACTTCAAGAAAACACAGAGAAACAATTCAAAAATTTACCAGAGAAATTTAACAGAGATATTGCAATTAAAAAAAACCCAGAAATCTAGGAGCTAAAAAATACAATGAGTATTAAAAAATATTAGTAGAGAGCATCAATAGCAGAATTAAGCAGAGGAAAGAATCTGTGAACTTGAAGATAGGTTATTTGAAAATGGGAAAAGAGAGATCAGACTGTTACTGTGTCTATGTAGAAAAAAGTAAACTTAAGAGACTCTATTTTGTTCTGTACTAGGAGAAATTCTTCTGCCTTGAGATGCTGTTAATCTGTAACCCTAGCCCCAACCCTGTGCTTGCAGATAATTGTGCTGTGTTGACTCAAGGTGTAATGGATTTAGGGCTGTGCAGGATATGCTTTGTTAAAAAAGTGCTTAAAGGCAGTATGCTTGGTAAAAGTAATTACCGTTCTCTAATCTCGAGTACCCAGGGACACAATACACTGCGGAAGGCCGCAGGGACCTCTGCCTAGGAAAGCCAGGTATTGTCCAGGGTTTCTCCCCATGTGATAGCCTGAGATATGGCCTCGTGGGAAGGGAAAGACCTGAATGTCCCCCAGCCCGCCACCCATAAAGGGTCTGTGCTGAGGAGGATTAGTAAAAGAGGAAGGCCTCTTTGCAGTTGAGATAAGAGGAAGGCATCTGTCTCCTGCTCCTCCCTGGGAATGGAATATCTTGGTGTAAAACCCGATTTACTGAGATAGGAGAAAACTGTCTTCTGGCTGGAGGTGAGACATGCTGGCGGCAATACTGCTCTTTAATGCACCAAGATGTTTGTGTAAAGTCAAACAGAAATCTGGCCTATGTGAACATCAAGGCACAGCACCTTTCCTTAAACTTATTTATGACACAGAGATCTTTGCTCACATGTTTTCCTGCTGACCCTCTCCCCACCATTACCCTATATCCTGCCATATCCCCATCTCTGAGATGGCAGAGATAGTAATCAATAAATACTGAGGGAACTCAGAGACCAGTGCCGGTGCAGGTCCTCCGTATGCTGAGCGCCGGTCCCCTGGGCCCACTTTTCTTTCTCTATACTTTGTCTCTGTGTCGTATTTCTTTTCTCAGTCTCTCGTCCCACTTGAGGAGAAACACCCACAGGTTGTGGAGGGGCAGGCCACCACTTCAGAAAATATACTGTCATAGGAGAAACAAGAAAAAATAATGAAAAGGAATGAAGAAAGCTTATGGGATTTATAGGATAACATCAAAAGAGCTAATGTATGGGTCATTGGAATTCAAGGGGAAGTAGAGAAAGATAAAGGAGTAAAAAGCTTATTTAAAGAAATAATAGCAGAAAACTTTCCAAACCTAGAGAAAGATACAATTATCCAGGTACGAGAAAGTCATAGGCCACCAATCAAATTTAATCCTAATAAGACCACCCTAAGACATATTATGATAAAATTGTCAAAGGTAAATGTCAAAGACAGGATGCTGAAATCAGCAAGAGAAAGTAACAACATAAAAGGGACTTTTGCAATACACTTAGCAGCGGACTTCTCAGCAGAAACCTGGTAGGCCAGGAGAGAGTAGGATGATATATTCAAAGTACTAAAGGAAAAAAACACCCTGTCAACTGACAATAGTGTACCGAGCAAAGCTGTCCTTCAGAAATGAAGGAAAAATAAAAACTTACCCAAACAAACAAAAGTTGAGGAAGTTCATCACTACTAGGCCTGCCTTACAAAAAATGTTAAAGAGAGTTCTTCAAGCTGAAATGAAAGGATGCTAATGAGTAACATGAAAACATCTAAAAGTACAAAACTCACTGGTAAAAGTAAGTATATAGTAAAATTCAGAACATTCTGATACTGTAATGGCAGGGGGACCACTTATATCCTTAGTATTACGGGTAAAAAATAAGACTTTAAAAAATAATAAATGTAAAAATTAGCTGGACATGGTGGCACATGCCTGTAGTCCCAGCTACTCAGGAGGCAGAGGTGGCAGGATCACTTGAGCCTGGGAGGCAGAGGTTGTAGTGAGCCGAGATTATGCCACTATACTCTAGCCTGGGCAACAGAGTGAGACCTTGTCTCAAAATAATAACAACTAAAATACTTTTTAAGGGATTTCCAATATAAAATTATGTAAATTGTGACATCAGTAATCAAAGTTGTTATCTGTTTAGTATAACATGTTATGAATATGTTTTTGTAAACCTTATGGTAACCACAAAACAAAAACCTATGATCAATATACTAAAAATAAAAAGGAATCAAAACAGACTGCCAGGGAGAAACACTTAACCACAAAGGAAGACAGTAAGAGAGGAATAAAGAAAAGATATGCAATACAAACTAGAAAACAATTAACAAAATGACAGTAATAAGTTCTTACCTATCAATAATTACCTGAATGTAAAAGAATTAAACTCTCCAATTAAAACACATAAAATGGCTGAATCTATATATACATCTATATATCTATATCTATCTATCTATCTATCTATCTATCTATCTATCTATCTATCTATCTAAAACCCAACTACATGCTGCCTAACCCTAATGTTGCACCTCAAGGAACTAGAAGAGAACAAACTAAACCAAAAATGAGTAGAAGGAAAAAAAATGAATAGAAGGAAGGATATAATAAACATCAGAGCAGAAATAATGAAATAGAGACTAAAAAAATACAAAAGATCAACAAAAGTTTTTTGAAAAGATGAACAAATTGACAAACCTTTATATAGACTAAGAAAAAGAAAAGATTCAAATAAATGAAATCAAAAGTGAAAAAGGAGAAATTATAACTGATACCAGAGAATACAAAGAATCATAAGAGAATATTATCAACAATTATATGCTAATAAATTAGATAACCTAGAAAAATGGATACATTCCTGGGCACATATAGCTTACCAAGATTAAACTATTAAAAAAATAGAAAATCTGAATAGAACAATATTGAATAAGGAGACTCAATCAGTCATAAAAAGTCTCCTATCAAAGACAAGTCCATGACCTGATGGCCTTACTGCTGAATTCCCAACATTTAAAGAAGAATTAATAAAATTCTTCTGAAACCATTTCAAAAAATTGAAGAGGAGGGAATTCTTTCAAATTTGTTCTATGAAGCCAACATTACTCTAATTACAAAAACAGACAAGGACACAACAATAAAAAACTACAGGCCAATAACCTGGATGAAAATAGATACAAAAATCCTCAACAAAATACTAGTAAACAAATTCACTAGCACATTAAAAATATTCATTATGATCAAATGGGATACATCCCAGGAGTGCAAGGATGGTTCAGTGTATAAAATCAATAAATGTAAAATATTACATTAACAAAACGAACAATAAAATCCATATGGCCAATTCAACAGATGCAGGAAAAGATTCAACAAAATCCAACATCTCTTACTGATAAAAACTCTCAACAAATTAGGTATAGAAAAAATATAACTCAACACAATAAAGGGCATATTTGACAAACCCACAGCTAGCATCATACTGAATGGGGAAAAGCTGAAAGCGTTCAAGATGTGGAACAAGACAAGGATGCCCACTTTCACCACTTCTATTCAACATAGTACTGGAAATTGTAGCCAGAAGAGTTTGGCAAGAGAAAGAAATAAAAGTCATCCAAAGTGGGAATAAAGAAGTTAGATTTTACGTGTTTACAGATGACGTGATCTTGTATATACAAAATCCTAGAGGCTCCACCAAAAAACTACTAGAACTAATAAACAAACTCAGTAAAGTTGTGGGATACAAAATCAACATATAAAAATTAGTAGCATTTCTGTATGGTGATGGAAAACTATCTGAAATAGAAATCTAGAAAACAATCCTATTATAATAGCTGCACAAAATAAAATGCTTAGGAATAAATTTAACCAAAGAGGTGAAATATCTCTACAATGAAAACTGTGAAACACTGATGAAAGAAATTGAAGAATACACAAATGAATGGAAAGATATTCCATTTTTTTATGGACTAGAAGAATTAATATTGTTAAAATGTTTCTACTACCCAAAGCAATCTACCAATTCAGTGCAATTCCTATCAAAATACCAATGATATTCTTCATGGAAATAGAAAAAAAAAATTCTAAAATTTTTATGGAACCACAAAAGGCTCCAAATACCCAAAGCAACCCTGAGCAGAAAGGACAAAGTTTTGAAGGCATCATATTGCTTGACTTTAAAATATATTACAAAACTGTAGTAACCAAAATGGCATGGTATTGGCATAAACAGAAATATAGACCAATGGAACAGAATGAGACCCAGAAATAAATCCACACATTTGCAGCCAACTGATTTTCAACAAAGGTGCCAAGAACACACTTGGGAAAAGGATAATCTCTTCAATAAATGGTGCTGGGAAAATTCAGTATCTACATGTAGAAGAATGAAATTAGACCCTTATCTCTTACCATATAAAAAAATCAACTTAAGATGGATTAAAGAGTTCCACGTCAGCCTTGAGAATATAACATTATTAGAAGAAGGCCTGGGGGAAAAGCTTCATGACCTTTGTCTGGGCAATAATTTTTTTTAAAGAAAACCTCAAAAGCACAGGCAACAAAGGCAAAACATATTTACAAATGGGATCACAGCAAATGAAAAAATCATCTAAACAGCAAATGAAATGATCAAGAGTGAAGAGACAACCTACAGAATGGGAGAATATGTTTCCAAAGTATACATCTGATATATAAGGAACTTAAATAACTCAACAGAAAAAAAAACCAGTTTAAAAATGGGCAAAAGAGACGCATAGACATTTCTCAAAAGAAGACATACAAATGGCCAACAGATATATGAAAAAAATGCTCGACATCGCTAGTCATCAGGGAAATGCAAATCAGAACTACTATGAGGTATCACCTCACTCGTTAGAGTGGCTATTATTAAAAAAAACAAAAGATGTGGAGAAAAAGGCACCTTTACACACTCATAATGGGAATATAAATTATTATAGCCATTATGGAAAACAGAATAGAGGTTCCTCAAACAATTAAAAATAGAACTGTCATATGATCCAGCAGTTTCACTGCTGGCTATATTTCCAAAGGAAATGAAATCAGTATGTTGAGGAGGTACCTGTACTCTCGTGATTATTACAGCACTACTCACAAAAGCCAAGATATGGAATCAATCTAAGTATCCATCAGTGGATGAATGGATAAAGAGTATATGATATATATACAAAATGGAATATTATTCAGTCATAAAAAGAACAAAATCCAGTCATTTGTGACAACACATGTGAACCTGGGGACATTATGTTAAGGGAAATAAGCCAGGCACAGAAAGACAAATACTACGTTATCTTACTCATGTATGGACTCTAAAAAAGTTGATCTCATAGAAATAGAGTAGAATAGTGATTTTAAAAAGTTGATATCATAGAAAGTGAGTAGAATAGTGATTATCAGAGGCTGGGGAGGGTGGGGGAAGATGAGGAGAGATTGGTCAATTGGTGCAAGGTTTCAGTTAGATAGGAGGAATAAGTTCTGGTGTTCTTTTGCACAGTAGGGTGACTATAGTTAACAATAATGTATTGTATATTTCAAAATAGCTAGTAGAGAGGATTTTGAAGGTTTCCACCACAAATAATAATTGTTTAAGGTAATAGATATGTTAATTACTTTGATTTGCTCATTACACTCTGTATACATGTATCAAAACATGACATTGAACTCCATAAATGCATACAATTATAATGTGTCAATCGAAAATACAATAAAACTAAAAAGTAGATTATGACATTATGATACAAATGTTATAAAATACCAGTGATGCAAACAATGTGGAATTGTAGGAACAATTGTAGGAATATGCAGACTAATTTATGGAACACAAAAGGCAGCCAACAATAACCAAACCTTAGGGTAAATGTGTGTTTAGTATGTGATAAAGATGATACCTCAATTCAATGGAAAAAGGAAACATAATTTAAAAAATTGTGCTAAAATAACTGGTAGAAAAGTTCAAGATTTGTAGCATAGCAGACAACAAAATAATTCCAGAATAATAAATAGGTTTCATGTAAAATTTTAAATCATAAAGCAGCAGGGACAAAATATGAATGGATATTTGTATGACTTCAGGATAAAATTTTAAAATTTATGATGAGTGGAAAAGTCACAGAGCAAAATTTTGATTACTGAATTCCATAATAATAAAACATACATAAAAATAACAAAGTTTCAAAATGATTTTTACACACACTTTAGAGTGTTAACATAAAATACAGACTTCAAAATCAGTCTCAAAATTCTTTAAGCACTTTAGAAAAATATACAAAAATTGTGAATGGCTATAATGTATGTGATTAGATCAATTTAATTAATAAATAAATGTAAACAAGATAGTTGACATTGTAAACCATCAGATTGACAAATGAAAGAAAGAAAGGAAAGAGGGGAAGGAAATGAGGGAAGGAAGGGAGGAAAGGAAGAAGGAAGGAAGGGAGAAAAAGAGTAGGAAGGAGGGAGGGAAGAGAGGAAGAAAGGAAAAGGGAAAGAAAAAGAGACAAAGCAAGCTAGTCAGCTCAGTGTTGACCATGATAAGGTGAACACTGTAAATAGCTTGCGGGAATAGAAATTAGTAAGTTTTTTAAATGCAATTTGCCAATGTGTATCTACAGGTTGAAAATATTTTAATCCTAAAGAAGAATATGAGTTACATACAGTGAATTATATATAACCATGCTTATCACAGTGATACTTACAATAGCAAAAAATTGGTAGCCATCTAAATGCCAATAAAGAGAAATAGATATAATCCATGGAGCTTGGTCTGAAGCATGGGTATGCATAAAACAGCTGCAGTCAGCGTCTAGAACATGAGTATATGTAGAGTGGCCATGGAGCTGGGGTCTGAAGTATGGGGCACACAGAGTAGCTGTAGCTCTGAGGTCTGGGACATACGTGGGGTTGGAGGGAAGGTGGGAGTCTTGTTCCTGGAATGATACAACAGCACCTCCTTCTGTGTGGGGTGCAGGGAATCTGTGGTGGCAATAACTACACACACACACACACACACACACACACATACATACACACACACACACGGCTATAGCTACAGGGTCCTCAACTATGAAAGTTGTGTATAGTCTATGGCTGTCACAGAGACTGTTGAGTTCCTAGATGGCAAAGTGTACTTGGGTCCCCCAGAGAGCAGGCCACAGGGGACCACAATGGCACCCACTGCATGGCTGATACAGATATCTCCTACCCTTCCTTTTTGATTCTAGCCATCTCCAGATGTCTCTGCTAAGCCAATACCATCAGCAATCATTTCTGGGCCTTTGTTAACAGTGGCGAATCTGTATGGGTCTGCAGCAACCTCAATTCTTTCCTCAGAAGAAAGAATTCAACTGAGGGGTACAAGGCAGAAGGAGAGATTGAGGCAAGTTTTAGAGCAGGAGTGAAAGTTTATTAAAAAGCTTTAGGGTCGGGCGTGGTGGCTCATGCCTGCAATCCCAGCACTTTGCGAGGCCAAGGCAGGTGTATCACCTGAGGTCAGGAGTTCAAGACCAACCTGGCCAACATGGTGAAACTCCGTTTCTATTAAAAATATAAAAAATTAGCTTGGCGTGGTGGTGGGCACCTGTAATCCCAGCTACTCGGGAGGCTGAGGCAGGAGAATTGCTTGAACCCGGGAGGTGGAAGTTGCAGTGAGCTGAGATTGCGCCATTGCACTCCAGCCTGGGCAACAGGAGCAAAACTCCATCTCAAAAAAAAAAAAAAAAAAAAGCTTTAAAGCAGGAATAAAAGGAAGGAAATTACACTTGGAAGAGGGCCAAGCAGGCAACTTGAAAGACAAGTGTGTGGTTTGACCTTTGGACTTGGGGTTTTATATGTTGGCTTACTTCTGGGGTCTTGCCTTCCTTCTCCCCTGATTCTTCCCTTGGGGTGGGCTGTCCACATGTGCAGTGGCCTGCTAGCACTTGGGAGGGGAGCACCCAGTGTGTTTACTGGAGTTGTATGCATGCTCACTTGAAGCATTCTTCTCTTACCAGCTGAACGTCCCTAGAAGGTGATAGAGCAGTTAAATTTCACCATTTTGCCTCTTATGAGCATGTGTTAGCCCACTTACCCAACTCCTGAGATCTCACTGGGAAGCTACTGATCATCATTTTCATGTTTTTCCTATCTACTGGAAGACTGCCTTTTTCTGGTGCCAGCTGCATCAATCATTATTTTAGAGAGACAGTTAACAACCACCTGACCATCACCTGATGGTCGCCTGACATTCCTGGTAGGGAGCGGGGCAGCCCTTTCCTGCCCTGTTCATGTCTGACTAGTTACCAACTGAAACATTTTTTTTCTCTTTTCTAGCATCACTGTGTTGTGTCTGGTTCTTAATGGGGCTCTTAAGCCCTCCCAGGGCTATTTTAATTTATTGGTAGCTTCAAATTGTTTTTTGTTGGGGGACGAAGTCTGGTATTTTTTATTCTGTCCTCTTGCTGACATCACTCAGCTCATCAGGAGTTTCATGAAGAACATTGCATATGGCCTCTACTGTGTTTTTAGAGACATGGCAGCCACTCAAGTTTTTGATGATATCTTGATATTTACATTTGGTAAATGTGTCTTCAATATTATAAGAGTTTGTTGAAATTTTAAAATAGTTGTATATCTCTTGAATGATATAAAAATTCAGTATCATCAAAAGAGAATTTTACTACATCATTTACTATTGAATGGTCTAGAGGCTGGGCACGGTGGCTCATGCCTATAATCCTGACACTTTGGGAGGCCTAGGCGGGTGGGTTATTTGAGGCCAGGAGTTCGAGACCAGCCTGGCCAATGTGGTGAAACTGGTCTCTACTAAAAATAAAAAATTAGTCAGGTGTGGTGGCGCATGCCTGTAATCCCAGCTACTTGGGACTCTGAGGCATGAGAATCTCTTGAATCCAGGCAGCAGGGTTTGCAATGAGCCAAGATCGAGCCACGGCACTCCAGCCAGAGGGACAGAGTGAGACTCTGTCTCAAAAAAAAAAAAAAAAAAAAGAAGAAGATCTAGAATATTATAGAGGATATTCTGTTTTAATCTATTATGTATTCCACACAAATTTGTACCATTCTCATATATCAGATGTACTCAAATTGTTTCTACATGAGTTAAGCTCTTTTGGGTGGACAAAAATGCTAATGTTCACTTAATGCATCCAGCACAATGTCTATTTATATTGTAGCTCCTCAAAAATAATTATACAATCATAAAGTCTCTCCATATTTTAATTCATCCTATATTAAAATATTAATTACTAATCATGTTATTTCTTTGCTCTGTGTCATTCTTATGTTATTCAAAATCAAAATCCATAGGCATGATGTCAATGAGATCGTGGAATAAGGGGCTTCTGACTTTCCCTTTTTTCCACAGACACATTGAGTAAACAGCTATACTAGATCAATTTCTTCTGAGAGAAATCAAAAAAGTAGTTGAGAGACTCCTACACACTGAGAAACTGCAATATCAAAATGGGTGGGAAAAGTTGAAACTCACTTGTGACACAAACCTCACCCTGGGCACAATACCTTGCAATTATGAATGAATCCTAAGCTCCTAGATTCTCTCTGAGGAATAAATGGTCTGGAGGATATATAATATCTCAACTCGTTTCCTTCCTTCCTTCCTTCCTTCTTTCCTTCCTTCCTTCCTTTCCCTTCCTTCCTTCCTTCCTTCCTTTCCCTTCCTTCCTTCCTTCCCTTCCTCCCTTCCTCTCTTTCTTTCTCTCTCTTTCTTTTCTTTCCTTTCTTTTCCTTCTTTTCTTGTCTTGTCTTTCTTCCTTCCCTCCTTCCTTCCTTCCTTCCTTCCTTCCTTCCTTCCTTCCTTTCTTTCTTTCTTTCTTTCTTTCTTTCTTTCTTTCTTTCTTTCTTTCTTTCTTTCTTTCTTTCTTCTTTCTCTCTCTCTCTCTCCCCCCCTTCCTTCCTTCTCTTTCTCCCTTTCTCCTTTTCTCTCTCTCTTTCTCTCCTTCCCTCCTTCCTTAATTTCTGAGATAGAGTCTCATTCTGTCACGCAAGCTAGAATGCAGTAGCACAATCATGGCTCACTGCAGCCTTGACTTCCTGGGCCCAAGTAATCCTATCATCTCAGCCTCCTCAGTAGTTAGGACCACAGATGTGTGCTACCATACCCAGCTAATTAAACAAAAAAAAAAACTTTTTTTTTTTTTTTTTGTAGAGAAAGGGTCTCACTAATTGCCCAGGCTAGTCTCAAACTCCTGGGCTCAAGTGATCCTTCCACCTCAGCCTCCCAAAGTGCTGGGATTATGGGTGTGAGTCGCTTCATCTGGCCTCATCTCAACTTTTATGGTTGCCATCCAAGGGATTGGCTATTAAATCATCTGGCTCTGGAAGCAGATGGAACTCAACATTTGCAAGTCATTGAGGACTAGAGAGAACAGAAAAAATAGTTATAAATGAGCACGTGAGCACTTCCTGTAATAGCAGCACAGAACAAGTAGGCAAAAATGTGTAGCTCCAGTTTCTCCCTGGAAGAGGCTTTATTTTTTTATTTTTTTATTTTTGAGACAGGGTCTTGCTCTGTTGCCCAGGGTCACTGCAGCCTCAATCTTCCTGGCTCAAGTGATCCTTCTGCCTCAGCCTCCCAAGTAGCTGGGACTATAGGCATGGGTCACCATGCCCAGGCAATTTTTATTTACTTTTTTTGTGGGGATGAAGTCTCACTATGTTACTCAGGTTCCTGGAAGAGTTTTGACTGTACACTTCCCTAGCTTCTGCCTGAGAGTTGGGTTTCTAACTAGCATGCACCTGAAAGCCAATAGTGCAGGTAATTAATTATCCTCTGGGAGCCCAAAAGGTCACAAGGGCACTTTCTTTTTTCTTTTCTTTCTTTCTTTCTTTCTTTTTGAGACAGGGTCTCTCTCTGTTGCCCAGGGTGGAGTACAGTGGCACAATCTTGGCTCACTGCAGCCTTGACCTCCTGGGCTGAAGCAATCCTCCCACCTCAGCCTCCCCATCCTGAGTAGCTGGGGCTACAGGTGCACGCCACCACACCTGGCTAATTTTTGTATTTTTTGTGAAGATGGGGTTTCACCATGTTGTTCAGGCTAAGGGCACTTTCAAGTCTTCTTTCCTCAGCTCACTGCAGGATTAAAATTAAGTGTCCAGTCTATCCCTGGAAGGAGTTCTTCTACACATTGAGCACAGCTTTTACAGCTCTCACCCAAAGAACTGGCTCTTATATCCCCTAACTCCGGGAGCTAATGGGGCTTAGCATTTATGCATCCTTCATAGCCAGAGAAAAAGAGGTGGTTTTAAAAGAGTGTGTGAGTACTTTCAGCAGCTAATCTTCCTGGCTCAGTGCAGAGTGAGCAGGCAAAAACACCCAGCTTACAATTTCTCCCTGGAAAAGTCTTGACTGCACCCATAAGTTGTGACTTTCCCAGGCTGTTAAGACTGGGAGAGGTGGCTGTTTTATCTAATGCACAGAAACCAACACAGAGAGTCAAGGAAAATGAAGAAACAGGGAAATATGTTCCAAACAAAAGACCAAAATAAGTCTCCAGAAATAAAGGATATATGATGTACCTCACAGATAATTCAAAATAATGGTCATAAAGATGGTATCAAGGTCAGGAGAGCTATGTATGAACAAAGTAAGAACTTCAACAAAGTGATAGGAAATACAAAAAATATCTAACAGAAGTCATAGAGCTGAAGACTATAATAACTGAACTGAAAATTTTAGTAGAGGGTTTCAATGGAAGACTAGGTTATGTGCAAGAAAAGACTACCAAATTCAAGGACAGATAGTTGGAAATCATCCAATCAGACATGCAAAAAGAAAAAAGAATTAAAAAGAGTGATGATAGCTTAAGGGACTGATGGGACACCATCAAGCAATCCAATATATGCATTATGGAAGTTCCTAAAGGATGAGTGAGAGAGAAACAAATAGTAAGCTTATTCAAAGTAATAATGGCTAAAAATTTCCTAAGCCTGGGGAATAAAATAGACATTCAGATCCAGGAAGCCCAGTGGACAACAAATATAATGAATTAAAAAAGGCTTACATTGAGATATATTATAATCAAATTGCCAAAAGTTAAAAACAAAGAGAATCTTGAAGCACTGAGAAAACAGTGGCTTGTTATGTACAAAGGAATTCCATAAGACTATTAGCAGATTTTTTTTAGCAAAAACCTTGCAAGACAGAAGAGTATGGGATGACATACACAGTGTGAAAGAAAAAAACCAAAACACCAACCAACTATACCATATCTGGCAAACATGCCTCTCAAAAATGAAAGAGAGATAAAGACTTCCTCAGACAATCAAAAGCTGAGGGAGTTTATCACCATATCTGCCTTACAAAAAATGCTATTGGGAATTTTTCAAGTTGAAATAAAAGGATGAAACTCATTGGTAAAGGTAAATATTGGAAAAAACGGTATATTTTACCACTATAATGATGATGGCAAATCTTTTTTAATTCTACTATAAATGTTAAAGGACAAAAAACCTAAAAAAGTATGTATTTTTGTATGAATGTATATTCATTAAGATGTAACACACATTCTTCTCAAGCACACATTGAACCCTTTGCAGGATAGATTATATGTTAGGTCCCAAAACAAGCCTTAACATATTGAAGAAGGTAACAAATTACACTAAGTATCTTTTGTGACAACAATGGAATCAGACTAGAAATCAGTAACAGCAATAAAATGTGAAAATTCACAAATATGTGGAAACTAAGTAACATACTCTTGAACAAATACGGGGTCAAATAGGAAATCAAAAGGGAATTAAATAATATATTGAGACCAATGAAAATTAAAATACAACTTAGCAAAAAGTATCCTGAGACAACATGAAAACAAGATGTACCAAAACTTATGGGATGCAGCAAAAGCAGTAGTAAGAGGGAAGTTTATACTGATAAACATCTATATGAAGAAAAAAGAAAAATATCAAATGAATGGCCTAACATTACCCTGAGGAATGAGAAAGAGAAGAACAAGTTAAGCCCAAAGTTAATAGAAGGAAGGAAAAAATAAAGATCAGGGCAGGGTAGGAGTAACTCATATAGAGAACACAAAATCTGTATAAAAATATCAACAAAACTAAGTGTTGATTAAAAAAATTTTTCTAAACTGACAAACCCTTAGCTAGACTGAGATAAAAAGGAGAATACAAAATAATAAGGAAAACTGAAATGGATGACTTTGGTAGAAAAATCTCAACAAAATCGGTATAGAAGGTAATACCCTTTGGGGAGAGTAGAAGGCTGAAGCTTGAGTTGATGACCATCAATGACCAGTGATTTTGATCAGCCAGCCATACATAATGAAGCCTTTGTAAAAACCCAAAAGAGGGCTGGGCATGGTGGCTCATGCCTGTAATCCCAGCACTTTGGGAGGCCAAGGGGAGTGGATCATGAGGTCAGGTGTTCGAGACCAGCCTGGCAAACATGGTGAAACCCCATCTCTACTAAAATACAAAAATTAGTCAGGTGTGGTTTCATGCACCTGTAATCCCAGGTACTTGAGAGGTTGAGGCAGGAGAGTCGCTTGAAACTGGTAGGTGGAGATTGCAGTGAGCCGAGATTGTGCCACTGCACTCCAGCCTGGGCAATAGAGTAAGACCATCTCAAAAAAAAAAAAAAAAAAAAAGAAAGAAAGGAATGAAATTAAATGAAGAATAAGAGTCACTATTTTATTCTTAGAAAGATATCCACACACCACAACTTTCCTAGCTTTCCTATATAAAAAGCATCCTAACATTGTATATGAATTTAATAACCAGAAATAGTGGAGAAATGTTACATAAGGTCTTTCCTACTTTTCTGATCTTTAAGGGTACACTATCTATGACAAACAATTAAGGGCAAAATGACTGATCCAAACCTTTGAAACTAATAGTGAATTTTTCACGGAAGCCATAATCCCAGCATTTGCTTACAGTCATTAGGTTGATTGGTTTACTGTTTTTCTGTGTGTTCAAATCTACTGAGAGGAAATCAACCAATGAAATGTGGGATTTGGTTGCCATAAGGCATATGGCAAAGTAGATTGTGGAGTTTCATATTTAGAACCATGTAATACACAAAAATACACACAAGAACCATGTAATACACACAAGATCACTTTGGGAACTTGTATGCTGTTTTGAATGTGAGCTGAAATTAATCAGAATATTTAAGTTGAAGTGCTACTTCCTCCTTTTATTAGCTGGATGACCTTGGGCAAATCCCTTTACTATCTTGATGCCCCATTTTCCAGTCTGTATCAAATGTGTATTATAATGTCAGTTTCACAGGGGCGCTGTTAAAAGGATTAAAAATCATAGTATTCTTGGAAGAGCTTTGTATATGCAAAGTAATGTACACATGTGAATTGTCATTACTTTCACGTTCAAAGGAGTGTGTCACCTGGAATTACAGCATTGCCTGGTCCACGCGTCTTAATGAATGGAGCTGGGAGAGGGAATAATCAAAGGCCAAGTCCATGGATATTATGAAAAGAGGAAACAAAAGAAATAATTACTTTCAAAACTTGGACAAGAACCAGAAATGGAAGCTGGTGTTTTGAATGTTGATATTGGAACGAGGTGTGTCAGGAGACCAAGGCTTCTGCTCAATATTTATCCAGTCACCAGATTCACTACCCTGGGCCTTATTAAATGAAGTTTAGATCTTTAGGGATAGATATGAAGTCATAATATAATAATTCTCAAATGACACTCTGTGACCTTAAGGTATAATCATTAGACTCAAGAATAAAGTTGAATTTGTACTAAATTAACTCTAACAAGGATAACTCAGGTAATAGCTAAAAACAAGACTCTGAACATATCTAAATAAAAGATGCCAGTTTCTAGATATTGTAGTGAATTGTTCATAGGCACAACTCTGTATTTCTTTAAAAATTTTGGGTCAAATTATATCTTTTTTTAAAATTTAATTTAGTTGTAGTAAATACACCTAATATGAGATTTACCCTGCTAACAGATATGTATGTGTAAATACAGTAGTGTTCCTTAAGGCAAAATGTTGCACAGAAGATCTCTGGATTGTATTCATCTTTTATTATTGAAACCTTATACCTGTTGACTAGCAACTCCCCATTTCCTTCTCTCCCCTCTCCTGGCATCCATGGGTCTGTTCTTTGCTTCTATGGGTTTGACTATTTTGGTATCTCATATAAGTGGAATCATGCAGTTTCATTTAGCAAAATGTCCTCAAGATTCATCCATGTTGTTGCTTATTGCAGGATTTTCTTCTTTTTAAAGGCTGAATAATATTCCATTGCATGCATATACCACATTTTCTTCATACAACCATCTGTCTTTGGACATTCGGATTGTTTCTACCCCTTGGCTATCATGAATCTTGTTACGAGGAACATGGGAGGGCAGATATCTCTTCTAAATCCTGATTTCAATTCTTTTGGGTAAATGCCCAGAAATAGGATTGCTGGATCATGTGGTAGTTTTATTCTTAATTTTCTGAGAATCCTCCATACTCTTTTCTATAATAGCTCTACCATTTTGCATTCCTACCTACAGTGTACAAGGGTCCCCTCTTCTCCATATCCTCGAAACACTTGTCTTTTTTTTTTTTGATAATAGTCATCCTAACAGGTGTGAGGAGATATATCATTGTGGTTTTAATTTGCATTTCCCTGATAATTAGTGACATTGAGCATCTTTTCATATACCTGTTGGCCATTTGTATGTCTTTTACGGAGAGATGTCTATTCAAATCCTTAGCCTGTTAAAAAAAATCAAGTTTTTTTTTTGTTTGTTTTTACAGCTATAGAGTTGTATGAATTCCATGTATATTTTGGAAATTAACCCCTTATCTGATATATGGTTTGCAAACATTTTCTCCCATTCCATAGCTTGTGTCTTCACTGTTGACAGTTTCCTTTGCTGTGCAGAAGCTTTTTATTTTGACACAGCCCAACTTGTTTATTTTTGCTTTGTTGCCTGTGCTTTTGGTGTTATACTATTGAAATAATTGCCAAGACCAATGCCATGAAGCTTTCCCTTTATGCTTTCTTTTAGGTATTTTACAGTTTGGGGTCTTATGTTTAAAACTTTAAGCCATTTTGAGTTGACTTTTGTATGTGGTATAAAATAAGGATCTAATTCCATTCTTTTGCATGTGGATATCCAGTTTTCCCAGCACCATTTGTTGAAGAGACTATCCTTTCCCCATTGTATAATCTTGTTGACAATTAGTTGACTGAGGCTGGGCATGGTGGCTCTTGCCTGTAATTCCAGTACTTTGGGAGGCCTAGGCAGAAGGATCACTTGAGCCCAGGAATTCAAGACCAGCCTGGGCAACATGCTGAAACCCTGTATTGAAGAAAAAATACAAAAAATATGCTGGGTGTGGTGGCGTGCACCTGTAGTCCCACCTACTCAGAAGGCTGAGGTGGGAGGATAGCTTGAGCCCTGGGAGGCAGAGGTTCCTGTGAGCTGAGATTGTGCCACTTTACTCCAGCCTAGGCGACAGAGCCAGACTCTGTCTCAAAAGAAGAAGAAGAAAGAAAAGAAAAATAAAATTAGTTGGCTGCATATGCTTGGGTTTATTTCTGGGCTCTCTATTCTGTTACATTGAACTTTAATATATTGAGATGATTTCCCTCTATTCTAGCTTGTTGAGAGTTTTTAAAAATCATGACACGTTGAATTTTGTCAAATGCTTTTACTGTATCTATTGAGAAGATAATATGGTTTTTGTTCTTCATTCTGTTAATGCTGTATATCATATTAATTAACTTTTGTATATTTAACTATCATAGCATCACAAGAATAAATCTCACTTGGTCATAAGATATGCCCCTTTTAATATGCTGTTGAATTTGGTTTGCTTGTATTTTGTTAAGGATTTTTGCATCTATATTCACCCAAGATACTGGCCTGTAGTTTTCTTTTTTGGTGGTGTCTTTCTCTGGCTTTGGTATGAAGGTAATGCTGGCCTTATAAAATGAGTTTGGAGTGTTCCATTATCTTAAATTATTTGGAAAAGATTGCGAAGAAATGGCATAATTTTTTTTTAATGTTTGATAGAATTGGCCAGTGAAGCTATCTATTCCTGGGCTTCTTTGTTGGGAAGTTTTTGGTTATTGATTCAATCTCCCTACTGGTTTTTAGTTCTGTTCAGTGTATTACTTCATGATTTAGTCATGGCAGGTTGTATGTTTTTGGGAATTTATCTATTCTTTGAGGTTGTCCAAATTATTGGCATATAATTGTGGATAGTAGTCTCTTTTGTTCCTTTTTATTCTCTGTGGCATCAGTTGTAATGTCTCCTCTTTCATTTCTGATTTTATTTATTTGAGTTTTCTTTCTTTTTTTCTTAGTCTAGCTAAAGAGTTGTCAATTTTGTTTGTCTTTTCAGAAAACCAAGTCTTAGTTTTGTTGATTTTTTCCTATTGTTTTTCTATTCTCTGCCTCATTTATTTCTGCTCCAATCTTTATTATTTCTTTCCTTAGGCGAACTTCGGCTTTTGTGTTTTTTCTCATTTTCCAGTTCTTTGAGGTTTAGAGGTAGCTTGTTTATTTGTTATCCTTTTTCTTTCTTCATGTAGGTGTTTATTGCTATAAATTTCCCTCTTGTACTGCATTTGTGACATTCTGTAAGTTTTGGTACATTGTGTTTTAATTTTATTTGTCTGAGTACTTCATAATCTCCTTTTTGATTTCTTCTTTAAACCACTGATTGCTCAAGTGTGTTGCTTAATTTCCACATATTTGTGAATTTTCCTGTTTTCCTTCTGCTACTGATTTCTAGTTTGATTTCATTGTGGTCAGAAAAGATACTTGGTATGATTTTGGTATTCCTGAATTTGTTAAAACTTGTTTTAGCACCTAACAAGTTAATTTATCCTGGAAAATGTTTCATATGCACTTGAGAAGAATGAGTATTCTGTTGCTGTTGGATGGGATATTTTATACAGGCCTGTTAGGCCCATTCATATATAATGTTGTTCAGGTTTCCTGTTTCCTTATTAATTTTATGTCTGGATGTTTTATTCTTTATTGAAAGAGGGGTCTTCTCTCCCCCTCCCCCTCCCCCTCCCTCTCCCCACGGTCTCCCTCTCCCTCTCTTTCCACGGTCTCCCTCTGATGCCGAGCTGAAGCTGGACTGTACTGCTGCCATCTCTGCTCACTGCAACCTCCCTGCCTGATTCTCCTGCCTCAGCCTGCCCAGTGCCTGCGATTGCAGGCGCGCGCCGCCACGCCTGACTGGTTTTCGTATTTTTTTGGTGGAGACGGGGTTTCGCTGTGTTGGCCGGGCTGGTCTCCAGCTCCTAACCACCAGTGATCCGCCAGCCTCGGCCTCCCGAGGTGCCGGGATTGCAGACGGAGTCTGGTTCACTCAGTGCTCAGTGGTGCCCAGGCTGGAGTGCAGTGGCGTGATCTCGGCTCCCTACAACCTCCACCTCCCAGCCGCCTGCCTTGGCCTCCCAAAGTGCCGAGAGTGCAGCCTCTGCCCGGCCGCCACCCCGTCTGGGAAGTGAGGAGCGTCTCTGCCTGGCCGCCCATCGTCTGGGACGTGAGGAGCCCCTCTGCCTGGCTGCCCAGTCTGGAAAGTGAGGAGCGTCTCTGCCCGGCCGCCATCCCATCTAGGAAGTGAGGAGTGCCTCTTCCCGGCCGCCATCCCATCTAGGAAGTGAGGAGCGTCTCTGCCCTGCCGCCCATCGTCTGAGATGTGGGGAGCGCCTCTGCCCCGCCGCCCCGTCTGGGATGTGAGGAGCGCCTCTGCCCAGCCGCGACCCCGTCTGGGAGGTGAGGAGCGTCTCTGCCCAGCCGCCCGTCTGAGAAGTGAGGAGCCCCTCTGCCCGGCAGCCGCCCCGTCTGGGAAGTGAGGAGCGTCTCCGCCCGGCAGCCACCCCGTCCGGGAGGGAGGTGGGAGTCAGCCCCCGCCAGGCCAGCCGCCCCGTCCGGGAGGGAGGTGGGGGGGTCAGCCCCCCGCCCGGCCAGCCGCCCCATCCGGGAGGTGAGGGGCGCCTCTGCCCGGCCACCCCTACTGGGAAGTGAGGAGACCCTCTGCTCGGCCACCACCCTGTCTGGGAGGTGTACCCAACAGCTCATTGAGAACTGGCCATGATGACAATGGCGGTTTTGTGGAATAGAAAGGGGGGAAAGGTGGGGAAAAGATTGAGAAATCGGATGGTTGCCCTGTCTGTGTAGAAAGAAGTAGACAGGGGAGACTTTTCATTTTGTTCTGTACTAAGAAAAATTCTTCTGCCTTGGGATCCTGTTGATCTGTGACCTTACCCCCAACCCTGTGCTCTCTGAAACATGTGCTGTGTCCACTCAGGGTTAAATGGATTAAGGGCGGTGCAAGATGTGCTTTGTTAAACAGATGCTTGAAGGCAGCATGCTCGTTAAGAGTCATCACCACTCCCTAATCTCAAGTACCCAGGGACACAAACACTGCGGAAGGCGGCAGGGTACTCTGCCTAGGAAAACCAGAGACCTTTGTTCACTTGTTTATCTGCTGACCTTCCCTCCACTATTGTCCTATGACCCTGCCAAATCCCCCTCTGCGAGAAACACCCAAGAATAATCAATTAAAAAAATAAATAAATAAAAAAAATAAAATAAAATAAAATAAATCTAAAAAAAAAAAAAAGAAAGAGGGGTCTTGATGTCTCTGACTGCTATTGTATTGCTATTTCTCCCTTCAGTTCTGTTACTATTTGCTTTATCTATTTAGATATTTAGGTGTTCTGATGTTGGGTGCATATAAATTTATAATTATTATATCTTTCTGCTGAATGGACACTTACCATTATGTAATGTCTTTGTCTCTGGTGATAATTTTTGACTTATAGTCTATTTTATCTGATATAAGTGTATCTACTCCTACTTACTTTTGGTTACTATCATCGTGGAATATCTTTTTTCATCCTTCACTTTCAGTCTATGTGTGTTCTTTTCTTTTTGTTTTTATAAATAAAAGAGGTTTAATTGACTCACGGTTCTGCAGGCTGTGCAGGAAGCATGGCTGGGGAGGCGTCAGGAAACTTTCAATCATGGCGGAAGGGTAAGTAGACATGTCTTACATGGCCGTGTGTTCTTAAATGTAAATTAAGTGTCTTGTAGATGATATATAGTTGGATCTTTTTGTTTTGTTTTGTTTTGTTTTGAGATGAAGTCTTGCTCTGTTGCCCAGGCTGGAGTGCAGTGGCATGATCTTGGCTCACTGCAGCCTCCATCTCCCGGGTTCAAGTGATTCTCCTGCCTCAGCCTCCTGAGTAGCTGGGACTACAGCCATGCACCACCACACCTGGCTAATTTTTGTATTTTTAGTAGAGACGGGGTTTCGCCATGTTGAACAAGCTAGTCTCGAACTCCTGATCTCCCAAAGTGGTGGGATTACAGGCACCTGCCACCAGGCCTGGCAAAGTTTTGTATTTTAGTAGAGACAGGGTTTCACCATGTTGGTTGGCCAGGCTGGTCTTGAACTGCTGACCCCAAGTGATCCGCCCACCTCGGCCTCCCAAAATGTTGAGATTACAGACGTGAGCCACTGCGCCTGGCTCCACAGCTCATTTTTTTTTTTGAGACAGAGTCTTGCTCTGTCGCCCAGGCTGGAATGGAGTGGGGCCATCTCAGCTCACTGCAACCTCCGCCTCCCAGGTTCAAGCAATTCTCCTGCCTTAACCTCCTGAGTAGCTGGGATTACAGGCACGAGCCACTGCGCCTGGCTAATTTTTGTATTTTTAGTAGATATGGGGGGTCTCACCATGTTGGCCAGACTGGTCTCGAACTCCTGACCTCAGATGATCCAACTGCCTCAGCCTCCCAAAGTGCTGGGATTACAGGCGTGAGCTACCGCACCCGGCCACAACTCATTTTAAGACTGCATCATTTCATATATCTTTTCCTCTTTCTCATGTTATACAAAGCCATAGTATCTTGGTTATTTTATTCTTCTGATTCTTGATGCCTTGAAAAAATAAATATACCTTTTTTCTTTATTTTCTTTATTTTACTTTAAGTTTCAGGATACATGTGCAGAACGCGTAGGTTTGTTACATAGGTAAAAGTTTGCCATAGTGGTTTGCTAGACCTATCAATCCGTCACCTAGGTATTAAGCCCAGCATGCTTTAGCTATCTGTCCAGATGCTGTCCCTCCCCTTCCCCCTCGGACAGGCCCTGGTGTGTGTTGTTCCCCTCCCTGTGTACATGTGTTCTCATTGTTCAGCTCTCCCTTATGAGTGAGAACATGCGGTGTTTGGTTTTCTGTTCCTGTGTTAGTTTGCTGAGGATGATGGCTTCCAGCTTCATCCATGTCCCTGCAAAGGATATGATATCATTCCTTTTTATGGCTGCATAGCATTCCATGGTGTATATGTACCACATTTTCTTTATCTAGTCTATCATTGATGGGCATTTGGGTTGGCTCCATGTCTTTGCTATTGTAAATAATTCTGCAATAAACATACATGTGCATGTATCTTTATAATAGAATGATTTATATTCCTTTGGGTATATACCTAGTCATGGGATTGCTGGGTCAGATGGTATTTCTGGTTCTAGATCCTTGAGGAATTGCCACAATGTCTTCCACCATGGTTGAACTAATTTACACTCCCATCAACAGTGTGAAAGTGTCCCTACTTCTCCACAGCCTTGCCAGCATCTGTTGTTTCTTGGCTTTTTAATAATCACCATTCTGATTGGTGTGTAGCTTTTTCCTAATAATAAGCAATTCTAATAACTCCAAATAATAGTCCAATTGTTGGCTGGGCGTGGTGGCTCACACCTGTAATCCTAGCACTTTGGGAGGCCGAGGCGGACGGATCACTTGAGGTCGGGCGTTCAAGACCAGCCTGGCCAACATGGTGAAACCCTGTCTCTACTAAAAATACAGAAAAAAAAAAAATTAGCCAGATGTAGTGGCATGTGCCTGTAGTCCCACCTACTTGAGAGGCTGAGGCAGCAGGATTGCTTGAACCTGGGAGGTGGAGGTTGCTGCAGTGAGCTGAGATTGCGCCACTGCACTCCAGCCTGGGTGATAGAGCGAGACTCGGTCTCAAAAATAAATAAAATAAAATAAAAATAAAAATTAAAAAAGGATGAAATTAGAAGACAGTTGGGAGAAATTCAGTGCTTGAATATTTTATTGTTTTTGACCTGCTCCTCTTCTCAGACAGAAATGTTTTTCTGAAAAAAAGAGTCAAGAATAAGAATTCTGTTGAATATTAGCTAGGGCTAATAGACAGAGGCTTAGCCCTGAGGAGTGAGTCAGAGGGGTCCTTTTGTTCAGTGGAACCTTTTATCCTAGGCCTAACTTTGATTTCTTATATTTCTTTCTTTTTTGTTTGCTTGTTTCCCACTTTCCTCCACTGCTCCATTTCTCCATTTCTTTTATCTTCCCTCTCTTCTTATCTGTAATAAATAAAAATATTCGCCAGGCACGGTGGCTCATGCCTGTAATCCTAGCACTTTGGGAGGCCGAGGCAGGTGTATCACCTGAGGTCAGGAGTTCGAGACCGGCCTGGCTAACATGGCAAAACCCCGTCTCTACTAAAAATACAAAACAAAACAAAACAAAAAAAAAATTAGCCAGGCATGGTGGCAGGCACCTGTAATACCAGCTACTCAGGAGGCTGAGGCAGGAGAATCACTTGAACCTGGGAGGTGGAGGTTGCAGTGAACTGATATTGTACCACTTCATTCCAGCCTGGACGAAAGAGTGAGACTCCATCTCAAAATAAATAAATAAATAAATAAATAAATAAATAAATAAATAAATATATTCACAATGTAAAGAAAGCAATACACTTTATAACCTAAAGTATAAAATAAATATTCACATGCTGGTATAAAAACATAATTGATTCTTTAACTGATACAAAAGAAAAAAGAAAAAAATGCTTGGATAAAAATTTAAATGAGGAAGAATAGACAAATCTCCTATGCAGTAGAATTCCAAATAATTTATGTAACTCCTCCCTTCTCAATTTGGGGCAGCAAAACTACCTACCCGTTCCTTACAGGTGGACTGAATATAGTGACTTCCTTCCAAAGAGTATAATGCACAAGTGGGAAAAGAGTTTGTTGACAGTGGAGAAATCTGAGAAACACTACCTCTGTCAGGTGATCAAGGTCAACATCAGTAGTGAAAAGCTATGTTTACATTATGTACCCTTGATATGATGTGATGAGAATGTCACTTTACCTCTGTGTTCTTTCTTCCAAAAACTCACAACCCCTTGTCTAAGCATCAGAGAAGGTCAGTTCTGAAGAACATTCTACAAAATATCTGACCAGGATTCCTCAAAACTGTCAAGGTCACCAAAAACAAGGAAAGTCTAATAAACTCTTCCAGCCAAGAAGAACCTAAAGAGACATGATGACTAAATGTAATGTGGTGTCCTAGATGAATTCTTGGAACAGAAAAAGGACATTAGGTAAAAAATAAGGAACTCCAAATAAAGTGTGAAGTTTAGTTAATAATAATACGTCAATATTGGTCAATTAGTTGTGACAGACATACAATGGGAGTGTTAACAATAAAGGAAATTGAAAGCATTGCGTATACAATCTTGTCTAACGTAGGTGTTCCTCACTCAGTTATTTTCTGTTGAGTTGCTATGTTTGTTTTCTTCACTGCAATTACCAAAGTCCGTAATTATATTTTTTAATTTATTATGTGTCTCTTCCATTAGATTGTAAGCTTCATGAGGACAAGGATCTTCTCTGTTTCTTTTTTATTCTTTCTTCTTCTTTTTTTTAACACTGCGATAACAGGAAACAATTGTTTCATTTATTGCTGCATTCCCACTATATTCCAGGTTTCCACACATAGTAAATACTCAATAATAACCACTGAATTGTTAAATGAATGAATGAAGGAATGACTGGTGATTGTAACCAAGACTTGTAGGATCATTGCAACTGGAGCAGAACAAATTTATGATATTTTATTATAAATAGGATGTACTTCATGCTTTCTCTAGAGAGAAAATACCTTTAATCGGGTTTCCATTTATTTCTCTTTCTTCCCTCTTTCTCTCTTTGTCTCTCTCTCCTTCCTTCCTTCCTTCCTTCTTTCCTTCCTTTTCCTTTCATTTTTTTTCCACAGTGAAAGGAGTAAAATCTCCAAGCGTCCTGTAAAGTAGGAATATCATGGTGTTGCCTGAACTTACTTCTTCTTTTATTTATTGATTTTTTTATTGTTAAGAGTTACTTCTTGAAGGATGTGTAAATAAGGGTGCCAATGTACATTTGTACATTTCCTTACACATGTTAGGAAGTTTCTCACTTCTCTCAGTTCCTTAGTTAAGTCAACAGAAAGAAATACATATTATCACAGATATACACTATAGAAGACTCAGGCTTTTCCTGTTGAGAGTCATTTATCCAGAAGCACCTAGCTACTAAGGATAAAGAAAGAATTTGTGTAGAGCTAAAAGCTACCCCCATCGGGGATCACTGAAAACAAGAATGTGACAAAGAGGCTGGAAACCTGAAGACAGTCACGCACACAAAATATAGTTGAATGTTAGGCTCTGTGCATAGTACATATTCCTACATGTTTAATGAAGAGCAGTGACTCACAACTAAGAAAGTTTTTTTGTTTTTTTTTTTTTGAGACGGAGTCTCTCTCTGTCACCCAGGCTGGAGTGCAGTGGCACAATCTCGGCTCACTGCAATCTCAGCCTCCCAGGTTCAAGCGATTCTTCTGTCTCAGGCCTCCCAAGTAGCGGGACTACAGGCACGCGCCACAATGCCCAACTAATTTTTGTATTTCTGGTAGAGATGGGGTTTCACCATATTGGCCAGGCTGGTCTTGAACTCCTGACGTTGTGATCCGCCCGCCTCAGCCTCCCAAAGTGCTGGGATTACAGGTGTGAGCCACTGCGCCCAGTCAAAGTATTTTATATGCTCTATGTCAGTCTTTTTTTTTTTTTTTGAGACAGGGTCTCACTCTGTCACCCAGGTTGCGATCTTGGCTCACTGCAACCTCCACCTGCCAGGTTCAAGCAATCCTCCCACCTCAGCCTCCCAAGTAGCTAGGACTACAGGCGTGTACCACCACGCCCAGCTAATTTTTTGTATTTTTGGTAGGGACAGGTTTCTGCCATGTTGCTCAGGCTGGTCTCAAACTCTACATGGCAGTATGAAAATAAACAAATACAAAGGGTAATGACCACCACATTGGAGAGCTTGTTTAGAGGTTCTAGCAGAGGAGTGCAGCTACTTGTATACCCTTGACCAAAGAATGGTCCTCCTCTATCTGGGAAGGTCGTCCATTTTGACTAAGCTTGCAGCTTTGAGAGGGTCGCACATGGGGCAGTGAAGGAGGAAGAGGACACCCACCTAGCCAGGCAGATCAGCTGAATCAACTCTGGTGATCAATGGGATGACAGATGTCACAGCCAGATTGCCCTCACATCCTACCCCATTTGTTCATGCCCAAGTTGTTCTATTTTGCTTTCTGATTAAGAAGCAGACAAGAAACCATTATTAGCAGAGTATGGTAGAAAGTACCATAGAAGCCTCTCCAATGTGAGGAGAAATGGCCAGCATATTGACAGATGTAAATAGAAAGTGGGAGTTAAATTACTGAATCAAAGTCATTTGATTCATTACCTCTTTAAACGCTTTATCTCCAAATACATTCTGAAGCATTGAGGGCTAGGGCCTCAACATATAAATTTGGTTTGGAGGGAAGACATAATGTAGCCCAAAACAAAGCCTCAATCTCAGTATCTAGAAAACAAGAGGATTGTACTTGTTAATATTTAAGATATATTCAGGCACTGACTTGCTGCGGCCCCAATCCCTGTTGGACTGAACAAAGGAGGACAAATGTGGGAATAAAGATAAAGAAAAGAGTATTTTTACTCTTTTATAGATAGATAAAGATACTCTTTTATAGGTAATAAAGATAAAGAAAAAAAGAATAAAGATAAAGAAAAAAGAGAGCCGAAGTCCTGTGGGTCGTGACTAACTCAGCATTCCACTGGAGGCTATATGATCAAACAGCAAACTATTTATCATGAATGCAGGATGTGGGCAAACTCATGACTGTGCCTGCTGCCAGAAGATATGCTGAGTGCAATCACTCCCTGGCACTGTGCTCCTTGAGGTTATCTACTGGAACATCTGGAGACTACTGTTCAGAGAATGCAGCCTTGCAAGCCTGCACTGAGTCAAGCTGCTGACCGACAACCACCCCCCTTCTCCCAATCTCCTTTACCCAATAAATACAAAGGGCTGTAAAACTCAGGGCCCTTGTTCACTAGAAGCAAGGAGCCCTCTGACCCCTTCTTCCAAATATACTCTTTTTTCTTTATCTTTATTCCCGCGTTTGTCCTCCTTTGTTCAGTCCAACAGGGATTGGGGCCACGGCAAGTCAGTGCCTGAACATAGCTTAAATATTAACAAGTATAATCCTCTAGTTTTCTAGATACTGAGATTGAGCCTTTGTTTTGGGCTACATTATGTCTTCCCTCCAACCCAAATTTATATGTTGAGGCCCTAGCCCTCAATACTTCAGAATGTATTTGGAGATAAAGCCTTTAAAGAGGTAATAAAGAGTAAGTGAAATCATTAGGGTGAGCCCTAATACAATATGACTGGTCTTATAAAAACAGGGCAGTAGTACACAGACACAAACAGGAGAAAGACCACATAAAGACAGGGGGAGAAGACGGCTCTCTGCAAGTCAAGGACAGAGGCCTCAGAATAAATCAACCCTGCCAATACCTTGATCTCAGGCTTCTAGTCTCCAGAATTGTGAGAAAATAAATTTATGTTGCTGCCCCATTTGCTATACTTTGTTATAGAAGCATTAGCAGTCTTCAAGAATGAAAGCAGCTTTTCCAACATTACACAGCTCCTAGAAGCCATTTCTCCTGGCTCTCAGTCCCATTGTCCCTTCCAGAGAAGCAATGGAAGATGCTTCAATACTCAGCCAACTCCTTGATGCCTATTGCAATAACTCATAACTCTCTAAATTTCGTTACATCTTCATCCATTTGCACTGCTATAATAAATACCTGAGACTGGATGACTTATAAAGAATGACAATTTATTTCCTCTTAGTTCTGGAGGCTGGGAAGCCCAAGATCAAGACACCTGCAGATTTGGTGTCTGGTGACGGCTTGGTCTCTGCTTCCAAGATGGTGCCTTGAAAGCTATTTCCTCACATGAAAGAAGGAACCGAAGGGCAAAAAGGGCCTAAGCCAGTTCCCTCCAGCCCTTTTATAAGGCACTAACCCATTCATGAGGAGCGCTCCTGAGTTACTCACTCCCTGCAAAGGCCCTACCTCTTTTTGTTTGTTTGTTTGTTTGTTTTTTGAGACAGGGTCTGGCTCTGTTGCTTAGGCTGGAATGCAGTGGTATAATCTCAGCTCACTGCAACCTCCAACTGCTGGGTTCAAATGATTCTTATGCCTCAGCCTCCTGAGTAGCTGGGATTACAGGCTTGTACCACCATGCTCCAGATAATTTTTTTATTTTTATTTTTAGTAGAGATGGGGTTTTGCCATATTGGCCAGGCAGGTCTTGAACACCTGGCCTCAAGTGATCTGGCTGTCTCAGCCTCCCAAAGTGCTGGGATTACAGGTGTGAGCCACTGTGCCCGACCTGGCCATACCTCTTAATGCCACTCTAATGGGGATTAAGTTTCAACATGAATTTTGGAGGAGACACACATTCAAGCCATAGCAGTCACATCCCAGAGATTCCTCAAATATCTGCTTTCCCCTGTTGACCCTATCTCCATCTCTCTTTCTAATTTGTTCTTTCCAGTATCTTCTGACTCATCTCTTTCTCATTATTCCTTTTCTACCCTGGTTAGAAGAATTTCTCTTTCATTTTCTTCTGAATACCACAGTGCTACAAAATAGATGATGAGAGAAATGGGAGTTTGGGAATTTTTTACTGGGCATGACTGCAGAATATGCTTTTGCACCCAGCTCTCTAGAATCACTGGAAAAAAGTGGAAAAACATCAATAAGGCAAGTGAAATTTTCAAATTCTCAAAATTTTCTGTAACTGAAATTTTAAAAATCCTTGCTAAAATTGAGTTAAAGATAGTAAAGTATGGTTGGATGCAGCAGCTCACGCCTGTAATCTCAGCACTTTGGGAGGCCAAGATGGGAAGATCGTTTGAACTTAAGGGTTTGAGACCAGCCTAGCCAACAAGGTGAGACGCCCATCTTTACAAAAAAAAATAATAAATTTTTCTGGCCGGGCGCAGTGGCTCACGCCTGTAATCCCAGCATTCTGGGATGCTGAGGCGGGCAGATCATGAGGTCAGGAGTTTGAGACCAGCCTGACCAACATGGTGAAACTCCATCTCTACTAAAAATACAAAAACTAGCTGGGCATGGTGGTACACACCTGTAATCCCAGCTACTCAGGAGGCAGAGGCAAGATAATTGCCTGAACCTGGGAGGCAGAGGTTGCAGTGAGCCGAGATCGTGCCACTGCACTCCAGCCTGGGTGACAGAGTGAGACTCCATCTAAAAAAAAAAAAAATTTTTTTTTTCTGGGCATGGTGGTGTGCAACTTTAGTCCCAGTTACTTGGGTGCTTGAGCCCGGGAGATTGAGGCTACAGTGAACTCTGATTGTGCCATTGCACTCCAGCCTGGGCAACAGAACAAGACCTTGTCTCAAAAAAAGACAGTAAAGTATATGATCTTCCTTTAATATGCAATAATGATACCTACCTGCTCCCTTCCAATGGATATTTTATAGTTTCCCATTTGTATTTTTCACTATTTGTAATCTTAGGGAACACTGAAGTCACAGATACTAGAATCAAATACAACAATAAAAAATTAGTATTAGCAATAAAGGTTTCAAAAATATTTTAAATGAGTATGTACCCTTATTAGTGACATTTTAAAAATCTGAGAACCAGAAAGAAGTTATCTCCAAAGAAAGTCTTGCTTAATTCCAATAATTATGAAGTAGCTTCACTGTAAAAGGCAATGAAGAATGTAAATGATAGAAAAAAGTTTTCAAGGAGTAGAGAAAGTTAAAAAATAGAAAAAAGATAAAGAAGTATAAATAAGACACAGTTGCTTTATATAAGGACCATATAATTTTTAAGAGAGACAAGACTAGTACACCATCCTAAAATTTTATCTGTCTTTTGATAGTGAATCAACTGAGTTTAATAAGTATTACCCACTATTATGGGTATCCAAAGATTAATGCTACATTCTCCATTTCCAAGGCACTCAGAACTCTTGAATTTTTTTCCCATTTAGCTGAAGCTACAGATACAAAATATGTGTAAGATAGATATCTCAATGCCAACCCCTAGTAGAATTCTGGAAATGATCGAACAGATAAGTTGTAAGAATTTTGAAAAGACTGGTGATTACTATGAGCCCATATAAAGTGATTCATGATAAATCATGCCAAATGCACCTCATTTTAAAAACAAGAGCTTTAAATGATTAGATTTATACAAGTGCTGCAGTGTATTTTGATTGTATGAAAGGATTTGAGGTTTCTCATCATATCCCTCTGTGAGATGGCTAATTATAGATTTGTTGGCAAAGCAGTTACATTTTGCTGCAAAATGAACTGTTCCAAACATAATGACTTAAAATATCAATCATTTATTTGCCCTGATTCTATGGGTCAACAATCTGGGCTGGACTCTGTTAGTCTTACCGGAGTTACTAATGTGGCTAAAGTCAGCTGGTAGATTAGGGCTGATTGGCTTAGGTAGTTTCAACTTGGACAGCTTATCTTTGTTCTACACGATGTCATCCTAGCCCAGGCTATGTGGAGGCCTTAGGACAGCAAGAGAAGGCAGGCCCCAAAATATAAGTGTAAGCCTATGCTTGCAATGCATTTGCTAATGTCTCATTGGCCAAAGCAAGTCACATAGCCCTCCGGGAGTGATGGCAGTGGGGGTGGGGGTGGGGTGGGGTGGGAGACTGCCTAAAGGCATGGATATAGGCAGGTGGAGTTCAAGGGGGGCCATAATTGCAACAATGTACCCCAGATGTTATTCATTGAGCAGATTTCTTTCTTTTTTTAGAAAAATTTTCAACTTTCAGGTTCAGAGGGTACATGTATAGGTTTGTTACGTGGGTATATTGTGTGATGCTGAGGTTTAGGGTACGAATGATCCCATTGCCCAAGTAGTTAGCACAGTACCCAACAGGTAGTTTAACTGAGCAGATGTCTACCTAATTGAACAATTCCTGAAGATGATACCAGACTCTGCCCTCTTCATGTTCTGCTTGATATTTTTGTCAATAATTTAGACAAAAGCAATAAAATATGATTGCAGTTTTGCCCATGACACAAAACTATGGTGAATAAAATAAAGCCTGAAGATCATTTTGGCAGTTTTTGCAGTTTTGCCCATGACACAAAAGTATGAAGAATAAGATAAAGCCTGAAGATGATTTTGGCAGTTTTCATCACTTGGTGAAAACCAATAAAATACAAATTATCCGTGTTAAATGAAAAGTCCTAAATGTATGCTACTAAAATAAATTATGGTCAGGCAGAATTGAAAACTATTTTAAAGCTATATGAAGGTTTTATGTGATATCAAATTTTGTGGCTAAAGTGATCAAAATTATTTAATGAAAACATAGTGTCCAGGTGTGGTGGTTCACACCTGTAATCCCAGCACTTTGGGAGGCCAAGGCAGGCAGATCACTTGAGGTGAGGAGTTCGAGACCCACCTGGCCAACATGGTGAAACCCCTTCTCTACTAAAAATACAAAAATTCGCTGGGCGTGGTGGTGTGCACCTGTAATCCCAGTTACTCAGGAGGCTGAAGTGGGGGAATTGCTTGAGCCTGGGAGGCAGAGATTGCAGTGAGCCAGGATTGAGCCACTGCACTCCAGCCTAGGCGACAGAGCAAGACTCCGTCTCAAAAAAAAAAAAAAAAAAAAAAAGAAGAAGAAAATATAGCTTACAGGTCATGAAAAATAACAGTCCCTCAGAACAAAATATTTCCAGTGTAATGTGGTTATTTGGGGGTGAAATTTGCACAATGATATGGAGCTGGAGAAAATCTAGAAGGTGACTGGTATAATGAGAAGGTTCAAATATAACCTCCTGGAGGAAGAGTTGGGGTACTTGTTTTAGAGAAAAGAGCACTGAAGATTTACAGAAGATACAAAACCTGTCCTAATACATGTGAGGAGCTGTTATGTATTAATATAAGAGAGCTCTAGAGTAAAAACAAGACCAGGGGGAGAAAGTTGTTTGTAGATAGAGACCTTAGCTCAAGGTAAGTTATAGTACTTAATGACTACAGTTGTCCAGTAAGGAATGAAGCATCTTATGAGTTAATGCTCTCTCTCCTTGGAAGCTCAAGCAGGGTCAATGACTCTCCAAGATGCTGAAGAAGAGATTCTTAAAGAACATAAGATGCAATGATGCTCATTTTCTTCTTCTCCTGTGTTTTACTTGTTAAATAATATTTTCCTCCATTATTAGTATCCTTTTTATTACTGGGGTACTCTTTCAAAGTTATGAACACTGACATGAGTTTTCATTTTGGTAAATAAAACAAAAAATGTAAAGTTTTTTTTCTGGCAATTTTTTTTTTTTTTTTTTTTTTTTTGTGAGACAGAGTTTTGCTCTTGTTACCCAGGCTGATGCAATGGCACAATCTCAGCTCACCGAAACCTCTGCCTCCCTGGTTCAAGTGATTCTCCTGCCTCAGCTTCCCAAATAGCTGGGGTTACAGGCATGCACCACCACAGCCAGCTAACTTTGTATTTTTAGTAGAGATGGGTTTCTCCATGTTGGTGAGGCTGGTCTCAAACTCCCAACCTCAAGTGATCTGCCTGCCTTGGCCTCCCAAAGTGCTGGGATTATAGGCGTGAGCCACACACCCACCTATGCATGTCCTTTCAGCAAAATTATTAGTAGCATCCCATTTCACTCTCAGAAGTGTCCCAATTTAAGTAAATCATAGGATCATCCTACCTAGAATTTTCTCAATGCTTTCCTTAGGGCATCTTTCAGTTCCTTGTTCCTCAAACTATAGATCAAGGGGTTTAAAATGGGAGTGATAAATGTGTAGGCCACAGATACCACCCGGCCCATCTCAGGAGAGTAGCTGGAACTGGGGGACAAGTATATAAAGCTGGTGCAGCCATACTGCAGGAGGACCACTAAGATGTGAGAAGAGCAGGTAGAGTAGGCTTGCTGGCGCCCTTCTGCTGACCGGATCCGTAAAATGGCTACCACGATGAAGACATAGGAGATGGAGATCAATGAGAGGGGGATGCTAAGGACGATGAAGCTGATGATATACAGAGCAGTCTTGTGAACGCGTGTGTCTGCACAAGCCAGGCGCATGACTGCAGGCATGTCACAGTAGAAGTGGTAGATCTCATCATTGTGGCAGAATGGGAGATGGAAGATTAAAATGGTGAGTGGCAGTGACAACAGGAACCCCAGCACCAAGGAGCCTACCAGCAGCTCCACACACAAGGACCAGCTCATGATGAGCCTGTATCGCAGAGGGTGACAGATCGCTATAAACTGGTCATAAGCCATGACTACCAGCAGGACACAATCAGCCCCACCCAAGAAGACAAAGAAAAACATCTGGGTGCCACATCCCGTGATGGAAACAGGAGTTTTGCCCATTGAAAGGAGGTTTGCCAAGGCCAATGGGGTGATGGAAGATGTATAGAAGATTTCTAGAACTGCCAGATTAGCCAGGAAAAAGTACATGGGGGTGTGGAGGGAATGATTGATCTGAACAATGACTGCAATTGTAGCATTTCCACCGAGGCTGGTCAGATACATCATCAGGAAGACCACAAAAATCAGCATCTGGACCTCAGGGTCAGGTGAGAATGGACGAAAGAAAAACTGCATCTTTGCAGTTTTATTTATTCCTTCCATGAGTAGAGTATTGGACCTAAGAGGAAAGATGACATGGGCCTCAAGGCATCTCTGGTTTCATATGATGCTTTCCCAACTTCTCCATTCAGTATTCAGGCACTTGCTGAGAAACCTCAGGGATGATGTGCATGTTTTCATTTTATAGCAGATTATATAGCATTATAATTTATACATTTGCCACCTCCTCATCTTTCCTCTCCCACCTCCCAAGTACCAAAGACTGAAAAATCCTCAGTGGCAGGGACTTTATCTTTTTTATTTTATTTTATTTTTTGAGATGGAGTCTCGCTCTGTCACACAGGCTGGAGTGCAGTGGTGCAATCTTGGATCACTGCAACCTCTGCCTCCTGGATTCAAGTGATTCTCATGCCTCAGCCTCCTGAGTAGCTGGGATTACAGGTGCCCGCCACCATGCCTGGCTAATTTTTGAATTTTTAGTAAAGATGGGGTTTCACTGTGTTGACCAGGCTGGTTTCGAACTCCTGACCTCAGGTGATCCGCCAGCCTCTGCTTCCCAAAGTGCTGGGATTACAGGTGTAAGCCATCACGCCTGGCCTGGTGATCTTTATTTTAATTCCAGTGCCTAGCACAGTGCCTACTGTATAGGGTTGCCAAGAAGCATTTGCTGAACAAATTAATGAATAAAGCAAATTTAAAGTTCAAAGTTACAAAATGGGTAAAATAGGGTATTGATTAATTATATAAGACAATAAATAAAAAATTTTAGGATTGTATAGGCAGATGTATGCCATAATTTAAAGAGAATTGTGTTGCTGGCATATTATGAAATTGAATCATAAACTCTGTAATATATCTCAAAACCTAGAGACTTTGATTTACATTTTTCCTTTATCCTATATGTCCCTACACACTGATAGTTCATCTTTCAAAGAGTCTCTCCTATCTGTTGCTTTGGTCCTTTCCCATTTCCTTAATCAGCTTTCTCCATTGTTATCTTCCATGAGGATTCCTGTGATAGCTATCTATTCTCCCATCTCCCTTCTCCTCCCTCTGTAATCCATCCTGCTCTCTATTATCATGTTGCTTATATGCTTAGAAATTTTCAGTGCCTTCCTATTGCTTAAATGTTGACCTTCACAGTCTTCTGCCAATTATTCCAGTCTCTCTTGGAGCTGACTTTTTTAGACTAATCCTGCTATGGCGCTTAAATATCCCTGTTACAGACCACATGGTCTACTCATTGGCCTCTTATTCATATTCTCCCTGCTGCTTCATATACTTCCATTCTCCTTCCAACTAGAAATACTTTCTCCTCTCTTTTGCTTAATCCAAATCATACCCAATTTTCAAATTCTAGGATATGTTGTTCTTTTATGAAATCTCCCTAGGTCACTCTCTTTCCTTTCTCTGACGTTTTACGTTGCTCAGTATTATGAGTTTAGTGCTACCAAACTGTATTTTACTGTATCTATATGTCCTGACCCAATTACATTTTATGTTCCCCAAGGATGGGGGCTGGACCTCTGTCTTATGAAAAATTATCATTTCTTTCATAATAAGCGCAAGGCATGGTGAAAAGTGCTCTATTATGCATTTGCCCACTTAATCTATAAAACCATGTTAGTAGGGGTGTACTATCATCATCCCTTTTTAACAGATGAAGACACATAGGCTTAAAGAAATTTTAACATTTTCTGAATTCACATAGCTAGAAAATGGAAAAGTCACGGTTTGAACAGTTTGTTTGATTATAGAGCTTGTTTGCTTAACCTTAGTTTATACCCTACTTTCTCCCTCCATACTTTTTATCTCCTAAGTAGCTTTGCTATTAATTGATTACAATTCAGAACTCTAGATGGTCTATTGGAAAAAGAGTACCTAAGATCTAGGACTGAAAATGTTGGATTATAGTATTTCCACACTTGAGAGACATAATTACAATAATAATTACAATACATGATTACTATGGCTATCTAGTAAATGCTGCTCCGGGCAATGCAGCAAAAAGAACTTCCCTTTTTTCTCTTCTAAGGAGCAGAGGAAAAATATTTGGCTAAAAACTGTGATGTTTTGGGTGGAGATAGAGGGAGGGTGGTTTGATTCATTTCTTCACAAGAGAGGGAATGGAGACAAAGAGAGGGTAGAATCCTCTGTGACCCATGATCTGAAGTCCTGTGTGCTGTCCTAAGAGTTTTCATAGGTGCCTGCCTGCAGTTTTAAGCGACTGTCTTCTGGGGGCTAAGAGTCTAGTCCCCAGACCAGGACAGTACCTATGTAGGGCTGAACCAAACCTATACAGTCAAAACAAAATGAATTACTCAATTCATTAGGACACTAGAAATAAAAAGTTCCAGAGGTGCCTTCTGTTCTTGTTCTTCTTAATCTCCTTAGACTCAGGAAGTCCATCCTATCTACTGGGCATAAATCAACCTAATCTCCTCAAAGCACTTGTGTCTCAATGCAGCGCAGGGTCTGCGTTGGCATTATTGTATCATGAGGTTTAGAAAAGAGAAGGGAAAATCGAATCTGGAGAAATACTGTGAAATCCAGAATGCTGTATAAGAAATTTAAGCACTAAAATATCCATTATAATATTGGTCTAGCCAATCTCTTAATTTCATTTCTTTTCTTTTCTTTTTTCTTTTTTTTTTTCTTTTTCATTCCCTTTCCTTTCCTTTCTTTCTTTCCTTCTTTTTTTTTTTTTGGAGTCTCACTCTGTCACCCAGGCTGGATTGCAGAGGCACAATCTCTGCTCACTGCAACCTCTGCCTCCTAGGCTCAAGCGGTTCTCCTGCCTCAGCCTCCCAAGTAGCTGGGATTACAGGTGTTCGCCACCACACCCAGCTAATTTGTGTATTTTTAGTAGAGATGGGGTTTCACCATGTTGACCAGGCTGGTCTTGAACTCCTGACCTCAAGTGATCCACCCGCCTCGGCCTCCCAAAGTGCTGGGATTACAGGCGTGAGCCACTGCGCTCAGCCCTTAATTTCTTTATTAAAAAGTTTTCTACTCATCATATTATGGCCTTCCCTTCTACCCTACCCCAGGTAGTTTTTAAGAACCTCCTCTCCATTAAAAAAAAAAAAAAAAAGCATCTTGTTTTCTTGGTCTATGGTAAAATTTATTGGAAAAACAAGAGATGCTTGTTATTGTTGCTGTTGCCATTGTGAGAAGGTATAGATGTAAGTTAGGCTCTATTTAGAAGTGATATCAACCTTAGAATAATATGAAGTGCATTTTTTTTTTATTGCAAAGAAGACAACTAGACACAACTTTCAAAAGATGGCCCAGCATGCTCACTATTCATCCATGTGATGCTAAAATATTGAATTAAATGTTGGGCATCATGGAAACAAATAGCTGCATGCTTTGCTGACTTCATTCTTTACATAAATCTGGACAGGTGGTAGCAGCTATTTGGATCCATGCTTGCTTTTTAAACTAGACTGTGGACATTCTAGTATCTAGAGGGTACAAAGCTGTGTTTTGAGAGAAAGCGAAGTTCCAGGATCAATATGGCAGTTTTTTTAAAAGGTCTATTTTAACTTGAAAAATTTCGGAGAATGATTTCATATCAAAACAAACATGGAGATAATATAGGGTAGTGGGAAGATTTGCATGAATTTAGGGGAGTAAAAACATAAGATTTTGAAGAAATTTCTTTCCTGTGGCTGATCACAAAGTTCTTAAAAAAGTAAATTGTCTCTCATGCTAATTAGAGTACTTAGGTTAAAAAGCCTTAGATGTTAATTTAGACCATAGATTGGCTATTACTCAATTGAAAATACAATTTCCCAAAGTCCCCAAGTCTCAAATCTTGACTTGGAATAGCTCCTCTCTTATTACGGCAAAGAAAACAACTGAAGTACTAGCCAACTTCTTCTAAACAGGTAAGGCCCAGAGAAAAACTCTCAGAAGACAGCTAGTCTTCGGAAAAATAGCTTATCGTCTTACCATCATGCAGCTAAGAACATGGCTCCACAAGTTCTTTGTCCTTCATGTAATCCCTATACAAGTTGACTAGTGGCCCTGGAAGGTCACAGATGCTCACAGAGTCAGAGCTCTGCCAGGTCACCTGGGTCCATCTTTTCCAAAGAGACTGCTTGACTTGTCCGAGATTGCACAAGGGGGTCAATTTTTAATTCATCATTTAAATGTACAAAGTACTCTAGGGGACCCAAAGATAAATGAAATGCCATCTACTTTATGGAGTCAGGGGTCAAGACTGTCAGCCAGATTTTTGCTTATTCTGGCTTGGTTTGCAACACCTTTGTGCCTCTGCCACTCCTTGTCAGTTTCTCTCAATTTAGATGTGCAGATGATATTTAATCACAGGGAGAAAATGTAGGTTGCTGGGAACTTCAGTTTGAGTGGCTGTTTAATTAAGTCTATATAATTGCCTCTGGTCATACAACCAAATTTTAGGGGAATGAATATATTTTAAAAAGCATATAATTTGGGGGAAATGATGTCTCCGGGAAAGTAGGCTATGTTGAAATTAAATGATGTGTATTCAAATTTCAGCTTTGTCACTTATTAGTTTTGTGATCTTGCTAGGTCACTTGCTCTCTCTAAGATCCCATTTGCTCAGAATAGCACCTCACTACTTTACAGTGTTGTTGTGAGGTGCACGTCCATGAAACGATGTCCGTGAAAGAACCTAGTAGAATGCCTGCATGTATTACCTGCTCAATGAAGTATACAGATTATTTGATTCCTTTATTCATTATCTATCCTAAGATTGAAAAAAAATGTTGAGTGGGTAGAATACCTGGCAGGTCTATCTAATATTTTCTGGAAGAGATTTCATATTACATCTCGCTCAACTCCTAGTCTCCTATGTTACCTTATTCTTCAGAATCTCTCTTTTAGTAGGGTGAAGAATGACAACCCTTTAATCTACTTATAAACTAGTTATTGTTAAAAGGTACTTTATATAAATAAGGAAACACAAAAGAAAGAAAGAAAGACAAAGAAAGAAAGAAAGAAAGAAAAGATAGTTTATAAAAATGTATTGACTTTAGGTATATCTTTATGGCTGAATTGACCTACATGATATAGCTATTAGCACAAATTTGGACTCAACTGAGAGGAAAATAAAATCTTAACTTGGAGATTTTGATTGTGGGATGAGCAGAGAAGGAAGAACAAAGTTATAACCATAATTCACAGGGCAAAAGCCCAGCTCGGAACATAGGTATTTGTGGCTTCTAAAGATACTTATATGGCTGTAGCAGAGTCAGGGAAGATATATTGGTACCTATTCAAATAAAATGTTCCAACATCAGATGTACTGAAACAAAAGACATATTTTGTCCTTGGAAGACACTCTTTTTTTTTTTTTTTTTTTTTTTGAGACAAGTTCTCTCTCTGTCACTCAAGCTGGAATGCAGTGGTGCAAATATGGCTCACTGCAGCCTCTACCTCCTAGGCTTAAGCAGTTCTCCTGCCTCAGCCTCCCAAGTACGTGGGACCACAGGTGCATGCCACCATGCTTGGCTAATTTTTAAAATTTTTCTAGAGATAGGGGCCTTGCCATGTGGTCCAGGCTGGTCTCAAACTCCTGGACTCAGGCAATCCTCCTGTCTCGGCCTCCCAAAGTACTTGGATTACAGGCGCGAGCCACTGTGCCCAGCCAGAAGACATCCTTGAATAACATTTTCTATATGTCTGATGATATTCTCATGAGTACTTTCTGGAAGAAATTCATATAAGCATTTTTTTGGCAGCAGCATCTCGAAAGAAAGAGAGCCAAAATAGTTTAATATGTTGGATCAAATGAAATTTGTTTTTGAAGGTCAGCAATGGTCGCATATGATTTGGGGGAAAAGAAAGAGAGAAAACACCAATGGCAGCATATAGGCAATTTTACATGGTCCAATGTGATACTTTTGTAAGGGAACTGGGAGTATATTGTATGAAACATCCAGACATTCAACAAAGGCTATTGTACTCCTACTGCAATAATAATGGCTAACATTTATTGGGTGCTGTGCACTGCGAAAGCAGGCTCAGTACTCCAGGATCTGTGCACTGTGCTAATTATTTTACAGGCATCAGTTCCTTTAAAGTGGACCTTCAGATATATTGGTACCTATTCAAATAAAATGTTCCAACATCAGATGTACTCAAACAAAAGACATATTTTGTCCTTAGAAGACACTCTTTTTTTTTTGAGACAAGTTCTCAAAAAAAGATACCTATTCCTGTGAAATAGGTATCTTTATTGTTTACATTTTTTTTCAGATGCAGAAATTGAGGCTTAAGGGTTTAATTAACTTGCCCAGCTAGTAAATGGCAGAGTAGGACTTAATTCCTAGGTCGATCTGAAAGCAGGTCTGTTTCTATCATTAAAACAAACTGTACATCACTGAGCAATGCAGTATGTGCAAGGCTGAATGATAGGTGCCTTAGAGGGACAAAATTATTTAATTCTAATTGTCCATTTTCAACAAACTCTATTGCTGTAAAGTGATGTGCCACAGGCATTCCTCAGATCATTGCAGAGGCAGTGCTCAGCACTTTAATTTATAGTCTCTTTCTTTCCTTTTTGCTCCTGATTTTCTTCCTCTTTCACTACCTACTCATTTAATCAACAATATTGTTTTAAAGAAATCCCTTTTACAAACATTATTAAGGCCCTGCTCTATATAAGGCATAGCTCTGTTTTCTGGGAAAAGAGAAAGAAGTGTATAAAATGAGTGAAGATGTTAATGCTCAAAATTGAATGAAAGAGATAGTAATAAAAATAACGCAAGTCAGGCCAGGTATGATGGCTCATACCTGTAATCTCAGCATTTTGGGAGGCTGAGATTACATGAGGCCAGGAGTTTGAGACTTGCCTGGGCAACATAGTGAGACCTCATCTCTACATAAAATTAAAAAAATCAGCCAGGTGTGATGGCATGTGCCTGTGGTCCCAACTACTCTGGAGGTTGAGGCAGGAGGATCTCTTGAACCCAGAAGATCTGCAGTGAGCTGTGTTTGTGTCACTGAACTGCAGCCTGGATGACAGAGCAAGACCTTGTCTCCAAAAAACAAAACATAGGGCTGGGCGCAGTGACTCACACCTGTAATCCCAGCACTTTGGGAGGCTGAGGCAGGCAGATCACCTGAGGTCAGGAGTTGGAGACCAGTCTGGCCAACATGGTAAAACCCCGTCTCTACTAAAAATACAAAAAAATTAGCCAGGAATGGTGGTGCACACCTGTAATCCTAGCTACGTGGGAGGCTGAGGCAGAATTCTTGAACCTAGGAGTTGGAGGTTGCAGTGAGCTGAGACTGTGCCACTGCACTTCAGCCTGAGTGACAGAGTGAGACTCCTTCTCAAAAAAGAAAAGAAAAGAAAAGAAAAGATATACGTATACATGTGTGTACGTGTGTGTGTATATATAATACAAATATAATACAAGTCAAATTCAGGGAACTGCTGTCATAAAATGACAACATGCTAGGGGAACACAGACATCTCTCTTTTTGCAATAATGCCATTTGAAGAATGGCATGTAATTACAATTACTTTTTAATGCATAAGGGGCCTCCTATGTGAAGGAAACTACTAGTAATTCCTTTTATAACAGAAGTATTTTCTACATTTTCAACATCTTTAAATTTGAAATTGAAATGATGGATATTTTTTAAAAAGTGGAAAACTCCTTGACCGTACATACATCTCTGCATTTCAGGAATGGTTAGTGTTGAGCTCATTTAATCTGGTCTAGAGTATGATCCCTTGATCATTGTGAACAGATCTTTCTCTTTGCCTTTCATCAGTTTGAGGAGCATGGATTTCACAGTATGTATTCTTGAATTTCCCATAAGTCATCTGTATAAAATACCAGTTCTCAGTAGGAACTAGACTTTGACTCTTTCTGTGTAAAGCTCCACGCTTAGCTTTTGTTCCTAGCTTAGTAATTGACAAGCAATTTTTCTTTTTTTTTTTTGTTTTGAGGTGGAGTCTCGCTCTCTCACCCAGGCTGGAGTGCAATGGCACGATCTTGGCTCACTGCAACCTCCGCCTCCCAGGTTCAAGTGATTCTCCTGCCCCAGCCTCCTGAGTAGCTGGGACTATAGGCGTGCACCACCACACCTGGCTAGTTTTTGTATTTTTAGTAGAGACGGGGTTTCACCATGTTGGCCAGGCTAGTCTTGAACTCCTGACCTCATGATCCACCCGCCTTGACCTTCCAAAGTGCTGGGATTACAGGCGTGAGCCACCATGCCTGGCCGACAAGCGATTTTTCTAACATTCTAAAATCTGGAGTCTGGGGGAGGGGATTCTGAGCATTTGCTGAGCTCAAGTGGACTACAACCCATTGCAGATTTACTGGGATCCTTTGCTAAACACTGAGGACCCCAAGGGCCTGCCTCAAGGTCTTACCTGTCCTCAGAGGATCCCTGGGCTGGCATGCTGACCACTGCTAGATCACATATCTCACTGATTCAGGGCACTATGTTAAGATGCCTCTTAAACCAGACCGGAATCCTTTCAGATTAACCCTTGGGTTATACTCCATCTTGCTTCTTTCCTCTTTGTACAAGATAACATCTGGGCTTTACTTATGACATCTCTGTAGCCTGGAACTTACCTTTAAAGTTGTACTGGTATTCAGACTTGAAATTATCATCAAATAATGACATTCATAACTAACCTGCCTAACAAGTCATTGCTCGTCCCCTGAGATGACTGAGGTCGCTTGGAAAGCAAAAATCAACACGATTAAATGTAGTCTAAAAGTTAACATTGCATCAGGATTATTCTATGGGTACATCTTCCCTAGGGATGGTCTTTTAATGACTTCTTCATGAGTTCAATGATGAGGTCAGTTGGGGGAAAGAAAAATTACTGTTTTCACTTCACTTATCTAGAAATCATTAAAAAGATTTCCACATGCACATTATTCTTTTTTGCCCTATTCCACAATATTTTCTACTGTCTTTGTTTCTGGGAAACAATTTCCTTCAAATTTTTCTTTTCTTTTTTAATTGACAAATAATAATTGTACCCATTCATAAGGTACATAGTGATGCTTCAATACATATAATATATAGTGATCAGATCAGAATTATTAGCATATTGTCCTCCTAATTTTAATCCTGTCTGACTGTCCTTAATTGCTTTGCCAACTTCTATTTCCCTAACTTCCACACAAGCTGAGTTTTGGTTCTAGGTCCTGTTTTCTATTGACATATTTTTGTAGTGTTAGTATTTAGTTGTTTGACTTTAAGTATGCTGATAACTCTCAAATGGTGTATCTCAAGCCAGGGTAACCTTGCCCCTGAACTCCAAACTTATTCAGGCACTTATCTACCTGATATCTCTATTGGGTCACGAATTAAGTGTCTCACATTTAACACATTTAAAATAGGACTTTTAATCCATTAGTCACTTGGGTATTATGTATTGAATCATTCAGATCCCGACAGTAGTCTCTCAATAAATATTTATTAAAAATTAGTGAATACTAATGCTTCAAGTAAAACATCTGGGGAGGGTTGGGCATGGTGGCTCACACCTGTAATCCCAGCACTTTGGGAGTCCGATGTGGGCAGATCACTTGAGGACAGAAGTTTGAGACCAGCCTGGCCAACAGCAAAACCCCATCTCTACTAAAAAATACAAAAAAATTAGCTGGGCGTGGTGGTACACACCTGTAATCCCAGCTACTTGGGAGGCTCAGACACAAGAATAGCTTGAACCTGGCAGGGGGAGGTTGTAGTGAGCCGAGATCACACCATTGCACTCCAGCCTGGGCAACAGAGTGAGACTGTCTCAAGAGAAAAAAAAAAAGATCTGGGGAGATGGTTTTTCTTCCAAAATTCCTTGGAGAAATGAGAGATCATCTAGAGCTGCTTCTTCATCATCTTCTTCTTCAAAGTCACTCATGAAATCACAGAATTAGGAGGAATTTTAGAGGTCATTTAGTGGTTGCCACTTTGGAATCCCAAATCTCAAAGGGCCTTCAAGATTATTAAGGGTTTTTCAAGGTAATTTCAATATTTCAAAAGCCCTAACATTAGTCATACATTTTCCTGAGATAAGGGTATACTACACATGCATTATTTATTATTATTACTTACTTATTTTGTTTGTTTAAAATAAATGATTAGGCAGGCTAATTTTCAAGACATGGAGTTTGAGGCAATAGAGAAACATAAGTAAAAGAGCAGTTCTATAATTAAACTAAAAAGCTTCTTCATAGCAAAAGAAATAATCAGCAGAGTAAACAGACAACCCACAGAGTGGGTAAAAATATTTGCAAACTATGCATCTGACAAAGGACTAGTACCCAGAATCTATAAGGAACTCAAACAAATCAGCAAGAAAAAAACAAATAAGCCCATCAAAAAGTGGGCAAAGGACATGAATAGACATTTCGCAAAAGAAGATGTACGATCAGCCAAAAAACATATGAAAAAATGCTCAACATCACGAGTCATCAGGAAAATGCAAATTAAAACCATGATGAGACACCACCTTACTCCTGCAAGAATGGCCATAATTAAAAGGCAAAAAGCAATAGATGTAGGTGGGGTGCAGTGGCTCCCATTTGTAATCCCAGGACTTTGGGAGGCCAAGGCAGGCAAATCACTTGAGCCCAGGAGTTTGAGACCAGCATGGGCAACATGGTAAACCTGTCTCTGTCTCTACCAAAAATATAAAAAATTAGCTAGGTGTGGTGGCATGCAGCTGTGGTCCCAGCTACTTGGGAGGCTGAGGTGGGAGAATTGTTTGAGCCCGAGAGTCAGAGGTGTCAGTGAGCCAAGATTGTGCCACAGAGGGAGACTGTCTCAAAAACAAACAAACAAAAACCCCAAAACCAAAAAGCAAAATCCCAATAGATGTTGGCATAGATGTGAAAAGGGAACACTTTTACACTGCTGGTGGGAATGTAAATTAGTACAACCACTGTGGGAAACAGTATGGCGATTCCTTGTAAAACTAAAAGTAGATCTATCATTGATTAATGCAATCTCACTACTGGGTAACTACCCAAAGGAAAAGAAGTAATTATATGAAAAAGGCACATGCACACGCATGTTTTTAGCAGCCCAATTTGCAATTGCAAAGGTATGGAACCAAGCAAAGTGCCCATCGACCAGCCAGTGGATGAATAAAATATGGTACACATGCACCATGGAATACTACTCAGCCATAAAAAGGAATGAAATAATGTCTTTTGCAGCAACTCGGATGGAACTAGAGGCCATTATCATCAGCGAAGTAACCCAGGAATGGAAAATCAAATACCATATGTTTTCACTTGTAAGTGGGAGCTGAGCTATGAGGACTCAAAGACATACAGAGTGGAATAATGGACTTTGGAGACCTGGGGTGGGGTGGAGGTTGGGAGGGGAAGTGAAGGATAAAAGACCACACATATTTCGCACAGTGCACACTGCTTGAGTGATGTGGCTTCACTAAAATCTCAGAATTCACTGCTAAAGAACTCATGCATGTAACCAAAAACCACCTGTACTCCAAAAGTATTTGAAATTTTTAAAAAAGTAAAAAAAAATAGCTTTCTTTTTTTTTTTTTTTTTAAAGAGCAGGTCTGTATTCAGACAGACATGGATTCCACCTTGGCTGAGCCACTCACAGGATGTGTGTGTTTGAGTAAGAAAATAAACCCTTTAAAGCCTCGGTTTCCTGACCTGTAAAATGGGGGTAATAATACTGTTCTTCCTACATAGAGTAGTTGTGGGCATTGAATGAAATATGAATGTGCAGCGTGTATCATATTAGCTAACCGTTTATTAGTTCTATCACTACTACAGTGCGGATCATAGGAAAAACACTGCACAAGTCCTATGTTGCAGAGGATGTCGAGAGCTACTGATGCAATTCAACCTCACTTTCAACATAGCTATCCATGCCCCGTATTTTTTGACAGATAGATATAAACTACATTGGATCATTTACTATGAGGAATTAAATTGGGGGAAAGGAAAGATTCTAAGTGGTAGTTGTAAATATGATTATGTGCCCCATATCAAAAACTTTGGCTGGCACTGTGGCTCATGCCTGTAATCCCAGCACTTTGGGAGGCTGAGGTGGGTGGATCACTCGAGGTCAGGAGTTCGCAAGCAGCCTTGCCACAGCCTGGCCAACATGGTAAAACCCTGTCTCTACTAAAAATACAAAAAAAAAAAAATTAGCCAGGCGTGGTAGTGGGCGCCTGTAATCCCAGCTACTCAGGAGGCTGAGGCAAGAGAATCGCTTGAACTCAGGAGGTGGAGGTTGCAGTGAGCCAAGATCGTGCCATTGCACTCCAGCCTGGGCAACAAGAGTGAAACTCCATCTCCAAAAAAAAAAAAAAAGAAAAACAAGCAAAAAAACTTCAGAAAATTTTTGTTAGACAACTTTTGAAGAAAATCAACCTTTCATCTCCTCACCAGGGACCTTGCAACTACTCCTTTCCCCACTACTTCACCAGCACTGAGGATCATTATTAAAAAACAAACCAAAACAAAACACAATATTAAAACTTGGCTCGCTGAAACAAACAAACAAAATGCAGATTGAGTGTTTTAATTTGCATTTTTTTGACCCCATCCTTCAATTTTAGCAGAATAGTGTTTTTTGGCATGGCGTGGCCTCTCTGAGTATCCCCTGAAAATATCAATGCAAACATCACTCTGTAGGCTGCTACCCTTGGCCATTTGAACCAACTTGGAAAGGTCAACCATAACATAGAGAAATGCTTGTATGCACATGAAAGGTCTACCTTGCAGCAAATTAAAACTCAGTAACATTTAAAAAAAATTGACAGTGGCTCATGCCTGTAATCCCAGCACTTTAGGAGGCTGAGGCAGGCGTATCACTTGAGGTCAGGAGTTTGAGATCAGCCTGGCCAACATGGCGAAACTCCATCTCCACCAAAAAATACAATTAGCTGGGCATGGTGGCACGTGCTAGTGTAGTCCCAGCTACTCGGGAGGCTGAGGTGGGACAATCACTTGAACCTGGGAGGCGGAGGTTGCAGTGACAGAGTGAGACCCTTGTCTCAAAAAAAAAAAAAAAAAAATCAACAAATGTGTGATGGGTGAGATGGGGCAGTGAAGCATGTTTACTGAGCTATTTCCTGAAATTATACTCCCAGGAAGTTGTGCTACTTTCATTTGTAAAAATGTTTTGTGAATCAGCCTGTAATATTCGAATATGATACTGTAAGAATAAGAAGTTCCTTTAGTTTTTAAACTTATGGTTAGAGTGGAGTAATACAAATTAAAAAGTGTTTAAGAGAGATTAATCTAAGAGTATGGGCCGGGTACGGTGGCTCACGCCTGTAATCTGAGCACTTTGGGAGGCTAAGGCAGGTGGATCACGAAGTCAGGAGATCAAGACCATCCTGGCTAACACGGGAAAACCCGTCTCTACTAAAAATACAGAAAAAATTAGCCGGGCATGGTGGCGGGCGCCTGTAGTCCCAGCTACTTGGGAGGCTGAGGCAGGATAATGGCTCGAACCCGGGAGGCGGAGCTTGCAGTGAGCTGAGATCACGCCACTGCACTCCAGCCTGGGCGACAGAGTGAGACTCCGTTTTAAAAAAAAAAAAAGAGTATGATAAGTTGGGTTTTTGAGAGGGTGAGCTGCACATGAGGGGATGAAAAGCCTATCTAGGCCAGACACCATCATAGAAATGAAGGTCAACATATAAAGTGAAATAAGAGTAGGGTTAATATCTGGTACACAGCACAAAACAAAACAGGATTGTTGAAGTTTCAAGGAAAAAAAATATGGTGCCAAAATTCTGGGTTTGAAGAATAGGAAGGATAACAGTATGGGCTATTTAATTTCACTGGGCTTCTGGTTTCCACATTTGTAAAATGGATAGAGGAAACATCTGTGCTTTCTGTCCTCTGGGCTTGATATGAGAATCATCTGCTGTTTGTAGAAATCTATAATTTTTTTTTTTGAGACAGAGTCTTGCTCTGTCTCCCAGGCTGGAGTGCAGTGGTGTGGTCTTGGCTCACTGCAACCTCCGCCTCTTGGGTTCAAGAGATTTTCTTGTCTCAGCTTCCAGAGTAGCTAGGATTATAGGCATGCACCACCACACCCAGCTAATGTTTGTATTTTTAGTAGATTTAGTAGTAATTTTAGTAGTAATTTTTGTATTTTTGTATTTTAGGGTTTCACTATGTTGGCCAGGCTGATCTTGAACTCCTGACCTCAGGTGATTCGCCTGCCTTGGCCTCCCAAAGTGCTGGGATTACAGGCATGAGCCACCATTCCCGGCCAGAAATCTGTACTTTTAACCTGTATATATTTTAAGCTGGGTGGTGGAATAATCATAGTAATGAAGAGGCATGAGAATGATCAGGAGGGTTTGTTATGAAAAAAAAGGAATGAAGACCAAGGAAAGAATAAAAACAGGAAGACACTTACTGAGAACCTACTCCACATCTGGCATTGGGCTTAGCACTTTGACACATAAGATCTCATTTAATTTTCCCCAGGACTCTGAGATGGGTGTTACACTCTTCCCATGTTTAAACAGAGAATGCTGACGTTCATAACTTCTCCAAAGTCACACTGCCAGTAGATTAAGCAGTAGGAGTGGCAGCTAACATTGACTAAACTCCAAAGGAAGCAATGAGGATACATACGCGGTGATTGCATAGTGTGTTTTTAACATAGCTGAACCTCCTCAGGCTCAATGACACAGAAGAGTAACTTTGCTTATGATTTCTTTCCTTGTACCAGGTCTAATGGAAGAGGAAAACCAGAGGGGAGTGGTACACTTCCACTTCCACTTCTTTTCAACAGACCTGGTGGTGGCTTCCTTTATAATTGTGGCCTTGATGTTGCACCAAGAAGCCTTGTTGGACACTTCACCTTTGGGCCCACAGTCTGGCAAGATCCCTTCCTCCATATTCCAATGTATTTATTTTTATTTTTTTGGCATTGACTATGTTGGAAATTGGCTACTCCACCAACATTTCTCCTCCAACACTGGCTACCGTCCTTTACATGGGGAAGATGCTTATCTCCCTCCCTGGCTATGGAACTCAGATGCTCTTTGTCATCCTTTTGAGAGGATCTGAGTGTGTCTTGCTTGCTGTCATGGCTTATGATAGGTATATAACCATCTGTCATCCATTCAATTACAATCTCATCATGAGTGGGTAGCTCTGTGGGCAGATGACTTTGGGCTCTTTGAGGCTGGGATTCCTGTTGTCACTGTTTTTGACTATGTTGATCTGACACCCTCCATTCTGTGGCCTAATGAAACCTACCACTTCTTCTGTGACATGCCCACAGCAAGTGCCTGGTCTGTGCAGACACCACATGCATGAGTCAGCTCTCTGACTTCCGTGTGGCCACCATCACCATCCCCTTCCTTCCTCCTTGTCTGCCTCCCCTATGGCTGCCTTGCAGCCACCATCTTGAGGATGCATTCAGCTAAGAGAAAGCACTAGGCCTTCTCTACCAGTTCCTCCCACCTCATTGTGGTTCTCCTGAAGTATTGGTGTTGCATCCTCATCTGCCTTTGCCCCAGCTCTAGTTACTCCCCAGAGGAGGGCTGGGAGGTATCTCTTGTTCACATGTTTTTCTCCCGGTGTGGAATCCCTTGATCTATAGCGTATGGAACCAAGACGTAACTGATGCAGTAGAGAGACTTGTGGCAAGAATGTCCTTGTTCTAACAGCCAGAAATATTCCTTCTTAAAAAATATTTCCCTAACTAGGAGGACATGATCTAAGGGACAGGAAGCTCAAAGACAAAAAGGAAGAAGTGGAGCATGGGGAGCCAGTCATAATCCCAAAAGACACAATCCAAGTCTTAAAATCTTGAAAGATCAAAATCCCAAAAATATAATTCTGAAAAAAGAATTTAAAAATTATTTAAAAGATATTTATTTACATTTGTAAAAGGGGATTTATTTGAGAAACATAAAAGCACTGCAGAGTATGTTATAGGGCACTTTACACATTAAAATAGGCAATAATAAGATACATATTTTTGCAAGCATAAGCACTCAGGTACACTAATGACAGTCACATGAGTATGACAGTTATGAGCAGATGCTGAACCGTATTTACAAAGAAATAGCTCATATAACTGCAGTCATCTGAAATACTGTAGGGACAACCTAAGTCTTTTGACGAGATTGATGAAAAACTGCAGTGGGTCACCGCTGCTCAGGCAGTCACTCAAAGAGCTGATATCTTGAGAAATGTTATCTTTCACAAAAGTAGATGCACAAAAAGGACATTTCTTCATTTACTGAGGAAGTTTTAACACTTTCATGTTACGCACAATGCTTACACACAAAGTCGATGTTGCAATAATGCACTTTTGTGGGGTCAAATTTGCAAAAAATGCATACAATGTATTAGAACTCTCTAAATGTCTTTACAAAATTTATACCTCCAGTATTGGAAATGATGCAAAGATAAACTACATAGCATAGTGAATTGTTAAAAATAATGCTGGCAATTTAAAATTGTGAGAAAAAACTAAAAATACTAAAAACAAAATACAAAACTACCTGTAATCCCAGCACTTTGGGAGGCCGAGGCAGGCAGGTCACGAGGTCAGGAGTTCGAGGCCAGCCTGGCCAACATAGCGAACCACGTCTCTACTAAAAATTCAAAAATTAGCTGGGCGTGGTGTTGGGCACCCGTAATTCCAGCTACTTGGGAAGCTGAGGCAGGAGAATCATTTGAACCCGGGAGGCGGAGGTTGCAGTGAGCTGAGATCGCACCGTTGCACTCCAGCTGGGGTGACAGGGTGAGACTCCGTCTCAAAAGAAACAAAATAAAACAAAACAAAAAACAAAAACAAAAACAAAACAAAAGTTTGACATATGAAAATGCATATTTCAGGGGTAAATTATGGGCAATTAGACAAAGGAAGTCCATAAGAGCTTTCTGAGTTTCATAATCATTAACTACATTTTGAAGTCTTGCATTGCAATAAGTAGCTGCTTTTTTTTTCTTTTAGGACATGGCTCTTCCTGGAGAATATGCTCGTATTCATTTTCTATGTGGTGCTGCTGTTTCAGAAATTCTTCTGTGATTCTATACACATGGACATGAGCATTCCCTATTAAATTTTTTCATCTTCTGTGCCATCCATCTATATTGTTTTGGGCATGTGGAAATCCATACATTTATATGCAGACCATAAATTTGGCAGAAACAATACTGGTGATCAAACAGCAACACCATTGTGTGTCTTCTTATCTTAGCTTGCACATAATTATTTTTGAACCAATCAGTAACTTCACTGGCTTCTTCAGGCAAATGCAACTTTAATTTGTTAAAAGTTTCTGGCATGTCATCAGCTGAAAGGAATGCCAATGCAGGCAAATTATCCATTCTCACACTGAAGTTGTTGTCCTTGTCATATCATGTGGCCAATTCACTCATCTGAATTTTTCACCAAATGCATTGGGATGAATTTTTTAAAAAAGCTTTTTATTGGTAATACTTTGAAATTCATTTTTAGGAGTCTTGATTGCACCTAATTCCAAATCTGTCATAACTAGGGAGACTGATGGTGTAACTCTGAGTCCGAGGCTGACAGGAACCTGGGAGCTGCTAGTGAGTCCCGGAGTCCAAAGGCCACTGGCCTGGAGTTCTGATGTCTAAGGCATCTGAAGAAAAGTGTGTCCCAGATCTCAGAGAGAGTCAGTTTGCTTCTGTTTTTGTGTGTGTGTGTGTGTTTTTTGAGGAAGGGTCTTGCTCTGTCACCCAGGCTGGAGTGCAGTGGTGTGATCTTGGCTCACTGCAACCTCCACCTCCTGGACTCAAGCAATCCTCCCATCTCAGCCTCCTGCACAGCTGGGACTACAGGCATGCACCACCATGCCTGACTAATTTTTTCTTTTTTTTTTTGGTAGAGATAGGATTTTTTGCCATGTTGCCCAGGCTGGTCTCGAACTCCTGGGCTCAAGCAATTTGCCCGCCTCAGCCTCTCAAAGTGCTAGGATTACACGCACGAGCCACCAAACCCAGCCTTCTGTATTTGTGGGCTCTCTAGGTCCCCAGCCCATTGGATGGTACCAGCTGACACTGAGGGCAGATCTCCCCCACCTAATCCACTCAGACTCACACATTAATCTGCTCTGGAAACACCCTCACAGACACACCTAAAATAATGCTTTAACACGTTTCTAGGTATCCCTTAATCCAGACAAGTTGACACCAAAAATTGAGTCCACAAGTCCACCCTTGTCAATTTGGCACCAATATTCATCTCTTTAAACCATAGTTATTTCCAGATAGGGACAATAATAAGGTTATTACCTTATTACCTTATTCTGCCTAATGTGAGGCAACTGTCACATGATTGTGATTTTGAGGAATTTAAATATAAGGGATTTTTAGTTTAGAAATATTGATCTTTCAGGATTTCAACTTTTAGGATTATGTATGGTGTTCGAGATTGTGATCCAAACCCCTTAATGGCTGTCTTGGCCTATGAAATGCTGATCAGCAGTAATTTCTCCACCTTTCATTAGATTCCAATGATGAATCCCTGGATTGGGTCCTACTGTTACCAGAAAGGGGTCCCGACCCAGAACCCAAGAGAGGGTTCTTGGATCTTGTGCAAGAAATAATTCAGGGCAAGTCCATAGAATAAACTGAAAGCAAGTTTGTTAAGAAAGTAAAGGAATAAAAGAATGGCAACTCCATAGGCAGAGCAGCAGAATGGGCTGCTCGTTGGCTATTTTTATGGTTATTTCTTGATTATATGCTAAACAAGGAGTGAATTATTCATAAGTTTTCTGGGAAAGGGGTGGGCAATTCCCAGAACTGAGGATTACTCCCATTTTTAGACCATATAGGGTAACTTCCTGACATTGCCATGGCATCTGTAAACTGTCATGGTGCTGGTATTATGGCAGGCCAGGTCTCACTAATGCAGGCCTCCATTACAACTGTCCCAGCACTGACTGAGAAGCTAGGTTAAATATTAAAAGCTGATTGAGCCAGTGCCCTTATACAAAGGCTGGAATGTAACAAACAGCCCACCAAGAGTTTTGCCTAGGCTTTTCCTGGGCCTTCAAGCATGACAAGGTAATGAAGGAATTCTTAACAGGACCCTTTTAGGATTAACCAAGTTTTATTGGGGGTCTGACGAAACTCCCCAGGCCTCCACAAACAAGTTTATTGGGGTCTAAAGGAACTCCCCAAACCTTTATGATTTAGCGGGAGACATGATAAGGGTAATCACCCCAGCACCTAGACCCATTTAGATTAAGTAAACTTACTGAGGCTCCAGAAAAAGGTCTTCAGGACTCAGACCTTAGTTATAGATTAAAAGAAGTTGGCTGGGCATGGTGGCTCATGCCTGTAATCCCAGCACTTTGGGAGGCCGAGGCGGGCAGGTCACCTGAGGTTGGGAGTTTAAGACCAACCTGACCAACATGGAGAAACCCTGTCTGTACTAAAAGTACAAAATTAGCTGGGCATGGTGGTGGGTGCCTGTAATCCCAGCTACTTGGGAGGCTGAGGAAGGAGAACTGCTTGAACCCGGGAGACAGAGGTTGCCTCGAGCCGAGATTGTGCGATTGCACTCCAGCCTGGGCAACAAGAGTGAAACTCCATCTAAAAAAAAAAGGTTAATCACTTGTGTCTTTAGAAGAATGCACGCTTACATGTAGACATACAGTTTAGAAGGTATATAAACTCTGGAAGACTGTAATTTTGAGTTGGTCTGGTGATAATTTCCAGGCCTTCTCTCTTCTCTGGTTACAGAAATGAAACCTGTCTTCCTGCCCCGTTCATCTGCATCTCGTTATTGGGCCACGAGAAATAGCAGCTCGACCCTCAGTTTGGTCCGGGAAGAGTAGGAGTGTCCTCTAGCATGCTAATGCATTATAATTAGTGTATAATGAGCAGTGAGAATGACCAGAGGTCACTTTCATTGCATCGCCATTTTAGTTTTGGTGGGATTTGGCTGGCTTCTTTACCATATGCTGTTTTATCAGCAAAGTCTTTGTGACCTGTAACTTGTGCTGACCTCCTATCACAGCCTATGTCTTAGAATGCTTAAACTCCTAGGAATGCAGCCCAGTAGGTTTCAGCCTTATTTTGCCCAGCCCCTATTCAAGATGGAGTTGCTGTGATTCAAACGCCTCTGATACTACCACCTCCACAAACTCCTCTTCCACCATAGGGCTTAGAATAAGGACTGGCACAGGAAGGTCAATGAATAAAAGAATGAATGTGGCCGGGCGTGGTGGCTCACGCCTGTAATCCCAGCTCTTTGGGAGGCCGAGGCAGGCAGATCACGAGGTCAGGAGATCAAGACCATCCTGGCTAACATGGTGAAACCCCATCTCTACTAAAAATACAAAAAAATTAGCCAGGTGTGGTGGTGGGTGCCTGTAGTCCCAGCTACTTGGGAGGCTGAGGCAGGAGAATGGCATGAACCCGGGAGGCAGAGCTTGCAGTGAGCCGAGATTGCACCACTGCACTCCAGCCTAGGCGACAGAGTGAGACTCCATCTCAAAAGAAAAAAAAAAGAATGAATGAATGAATGGATGGATGGATTGGTGGGAGCAGGTGGTAGAGTGGATGCCATCCTGTCTGCTGTTTTGAGGGCCTACAGCCCTGAAGGCATGCAGACCCAATGGATTTACATATCCGTATGTCTTTTTGACCCTTTGTCTTTTAAGGCCTGCTCAAGTTCCACTGCCTCAAGAAAATCTGCCTGGCAACTCTATCTGGTGGTGATCTTTCTCTTTTCATTAAATCATACTTCTTTCTATAAACTGAGTTTCATATATTTTGGTATTGCCTCTATAATATGCCTATAAGGCCCCTTGGGTCAGAAGAAATGGCTTACTTTTTCTGTGTATTTTCTGGCACAGTGCTGGGCACATAGTAAGTGCTTAGCCTTAGGGTCCAGGGCACAGACTTGAGCTCTAATCTTTCCTTTATGTAAAAAGGGGATAATAATAATAATAATGGCAGCTTTCCTACCTCAAAGGACTGGAATGATAGTCAAATGAGATAATGGGTATGCAAAAATATAATAGGAAAGTACACAATAAGCCGTGTGTGTGTATATGTGTGTGTGTATCTTTAAGGTTCTTAGTCACTTGCAACTGAATAGCTCTCGCTAAGTTGTGTAAGTCTCACCTTCCTGAAGGTCATATCAGCTCTTCCCAAAGTGAGTAGTAGAGTCAGCTACTTCTTATGGCAGTATATTGGATCCTGCAATCCTTCCAGGGGAATGCCAAAACCGCAATAGGCAATGAGCAGGGTTGTTACAGAGATTGGTGGAGAGGCTCAAATGGAAGATTAGGAGTAGGGAAAGATATTTTCAAGATACCTTCCTTAATAAGATAAAAGAAAATAGTCTCCATTCTCTTCTGCTTTTTTTCTTTTTCTTTCGATATGGAGTCTCCCTCTGTCACCCAGGCTGGAGTGCAGTGGTGCAATCTTGACTCACTGCAACCTCCGCCTCCTGAGTTCAAGTGATTCTCCTGCCTCAGCCTCCTGAGTAGCTGGGACTACAGGCGTGCGCCACCATACCTGGCTAATTTTTTTTGTATTTTTAGTAGAGACGGGGTTTCACCATGTTGGTCAGGCTGGTCTCAAACTCCTGACCTCGAATGATCCGCCTACCATGGCATCCCAAAGTGCTAGGATTACAGGTGTGAGCCACCATGCCTGGCCCCTCATTATCTTCTCGATGTGGCAAATGCAATGCAATAGATGATAGAAGCCACTCTATCCCATATCTAATCGTGCAATATACAAAAAAGGGAAAAAATGAAGAAAACCAATATGGAAACCCAGTGGCAAGAATTCTTGGGGTCCTTGGCTGGGCAACAACATTAAGAAGTGAAGGGTCATACAAGCATTTTATTTATTTTATTTTATTTTTTAGAGTCAGGGTCTCACTCTCTCATCCAGGCTGGAGGGCAGTGGCATAATCATGGCTCACTGCAGCCTTGAGCTCCTGGCCTAAAGTGATTCTCCCACCTCAGCTTCCTGAGTTTTTGGGATTACAAGGATCAACCATAGTGCTGAGCACAAGTATTTTTAATAGTGCTAATGTGGAGAAGATTTGATAAATATTTTATCTATAACAATGGCATTTGTTGAACTTAATAAATTACTTCTCTATTTTTCATCTATTCTATTCCCAATCTCCTTCCACAAAAGATTTGAAGCAGCTTAAAGATACATCTAATCCAAAAGTTAAAAACACATGGTCAAGAAGATTGGGGTAAAGAAAAAAATCCATCAGGATAGTAAAAAATACAGTAGTAAGATTGCTATGCAGAAAGGCAAAGCATGTGCTCCTCTGCGGTTTAGACAGTGGCCAGCTATAGGCATCTGAGCTTCCCAGTAGCCAAGAGAAAGAATAAAACACAATTAAATTTGAGAATTTTAAAGTTCATATAATAACATACAAATATATGAAGAAATCTAACTTTTTTGGCATAACCTTAGATGTAAAAGGGTCTTTTCCTACAGTTTTCAAAGGAGAATATACCATATATTAAAACACATCAGCAATGATAATAACACTAGCTGTCTTTTATTGGGCATTTAAGTATGTATCATTGTTTTAGGTGCTTAGTACATGTTAATTCATTTGAGTCCACAAAATCTTATGAGGTAAGTACAATTATCATTCCCATTTTACACATAAAGAACTGAGGCTCAGAGAGAGTAAGCAAATTTCCCAAGATTACACAGGTAGTAAGTGCTGGCTCAGCCTCACTCCAGAGCCTGCGACCTTAACCACTAATTCTCAATGTAGGCTAATGGTGTGTCATTGACATACAAGGCACTTCAAGCAGTTCTGTAACGGGCCATCACAACCAGTAAAAGGATACAGCTATTTGATTGTCTAACTTGATTTTAGGGAATAAACCTAAATTATCAGAGCCTGATTAGCCAGCGTTTCAAGAAATGCCCCACAAACGCTGTTTTACTCAACCAGGATCTTGATAGGAATTGGAAACGAGAAAATTTCTGATTATAGTTTCTACCCAAGAGCTGGAACACCTATATTCTGCAATAATAATGAGTAAGAAGTTTTACATTTAGTGTACAAGATTTGGACATGATTGGTTTTCATTTCTTTAAAAAATATTTTTATTTCAATAAGTTTTTGGGGAACAGGTGGTGTTTGGTTACGTGAATAAGTTTGTTAGTGGTGATTTCTGAGATTTTGGCGCACCCACCATCTAAGCGCCTACACCTACCCAATGTGTAGTCTTTTATCCCTCACCACCCCGCACCCTTTCCCCTGAGTCCCAAAAGTCCAATGCGTCATTCTCATGCCTTTGCGCCCTCATAGCTTAACTCTCATATATGAGTGAGAACATATGATGTTTGGTTTTCCATTCCTGAGGTACTTCACTTAGAATAATAGTCTGCAATTCCATCCATGTTGCTGCGAATGCCATTAATTCATTCCTTTTTATGGCTGAGTAGTATTCCATGGTATATATATATAACATTTTCTTTATCCACTCGTTCATTGATGGGCATTTGGGCTGGTTCTATATTTTTGAAATTGCAAACTGCGCTGCTATAAACGTGCATGTGCAAGTGTCTTTTCATATAATAACTTATTTTCCTCTAGGTATCTACCAGATACCTAGTAGTGGGATTGCTGGATGAAACAGTAGTTCTACTTCTAGTCCTTTAAGGATCTCCACACTGTTTACCATAGGGGTTTTACTAGTTTACATTCCCACCAACAGTGTAAAAGTGTTCCCTTTTTACTGCATCCACGCCAACATCTATTTTTTTTTATTTTTTGATTATGGTCATTCTTGCAGGAGTGAGGTGGTATCGCATTGTGGTTTTGATTTGCATTTCCCTGATCATTAGTGATGTTGAGCATTTTTCCATATGCTTGCTGGCCATTTGTATATCTTCTTTTGAGAATTGTGTATTCATGCCCTTAGCCTACTTTTTGACGGGATTGTTTGTTTTTTTCTCACTGATTTGTTTGAGTTCTTTGTAGATTCTTGATATTAGTCCTTTGTTGAATGTATGGATTATGAAGATTTTCTCTCACTCTGTGGGTTGTCTGTTAACTCTGCCGATTATATCTTTTTTTTTTTTTTCAGATGAAATCTCGCTCTGTCACCAAGGCCGGAGTGTGGTGGGTCAATCTTGGCCATGTTGGCCAGGCTGGTCTTGAACTCCTGACCTCAAGTGATTTGCCCACTTTGGCTTCCCAAAGTGCTAGGATTACAGGCATGAGACACTGCGCCTGGCCTCTGCTGATTATTTCTTTTGTGTGCAGAAGCTTTTTATTTTAATTAAGCCCCATCTCTTTATCTTTGTTTTTGTTGCATTTGCTTTTGGGTTCTTGGTCATAAAGTCTTTGCCCAAGCCAATGTCTAGAAGTGTGTTTTTCTCATGCTATCTTCCAGAAGCTTTATGGTTTCAGGTCTTAAAGTCCTTAAACCATCTTGAGTTGATTTTTGTATAAGGTGACAGAGGAGGATCCAGTTTCATTCCTCCACATGTGGCTTGCCAATTATCCCAGAACTATTTGTTGAATAGGGTGTCCTTTCCCCACTTTGTGTTTTTGTTTGCTTTGTCAAACAGCAGTTGGCTGTAAGTATTTGGGTTTATTTCTGGGTTCTCCATTCTATTCTGTTGGTCTATGTGCCTATTTTTATACCAGTACCATGCTGTTTTGCTGGCTATGGTCTTATAGTATAGTTTGAAGTTGGGTAATGTGACGCCTCCAGATTTGTTCTTTTTGCTTAGTCTTGCTTTGGCTATGTGGGCTCTTTTTTGGTTCTGTATGAATTTTAGGATTGTTTTTTCAGTTCTGTGAAGAATGATGGTGGTATTTTGATGGAAATTGCAATTAATTTATAGATTGCTTTTGGCAGAAGGATCACTTTCACAATATTGATTCTAACCATCCATGAGCATGGGATGTGTTTCCATTTGTTTGTGTCATCTATGATTTCTTTCAGCAGTGCTTTGTAGTTTTCCTTGTAGAGGTCTTTCATGTCCTTGGTCAGGTGTATTACTGAGTATTATTTTTGCAGCTATTGTGAAAGGGGTTGAGTTCTTGATTTGATTCTCAGCTACATCACTGTTGGTATATAGCAGAGCTACTGACTTGTGTATGTTAATTTTGTATCCTGAAACATTACTGAATTCATTTACCAGTTCTAGGAGTTTTTTGGATGAGTCTTTAGGGTTTTCTAGGTATACAATCATATCATCAGCAAACAGCAACAGTTTGACTTCCTCTTTACCAATTTGGATGCCCTTTATTTAATTCTCTTGTCTGATTGCTCTGGCTAGGACTTCCAGTACTATGTTGAAGAGAAGTGGTGAGAGTGGGCATCCATGTCTTTTTCCAGTTCTCAGGGAGAATGCTTTCACCTTTTCACCATTCAGTATAATGTTAGCTGTGGGTTTGTCTTAGATGGCTTTTATTACTTTAAGGTATATCCCTTCTATGCCAATTTCTTTTAATCATAAAGGGATGCTGGATTTTGTCAAATGCTCTTTCTGCATCTATTGAGATGATCCTGTGATTTTTTATTTTAATTCTGCTTATGTGGTGTATCACATTTATTGATTTACATATGTTAAACCATCCCTGCCTCCCTGGTATGAAACCCACTTGATCATGGTGAATTATCTTTTTGATACACTGTTGGATTCGGTTCACTAGTATTTTGTTGAGGATATGTTCATGAGACCTATGTTCATCAGAGATATTGGTCTGTAGTTTTCTTTTTTTGCTATGTCCTTTCCTGGTTTTGGTATTAGGGTGACACTGGATTCATAGAATGATTTAGGAGGATTTCCTCTTTCTGTATCTTTTGGAATAGTGTCAATAGGATTGGTACCTATTCTTCTTTGAATGTCTGATAGAATTCAGCTGTGAATCTGTCTGGTCCTAGACTTTTTCTTGTCAGCAATTTTTTGGTTACCATTTCAATCTCACTGCTTGTTATTGGTCTGTTCAGAGATTCTATATCTTCCTGGTTTAATCTGGGAGGGTTGTATATATCTAGGAGTTTATTCATTTCCTCTAGGTTTTCTAGTTAATACATTTCAAGGTATTCATAGAAGCCTTGAATAATCTTTTGTATTTCTGTGGTATCAGTTGTACTATCTCCTGTTTTGTTCCTAACTGGGCTTATTTGGATCTTCTGTCTTCTTTGTTAATCTCGCTAATGGTCTATCAATTTTATTTTAATTTGTTGAGACAGAGTCTTGCTCTGTCATTCAGGCTGCCGTGCAGTGGTGCAATCTTGGCTCACTGCAACCTCTGCTTCCTGGGTTCAAGTGATTCTCCTACCTCAGCCTCCCGAGTGGCTGGAACTGCAGGCCCATGCCACCACACCTGTCTAATTTTTTGTCTTTTTAGTAGCGATGAGGTTTTGCCATGTTGGCCAAGCTGATCTCGATTTCTTGACCTCAGGTGATCCGCCCACTTCAGTCTCCCAAAATGCTGGGATTACAGGCATGAGCCATCACCCCTAGCCTATCAATTTTACTTATTTTTTTCAAAGAACCAGCTTTTTGTTTCATTTATCTTTTGTATTTCTTGTTTGTTTGTTTCAATTTCATTTAGTTCTGTTCTGATCTTCGTTATTTCTTTTCTTCTGCTGGGTTTGGGTTTGGATTGTTCTTGTTTCTCCAGTTCTGTGAGGTGTGACCTTAGATTGTCTATTTGTGCTTCTTCAGACTTTTTGATGTAGGCATTTAATGCTCTGAACTTTCATCTTAGCACCACTTTTGCTGTATCCCAGAGGTTTTGATAGGTTGTGTCACTATTATCATTCAGTTCAAAGAATTTTTAAATTCCCATCTTGATTTCATTGTTGCCCCAACGATCATTCAGGAGCAGGTTATTTAATTTCCATGTATTTGCATGTTTAAGGGTTCCTTAAACATGCAAATACATGGTTGATTTCCAATTTTATTCCACTGAGAGAGTACTTGATGTAATTTCGATTTACTGAGAATTGTTTTGTGGCCTATCATATGGCCTATCCTGGAGAATGTTCCATGCGCTGATGAATAGAATGTATATTTTGGAGTTGTTGGGTAGAATGTTCTATAAATATCTGTTACATCTATTTGCTGTAAGGTATAGTTTAGGTCCCTTGTTTCTCTGTTGACTTTCTGTCTTGTTGACCTGGCTAGTGCTGTCAGTGGAGTATTAATGTCTCCCACTATTATTGTGTTGACGTCTATCTCATTTCTTAGGTCCAGTAGTAACTGTTTTATAAATTTGGGAGCTCCAATGTGTTAGATGCGTATATATTTAGAATTGTGTATTTTCCTGTTGGACAGTCCTTTTGTCATTATATAATGTCCCTCTTTGTCTCTTTTAACTGCTGTTGCTTTAAAGTTTGTTTAGTCTGATATAAGAAGAGCTACTCCTGGCCGGGTGTGGTGGCTCACACCTGTAATCCCAGCACTTTGGGAGGCTGAGGTGGGCAGATCACCTGAGGTCAGGTGTTTGAGACCATCCTGGCCAACATGGTGAAACCCTGTCTCTACTAAAAATACAAAAATTAGTCGGGTATGGCAGTCCTCCCACCTTGGCCTCCCAAAGTGCTGGGATTACAGGCATGAGCCACCATGCCCAGCCAACTTTCTTTTTTTAAACTAAAGATGTCAGGCAGGCCATAGCTCAGCTTTAGGTGGCCCCCCTCTGACACTCACGGTCTCTTTTTGCTGATTACCCACAATAGTGGAGGAAGATCCACATATAAAGTCAAAAGTCTAGGTTAAAATCCCACATCAGCCACTGATGAACTGTGCAAGCTTGGAAAAATCATTTCACCTCTGTGAATTGTGGTTTTGCCATCTGCAGAGCTGAATGTTAACCATAGCCCAAGATACTAAGTATTATAGGATTGAAATGAAATATAAATGAAACTTTGTAAATGTTAAATTATAACACAAATCATATGGTCAGTGTCGATGTCCTAATTGTTCCTAACTCCTCATCACACTCTCCTACTTCTTCATTGTGGCTGCCATCCTGATATCCGCTCTGCAGAGGGGAGGCACAAGGCTTTTCCCACCTGCTCCTTCCACCTGGTTTAATTCTCCTCCAGCACAATGAACAAGCCTCACCTATTTGTGCCCCAGCTCCATCTTCTCTTATGAGAGGGGCAAGGTAGTGTCTACGGTTTACACATGCATCACTCCTGTGCCAAACCCCTTGATCTGCAGCATGAGGAAGAAGGAACTCAAGCATGCTCTTAAAAAAAAAGAAGAAATTGCAAGGTTCTTGCTGCTCAGAACACATTGACTCTTTCTGGATATTGTTGATCAAGAAGCTATTTCTACCTGGAAAAGAAAACTGAATGAACCATACAGAAGTTAAGGGAAAAAAGACACCTAAGTGTCAGGAATTGTTGTAAATTCTATTGACTCTCCTTTTGTTGCTGTATCCCTTTTCTGGCTGTGAAGACACAATGTCTTTTTTCATCTCTAAAATCAGCCTGCTTGTGAGGCCTGTTGAAAGTACCATCAAGTGAGACCGTGGACCTAATAGTCCTATATAAATTGCTAAGTCTGATCTCAGATGACTTGGGGTCTTGATTCTGTTGCTTCCTACAAACAAAATCCATTTCTCTTTTCTTTCTGAAATGCATTTACATTATTTAGGTGACTATTAGCTAAGAAGGCAAGTGTGTCAAGTTCCAGTAGCCACAAGATATCAGAATTCTCAAATGCTGCTGAAAAGGAGTTACCGTAAGAGGTGTATCATCTTCTCTTCTAGAACAGAATAAATCAGCATTTCTTAAAATGCTGGCTTACTTTCAGGTGCCTACTTTCCTCAAATGACTGGTAAAAAAAAATTCCATGGCTAAGAGGAGAAAAGTGCATACTAACACTGCTTTCCTCTTGAAGACTCACATGCACTTCATCTGGGGCATCCTAGAGTGAAACAATCTTTGTAGGGTTGGAGCTTCCCAAAACATTTGATCATGAGAACTCTTTCTTTAACCACCTATGAATTTAGCCGAATGAAGACAATCTTCTGGGAATACTTTTAGAGAAATGGTTATGTAAATAACCAACAGCAAAGACTTAAGGAAATGGTACTAGGTGGAATGGTCCTTTAGTGCTGAATGAAGTAAGTCTACTGTAACAGAATCCAGGCTGTAGACATCAACTCATAAGCAAACTGTTTTTTTTTTTTTGAGACAGGATCTTGCCCTGTCACTCAGGCTGCAGTGCAGTGGCATGATCATGGCTTACTGCAGTCTTTAACTCCTGGGCTCAAGCGATCCTTCCATTTCAGCCCCCTGAGTAGCTGGGACTACAGGTGCATGTCACCAGACTTGACTAATTTTTTTTTTTTTTTTGTAGAGATGGGGTCTTACTATGTGACCCAGGCTGGTCTCTAACTCCTGGATGCAAGCAGTCCTCCTACCTCTCTTCCCAAAGTGTTGGGCACCTGGCCCATGAGCAAACTGAAAATGCAAATTGTTAGGCTCATGTCCATCTTTGCATTACTGAACACAATTCCTTTAGATATATTTTAAGGTTTGATTGTTACCCAGGTAAGTTTCACCTAGAAACCAAAAAATTTCAAGAAGAAAACACTAAAAATACAATGATTTACTAATTTTTTGAAGTGAAATTCACTCCTCACTCTTAGCTTTTAGCAGTGGCTCATACCTGTAATTTGAAGCAATCCAGGAGTCTGAGGCAGGAAGATTGCTTGAGCCCAGGAGTTCGAGATCAGCCTGGGCAATATAGTAAGACCTTATCTCTAAAATAAGTAGATAAATAGATAAATAAATAGAAATAAAAATAAATAAAAAGATCTTTAGGGGCATAGAACATTTACTGGAGTGTAAATGCTTACTATTCTTAGAGAGGGGAGATGTAGGTGTTTGTTGAGGCCTCATTTACCAATAGCAAGCTTGGCTGGGCCCCCATTCAAGCCATAGAGACACAGCCCATACTTGCCAACTGTGTCCACTGGGGTTAGTGGTTGCATTTGGGAGACTCAGGTTGAAATGATGGGGTCAGCTAGAGGCTCTCAGTAAATCAATGGGGAATGTGGGAGAAAATGATCCATTGATCATAGTAATAGCCTCATAGTCGCCTGGGATCCCATCACTTTCTCTTCCAAACTCCCTGGAGTCTGATTCTAGAAGATGGGCCAGAAAATGGCTAAGGGCTGGTGCCACTTGCAAAGGAGTCAATAGACTTTTCTCCCTGAAGCTTTTTTAAAAAATGAGTTTTCATTTGTACATTGAATTCAGCAAATAGGGAACCATTAAAGGCACATTAAATTCAGCAAATAGGCTGGGTGCGGTGGCTCAGGCCTGTAATCCCAGCACTTTGGGAGGCTGAGGCAGGCAGATCACCTGACGTCAGGAGTTCGAGACCAGCCTGCCAACATAGTGAAACTCCGTGTCTACTAAAAATACAAAAATTAGCCAGGTGATATGGCAGTTGCCTGTAATCCCAGCTACTCAGGAGTTTGAGGCAGGAGAATCCCTTGAACCCGGGAGGTGGAGGTTGCCGTGAGCCAAGATTGCGCCACTGAACTCCAGCCTGGGTAACAGAGTGAGACTCCATCTCAAAAAAAAAAAAAAAAAATTCAGCAAATAGAGAACCATACTTAGAGGCATAGATAATGGAGAAAAAGACAGGCAAAAGAAAAGGAAAGAGAAGGGATAATGAAATGTAGAACTTAAAGAAGAAAGAGAAGGTTAAAAATATTTTGTGTGGTTGGAATTAATAAAGTACTGTCAAGTAGTGCCTTCGCACAGAAAAACAAATATCACACTTTCTCACTCATATGTAGGAGCTAAAAAAAGTGGATCTCATGGAGGTAGACAATAGAATGGTGGTTGCCAGAGACTGAGAATGGAAGCAGGGAGGGAGGATGAAGAGAAGTTCGTGAAGACGTGCAAAAATACAGTTAGATAGGTGGAATAAGTTCTAGTGTTCAATAGTAGAGTGGGGAAATTACAGTAACAATAATTGATCGTATATTTCAAAGTAGCTAGAAGAGAAGAATTGTAATGTTCCCAACACAAAGATAAATATTTGAGGTGATGGATATTCCAATTACCCCGTTTGATCATTACACATGTATACAGCTATCAAAATATCACATGTACCCCCCAAATATGTATAACCATTATATAAAAATTTGTTTTAAATATTGCTTTCTGTGTTATGCAGAGACTGTTTTTCTGGCTTTAGCAGAAAGAGTGTAGACTCCAAATAAATTGAACTGTGGCTGGGCTTGGTGGCTCACGCCTGTAATCCTAGCACTTTGGGAGGCAGAGGTGGTGGATCACCTGAGGTCAGGGATTCAAGACCAGCTGGCCAACATGGTGAAACCCCGTCTCTACTAAAAATACAAAAATTAGCCTGGCGTGGTGGCAGCAGGCGCCTGTAATCCCAGCTACTTGGGAGGCTGAGGCAGGGGAATTGCTTGAACCTTGGGGGCAGCAGAGGTTGCAGTGAGCCGAGATCACACCACTGCACTCCAGCCTGGGCAACAGAGTGAGACTCCGTCTCAAATAAAATAAAATAAAAAATAAAAAATAAATAAAAATAAATAAATAAATTGAATTGCAACTCAAACATGGCAGCTGCTCCACCACGTGCATCCTGAAGCACTGGGCAGTAGAACAAAACCTTGAAACACAACCCATCCGAAAGCTTATTCATGGTCTGTAGCCTGTAGGCCAGCAGCTTGCAATTACTGCTCTAATGCAATAAAATGGTTTTGTTTGAGTGGACACTTGACCACTTGTATGTCCTTAAAATATATCCCAGCCCAGGATTCACATACACTCTTAAATGGGTGGTGACTGTTTCTTAAGGAAAGGTCTTGTATTTTTTTTCAAGACTGCTTTGAAAAATTCCTGCCAAATTTTCTCTCTCTCTCTCTCTCTCTCTCTCTCTCACACACACACACACACACACACACACACACAGACACACACACACCCTGTAAGTCCTTCTTTTCAACAATGATTCCAGAGTTTTCAGAGCTATTGGTATAGGAAGTGAAAGTTTTAGGTTCTACATGAATAAGGATTTAAACATCTTTTGTGTTTATTTATAAGTGAGGGATAAATATATATAAATAGTACAATACACATTGTTATGTAACAAAAAGTGAGTGAGTTGAATTTAAGAAAAATGTTAAGTAAATAATATCAATAACTGAGATAAAATATAAGTCATGAAGGTTGTTCATGAATAATGCAAGTTTGGAAATTTTATTTTTTCCTTTTTTTTTTTTTTAAGAGATAGGGTCTCACTCTGTCACCCATGCTGGAGTGCAGTGGTGTCATCACAGCTCACTGCAGCCTCAAACTCCTGGGCTCAGAGGATCCTCTTGTCTCAGTCTTCCATGTTGCTGGGACTACAGGTGTGCACCACCACAATGGGCTAATTAAAAATAAATTTTTCTTTTTTTTTTTTTTGTAGAGATAAGGTCTTGCTATGTTGCCCAGGCTGGTCTCAAACTCCTGGGCTCAAGTGATCTTTCTGCCGCAGCCTCCCAGATTGCTGACATTGCATTTGTGAGCCACCACCCCTGACCTATTTTCTATATTTTATACAATCTTGACCAGGTATCAATATCAGCAGTTTGCATAAAACGCTTCATTTATAAAAAGTGTGTATGGTCTTGAACAACATTAGATGAATGAATGAAGGAATGTCCAATGACATAATGTTCTGCAATCAATGAATGCTAAACATGTGCTATATGCTTAGCACCACATGAGAAAATGCAATGCAATATCTAGCTGAATAAGTTACTCTCTTTGAGGACCTATCCTGGTAGAGGTGGAGCAACAAGTCCTATGATATCGCAGAGTGATAACTGCTGTAATTGGGGTGGGCACAAAGCCAGTACAGAGCATGAAACATGGAATAATTTTTCCTTCTTGGAGGAGGGTGGGGGAAAGTATATATCAGAATTAAGCTTCATTTGACAGGAGACACTTGGCTGAAATTTGAAGATTCTGAGAATTTGTCTAGGTGCACAAAATTAGCCTCTGCCTTGATGAATTAAAGCTGGCTATCTTGCCAAACTTATCTTAAATGTGGAGAATAAAAACTTAAGCAATGATTAAAATAGAGCTAGCTAAGTCTAGCCTGGGCACAGTGGCTCACGCCTTTAATCCCAGCACTTTGGGAGGCCGAGGTGGGTGGATCACCTGAGGTCAGGAGTTCGAGACCAGCCTGACCAATATGGTGAAACCCCGTCTCTATTAAAAATACAAAAGTTAGCTGGGCGTGGTGGTGTGTGCCTGTAGTCCCAGCTACTTGGGAGGCTGAGACAGGAGAATTGCTTGAACCCGGGAGGTGGAGGTTGCAGTGAGCTGAGATCGCACCACTGCACTCCAGCCTGGGCAACAGAGCGATACTCTGTCTCAAATATATATATATATATGTCCAGTAACAATTAAACCAGTTTAGACTATCTTGTCTTTAAGCAATTCCTGTTTGTGTTCAAACTTTAACCCTACTGGGGATGGTCAAGTTGAAAGCTAAGTTATCCTCTTGGGGCTTTACTGAACCAAATTAGGCAGGGAATTCTCCAGAAATGATATGAGAAGGAGAGAGAGTTGAGAAAGAACCTACAATGAAAGCCCCACCGCCTTCTCTTTTGAAGCAGCAGCAGGAAAGGACTAACAGAATCTAAATGTGTGCTTCCCTCGGTGAAAGGCGGTTTATCGAGATTTGACTCCATGGTTCCCAAGATAGTAAAGGAGAAGATTCTACCTCGGGCTCTACTCAGTTTCTGGTAAGGATGTGATCATCAGCCTCTCTGGGCAGGAGACAAGGAAGGGTAAAGGGAAGACTGGGCTGATTGGGCTGTTATGTGGTCTAAACCCTGGGGAATGGACCAGTGAACCCTATGGGCTTTGGGATTTCCTAACCCTGTGAGGGACTTCCTGGTGTGGAGTTACAAATGAATTGAAACATTTACAGTAGTTTAACCGCCTGGAGCTAATGAAGTGACATTATATGCTAATGATACTAACAACAAGTAAGTCTTCAAAACAGACATTATGAGTGGCATCAATAAATGGTGAACTAGGGGGTCCCAGGCCTCACTCCCCCCACAGAAAGGTCAACTAGCAACTATCCACAGACAAAAACACTTTGGTAAAAACCCCAAAATATGGGACCCAGGTGGTCTAGCTGTGAAGTTTCTCCCTATATCCCCTGTTTCCCAAGAGGTGGGAAAAGGGAACCAAGGAGGCAACATTCAGCCTCCCTAGCACATCCTGAGACATTTCCCAGCAAGCTCACTTCATAGTATTAATGATTATTGCTAACATTTATGAAGAGCTGACTGGGAGCCAGATACACTTATTCTCACAACAAGTTTTTTGAGCTGCGTCCTACCGTTATATTTATAGATAAAGAAGTTGCAGCAGAAATCTTCAACAGGTTATCCGAGGTCATACTCTTGGTCAATCAGCCCAGGAATTAGAACCTAGACTAGAGGCTGTACTCTTGACAACCAGGCAAGAGATAGAAGTAGAGGGCTTTGTGGTCTGGGAATGGTATAGTGTGTTTTAAATTTCAGTGCTGACTCAAAGAGGTATTTGTGCACCAATGTTCCTAGCAGCATTATTCAAAATAGCTAAAAAGTGGAAATAGTTCAGTGTCCATGAGCAGAAGAATGGGTAAACAAAAGGTAGCATATACATACAATGGAGTATTATTCAGCCTTTAAAAGAATGCAGTTTTGTTTGTTTGTTTGTTTGTTTGTTTTTTAAAGGCAGGGTCTCACTTTGTCACCCAGGCTGGAATGCAATGGCTCAATCTCGGCTCACTGCAACTCCACCTCCTGGGTTCAAGCAATTCTCCCGCCTCAGCCTCCCTAGAAGCTGGGATTACAGGGGCATGCCACCACACCCATCTAATTTTTGTATTCTTAGTAGAGATGGGGTTTCACCATGTTGACCAGGCTGGTCTTGAACTCCTGACCTCAGGTGATCCACCCGCCTCTGCCTCCCAAAATGCTGGGATTACAGGCATGAGCTACCGTGCCCAGCCTCCATGTACTTCTTCCTGACAAACTTTGCAGGTCTGGAGATCTTCTACTTTTTCACCATTGCCCCTCTGACTCTGGCCAATGTCCTACCCATGGGGAGAAACCTCATTTCCCTGCCCGGCTGTGGAGGCCAGATGTTCTTCTTCATCTTCCTGGGAAGGGCTGACTGCATCCTGCTGGCCGTCATGGCCTTTGACTGGTTTGTGGCCATCTGTTGTCCTCTCTGTTACGGCCTCATCATGAGCTGGAGGTTGTGTGTCCAGCTGACCCTGGGGTCTCTGCTGTTGGGGTTCTTCTTAGCCATGCAGCTGACCGTGCTTATCTTCCAACTCCCTTTATGCAGCAGCAAAGAAATCAGCACGTTCTACTGTGATGTCCTCCCTGTCATGAGACTGGCCTGTGCAGATACCTGGGTCCATGAGGCCACTATGTCTATGGTCAGCACCACCTTTCTCACCGTCCCCTTCCTGCTCATCACTCTTTCCTATGTCTCCATCATGGCCGCCATCTTGAAGATTTGCTCTGCAGAGGGGAGGCACAAGGCCTTCTCCACCTTTCCTCCCACCTGACTGTGGTTCTCCTCCAGGACTGATGTACACGCCTCGCCTTCTTGTGTCCCAGCTCTAGCTACTATCCTGAGAGGGGCCAGGCAGTGTCTGTGGTTTACACCTTCATTACCCCTGTGCTGAACCCTTTGATCTACAGCATGAGGAACACAGAACTTAAGGATGCTTTGAAGAGAGCAATGACGAGGGTCCCGCTGCTCTAAACACATGCCACTCTTCAATACTGCTGGGCAGAGACACATGGCATACTGCCAGAAAGATAAGGAGAAGGGGCACAACAGTTGATTGTGTTTTATACTGTTAGTTCTTAGTTATATTATTTTTGAAAAGTCATTTTCCATTTCCCAGCCTCAGGTTCTTCACCTCCAAAATAGAGATTAAACTACCTGCAGGATCTAAATTCTGGGGGTACTTCTGAGGATCAATAGATATATTAAGTGAAAGTACTTTGTGACTTTTAAAGGGAGATATGGGCGGGGCACAGTGGCTCACGCCTGTAATCCCAGCACTTTAGGAGGCTGAGGTGGGTGGATCACCTGAGGTCAGGAGTTCAAAACCAGCCTGGCCAACCTGGTGAAACCCTGTCTCTACTAAAAATACAAAAATTAGCCTGGCATGGTGGCGGGTGCCTATAATCCCAGCTACGTGGGAGGATGAGGCAGGAGAATCACCAGGAGGCAGAGGCTGCAGTGAGCCAAGATTGCACCACTGCACTCCAGCCTGGACAACAAGAGTGAGACTCCATCTAAAAAAAAAAAAAAAAAAAGGGAGATATGGCAGTAAATGTGGTTATTGCCATCTTCATCATCATGTAAAATCTGCCCTACCTTGGATTTATCTCCAGATGTTGTTCTCAGGTTCTCAGCAGGCCCAAACAGTGCACACGTGGGGCTAAGCCAGGAATAGGATTCAAATGAAACTGGGACCACTGAGTTTGTGCTTTTTTTTGAATTAATAATCTTTCATCCTAATTTCTATTCCAGGGAAAGGTGATGGAGAAAATATCGGAGTCTTGGAGTTTCGGTAGCTTCTCTATTCTTGTTTTTTTTTTTTTAGATAAGAGTCTTGCTGTGTTGCCCAGTCTGGAGTGCAGTGGTGCAATCTTGGCTCACTGCAGCCTCCACCCCCCGAGTTCAAGCATTCTCCCGTCTCAGCCTCCCAAGTAGCTGGGACTACAGGTGCCACACCACCAGACCTGGCTAATTTTTGTATTTTTAGTAAAGACGGGGTTTCACCATGTTGGCCAGGCTGGTCTCGAACTCCTGACCTCAGTTGATCTGCCCACCTTGACCTCCCAAAGTGCTGGGATTACAGGTGTGAGCCACCACACCCGATCTCTTTTCTTACCTTTATACCAGAGCTTATTGGTCTCCATATGAATCACTGGCTCTGTATCAGTCTGCCTCCAAACTGTTCTCCCCACGACTATTCATTCCCCTCCCCTTTCTCCCGCAAATGTGTGGTCATGATTCCCTAAGCTGAGGGATTTATTTTGCGATGTTTTCCAAACTCTTTTTTCTTTGGAGGACGTCTTGAAGTGGGTTGTGTTGTTGAACTTATGTTGATAAATGCAGCATTATGTTGGAGAATGCTGAACTTATGTTGGAAAATGCTGACTCTGAATACCAAGATGGTTATTATTTTATCTGTGAATGAAATATTCCAGGCATTTCTCAGTTTCCCGTGCTCTCTGAAAAAGCAGTGCAGTTATAAAGGGTTAGCAGACTTTTTTTCAAGTTATTGAATTACGGAATTAACAATTCTCGTATATATTAACTCACTTATCTTCACAAAAACCCATGAAATGGGTACTATTATTATTATTTATCATTATTAGTTTTTTGAAACAGAGTATTGCTCTGTCACTGAGGCTATAGTGCAGTGGTGCAATCTTGGCTCACTGCAACCTCCTCCTTCCAGATTCAAGCAATTCTCATGCCTCAGCCGCCTGAGTTGCTGGGATTACAGGCATGAGCCACCACCCTTGGCTAATTTTTGTATTTTTCTTAGAGACAGGGTTTCACCATGTTGGCCAGGCTGGTCTTGAGCTCCTGGCCTCAAGTGATCCACCTGCCTCAGCCTCCCAAAGTGCTGGGATTACAGGTGTGAGCCACCACGCCCGGCTGAGATGGGTATTATTATTATCTTTGCTTACGGATAAGGACATTGAGGCACAGGGGCATTAAATCAATTGCCAAAGGTCACACAACCATTAGTGGTAGAACTGAGATTTGACCTGGGTAGTTTGGCTCCACAGCCTGGGCAGGCAACCACTGCCTTTTGCAGCATGTCTATCAGCATGCTATGTGAGCTTGGGAAAATCATCTTATTTCTCTGTACTTAATTTAATTTATAATAAAATGGGGATAATAATATGTACCCTAACTCCCTCCCTGAGTGATTGTGAGATATCAGGACAAAACAAAGTTATAAAAGTGCAGTAAAATTCAGTATGGCTATTCAAACATTCAAACGAGGAAATACATTAGATGGCTTATTTCTTTAATTACAAGGAGTTTAAAGCCACAATTATCCAATTGCCCTTTATCTGTGCTTCATTATAAATATCCTGTTCCTCTTTTTAAAGGAATAGATATACTTTTAATTTTTTTTTTTTTTGAGACATGTCTCTCTCTGTCACCCAGCCTGGAGTGCAGTGCCGTGATCATAGTTCACTGCAGCCTCAAAATTCTGGGCTCAAGCAATCCTGCACCGCAGCCTACTGAGTAGCTGGGGACTGCATGTGAGCACCACTATACCTGGCTAATTTTTTTTTTTTTTTTGAGACGGAGTCTCGCTCTGTCACCAGGCTGGAGTGCAGTGGCGCAATCTCGCCTCATTGCAACCTCTGCCTCCCGGGTTCAAGCAATTCTCACTGCAGCCTCCACCCCCTGGGTTCAAGCAATTCTCCTGCCTCAGCCTCCCAAGTAGCTGGGATTACAAGCACACACCACCACGCCCAGCTAATTTTTGTATTTTTAGTAGAGACGGGATTTCACCATGTTGGCCAGGATGGTCTCGATCTCCTGACCTCATGATCCACCTGCCTCAGCCTCCCAAAGTGCTAGGACTACAGGCGTGAGTCACTGCACCTGGCTCGATTTATGTATGTTTTGTAGAAATGGGGTGTCACTCTGTTGCCCAAGCTGACAAAGAATTCTTATTATTATTATACTTTAAGTTTTAGCGTACATGTACATAACGTGCAGGTTTGTTACATATGTATACATGTGCCATGTTGGTGTGCTGCACCCATTAACTCGTCACTTAGCATTAGGTATATCTCCTAATGCTATCCCTCCCCGTTCCCCCACCCCACAACAGTCCCCGACAAAGAAATTTTAACACAGTTGAAACTGTACAACTATGGAAGGTGCCACCTTGGGAATGTCTGGAAAAACTAAAAAAGTTAAAATGGCAAAAACTCCAAAAATTATTGGGTGTCCTGTGGCATGCTAGGCCTTATCTAAAGCACCTTTCTGGATTACCTGATTTTTTAGTGATTTTTGCCTTATAAAATCTTGCAGCTATTTTCCAACTTGGTAAGTTGTAGAAAATTCATAGGAATGCCAATGATTCTTGTCCATAGAGATGCCTGGTAGAAGTGCAATTGCTCTCCCAGCACCCCGAGGCCAGTTCTGCATTTATTATTTATTTTTATTAAAAATATAATTTTTAAGACAGAGTTTTGCTCTGTGGTCCAGGCTGGAGTGCAGTGGTGTGATCTCAGTTCACTGCAACCTCTGCTTCCCAGGTTCCAGAGATTCTTCTGCCGCAGCCTCCCGAGTAGCTGGGATTTGTAGGCGTGCACTATCACGCCCGGCTAATTTTTTGTATTTTTAGTAGAGATGAGGTTTCAAGATGTTGGCCAGGCTGGTCTTGAACTCCTAACTTCAAGTGATCTGCCCGCCTCAGCCTCCCACAGTGCTGGGATTACAGGCATGAGCCACTGCACCCGGCCAGTTGTGCATTTATTAACATGTTCGTTTCAGCATTCCTGATTGCCTATATATGTGTGTACACTTTGTGTTTTCCTCTGGACAGGGCTAGCTTTACTGGTCTCCTCATTCATTAATGAATTAAAGTCTTTGATGTGTGTGCATTTTATATTTGTAGAGGAGTCATGATTTTACTCTTTTCAAAACAATTATCCTGTAACAGGAACCCTCTGAGCAGAGGCAGACAGGCCACCCTTGATTCCTGCTGTGGAAAGAGAATTTTTTACTCCAGACCCCAATGGTCCTTTTCAGATTCCTAACGTGAAGGGTTGTTCATATCTCGGCCTCTCGCGGAAGACTCTATTTTCTTGAAGCGCGGGGAACTACGTATTCCCACTAACAAAAATCTGTTAAGGGGCAGGGCGCAGTGGCGCACGCCTGTAATCCCAGCCCTTCGAGAGGCCGAGGCGGGCGGATGGCTTGAATACAGGAGTTCCAGACCAGCCTGGGCAACATGGCGAAACCCTATCTCTACGAAAAAAACACAAAAATTAGCCGGGCGTAGTGGCGCACGCCTGTAATCCCAGCTACTTGGGAGGCTGAGATGGGAGGATGGGTTGGGCCCAGGGGATCGAGGCTGCAGAGAGCGGTGATCGCGCCACTGCACTCAACTTGCGCAACAGAATGAGACTCTGTCTAAAAAACAAACAAACAAACAAACAAACAAACAAACAACCCCCAAACTCCCCAAAAATGTGTTAGGGGAAGGAGGTGGGACAGTGTGTATTTCTGATCTACTCGCCTTTCCTAGTATGACCACCAGGGGGCGCGGAAGCCCTCCTGGTACTAAGGCGGGGACAACCTGCCCAGCGAGCACAGCGGGCAGAAGGAAGTGTGCCGGACGCGAGAGAGAACTACGGCCGAGACCCGCGGGGCCGGCTCAAAGCCCGACCTCTGCCATACGCACCGTATCTTTATGGGAGCCGATGAGGTCAGCAGGGAGCACGCGTTCAGATGGCAGAAGAGGGCAAAGTACTGCTAGAATTACAAAGATATTTACAGCTTTTTAACCTGAAAGCACAGAGCAGATCCTATTCTTCAGAATTAAATCTTCGGCTCGCCAGTCCCGTTTATGGATCTCCACTCTGATGAATGTGCCATTTGTTCCCAAGAAGACAAATAGGGTAGGGAGAAGAGGGAGAGGCGGGGAGAAGACTCGAGATAAAGGGACGATCTGCTTTTCGGAAGCAGAAGCCGCCTGGGAACCACCTGCACACCAAGCAGGCTGCGAGGACGGGGAGCGCTCCAGTGCAAAGTTCTGTATTTTAAAGCCCCTCCTCGCTCACAGGCTTCACAGCGAACTACGAAGTGGGTACCATCTCTGATTTACAGACACGGGAACGGGGTCCTCTTGAGAAACGATGCTTTCCCAAACGTCTGCAAATTGTGAGTGCCAAGTGTCTCCACTGGCACTAACAACATCGAGCTGCTTACGTTTCTCGGAGCGGTCCCGATTTCCAACAAGCAAAAGATCCAAATTCTCTGACCACCCTGACCGTCCTGTATCTCCAGATCTCCAGGTCTTTCCTCTGGACACCTCCTCCATCCCCCCACTTTCACTGCCAGCAGCCCTGAGGCTGCGCGGGATCCCGCTACTCGGAATGCCTTCCTCCTGGCGGGATATTTTTAGAACACTCGACTGCCACCCAATGTAGCCCACATCACATTGTCTTATTTGTTTTCGGGAGCTTGTCCCCGCCTAGCAAGGAGTCGGCTAAGAACTGGATCCTAGCGAGGAGCCCGGCACAGACAGCGAATGACCGCAGCCAGACAGTCGCTCTTGCTCTTCCTCGGCCCTGCGGCAGGATCCGCCGGTGCAGGGGCCTCTCCCCGGACTCCACGCGTGTCTGGAGGGCTCTCGGGTTAGGGAAGGGGGCTTTGGAGACGCCCCGGGCGGCCGGGCGGTGGCGGGACGCGGGCCCTTTAAGAAGGAGCGAGGGGCGCGGCCAGGTAGGGGCGGGTCCAGGGCGGATCAGCGCTGCGCCGGCGCCGGCCCGGGAGCCGGATTTGGAGCGCGAGGCGCCGGTGGGGGCGGAGGGGGCTGCGCGGCGGAGGCTCCCGTGGCCTCGGACGCTCCTCCTAGCTAGCGGCCGCCGCCCGCCGCCGCCTGCGCCTCCAGCTCCTTCGCCCCGGCGGGCCCGGCCGCCGCTTCCGGCAGCTCACCTGGGAAGCGCTCACCTGGGACGCGCTCACCTGGGACGCGCTACCTGCCTCCGGGCGCCTGGGCTTCAGGATGAAGGACCGTCTGGAGCAGCTGAAGGCCGTGAGTTTCGCCGCAGGCGGGGTGCTGCCAGGAGGGGTGCTGCATGGGAGAGGGGCTTCCCTTTGCTCCCCAAGTCGAGGCTGGAGGGGGGCCCGAGCCGGAGGCTTGCCCTCCCCAAGCCCCCACCGCTTCCCGCGCCGGTTCCGCACCCTCCCCTCCCCTCCCCTGCGGGGTCATGTGCCCGGTGATTCATCGCTAGGCAATGATTTTCCTGAACGCCTCTAACTCTCCCACCCCGCAAGCTGGACAGTGTCTGTCCAGAGCTGGTTCCCGAAGCGGGTGCTTGGGCCCGGGAGGTCAGGGGTCCCTTCACCACCTGCCCACTGCTGCCTGGCACTATGCCCAGGACCAGCCTCCTTCTCCCTTTCCTGTTTCTCTCCTGAGGTGCTACAGGCCTGGCTGCCCCTTCCCCCAGGGAGCAGCTCAGAGCTCTCTGGTGACCTCTGGAGCTGTGAGCCGGTCACATGCTGGGATGGGTCAGCTCCTCTCCAACCGGTGGTCTGTAATTGTTATCCCCGGGTGTCATTGTCCCCCCCTCCCCCGCCGTATCTTTTGGAACAGCTGTGGTTAGGTCAAAGGATCTGAAGGTAGACTACCTCCAGCCTTGGCTGCGCAAAAGCTGTAAAGCCTTAGGTTACTTACTGTGAGTCTCTGTTTCCTTATCTATCAAATGGGAATGATCATACCCTAGGAATTTGTTGGGAGGATCAGCTGATACAATGGAACTTGATACAGAAAAGGGTTAACGCATAGGGTTTTAAGCCAGATATTCATTGACTCATTCAGTACATAATTATTGAGTGTATTCTATGGGGAGGTCCAGTGCTAAGCCTTGGAGATTCAGTGGCACAGGTTCTACCTTAATAGAATTAAAATCTAGCCCTTGACACTCAAGAGTTTAGTCCATCTACTTTGGAGCTTGTTACAAGTGTAGCAGCTTAGGCCTGAGTCTAGCCCCGCAGAATCAGAATCTAATTATTCATCCATTTCCCCAGGTGATTCATGGGCACATTACAGTTTGGGAAGCACTGGACTGGATTAGAACTGGGGTTGTCTCCTGGCTCCACTGCTTACTGGTGATCCCTTAAAATCCCAGCCTAAGTTTTGTCATTTGTAAAATGGGTAGTTGTAAGGTCGAAATGCAACAGAAGATGCTTAAGAACACTTTTAGGGTGCATGGCACGGGGGACTTAATAAATGGTGAAATATGCTAATAACTGTGAGTGCTCTTGGGAAAATGCAGATGTCAGGGACTGCTGGGATGATGTTACAAGAGTTTATCCTTTTTCTCCCTTGCTTGGATGAGACCTTCATTCCTGTTTCACCTGTTCTGTGTAGCAGGGCTGCGGAGGAGGCAGGTAGCTGGGGAAGTGAGAGAAGCAAAGGGACAGTTGCCTATTGTGGGAGTGGCCTCTCTGCCTCAGGCTTGTGCTTAGTCATCTCAGCCTCACAGCGTCCAGGTTACTGATGGGGCAGAATTTATTGCCCCTGTTTTTATAGATGGGGAAACTGCTGCTCACGGGGTAGGAGGGATGCTCCAGGACACAGAGCCGGCCAGGGCACCACCAGGAGAGGAACCCAGGCTCTTGACACTCTCCACAGTGCTCCTTCCCTTGAAGCACGCTGGTTGGGGAGGCAGAAGGAAAAGAAGAGCACGATTTTGAAGATCTCTCTGTGTCGGCACACCCAGCAACCATAAAAAAGTACAAAACTGAACAGCAGGCTCTTCCATTTATTAGGAAATCCACTTCCAGAGGAAGATACTCCATGGCCCCTTTCAGTAGCTCATTGTCAACAATGAGCAAAGAGTCTTAACTGAGCTTTGAGTTCCAAGAATAAATTTAATTTGCCTGGGGACGCTGAGCAAGTCTCTTTGCCTCTCCTCGGTGCCTCATGGTTACCCTCTGTACAATGGAATTAATGATAGGTTTCCTCCCCTTCCCTCTTGGGGATGTGGTGAAAGTGAGACTGGAGATGGTGGTGGTATTATGGGAGGATTGTTCTGAAATCACAGGGTGGCTTCTGTAGCGTCTTGGAGCAGATGCATGGCAGCGTGGGACAAAGGGACACAGGTGGCAGGTTCCAAGACTGATCACTGTGCTTCTTTGCGTCACTTCTCTGCTTCTCAATTCCTCCTTTATACAACAAAGAATTGAGTTGATCTCAGAAGCCCCCTCTGGCGTTATTATAGGTTTTTCTTTGAAGACTGTTAAGGTTTATGTGGATTTTGGTGTCAGTTCACCTCCTCTTATCCCCTCTCCCCAGCCAGACTCCCAGGGATCACCCTCACTGAAACAAGATATGCGTCTTCTCCCTCTGATTTCCGTTATCAATTAGAAGCGTTTGTTAACCTGCATGAAACAAATTGCACATTGAGCAGCCTATGCAATCTCTTTCTGTGGTGTTCTTTCTAAATCCTGGGGAGGGGAGGTGGTAACTGCCTCCCGATAACTGGAGGGCTTTCCGTGCCTGTGATTGACTTTGTTCTGGGTAGATACAAAGAGAACATGTGGGGTTGATGGGTAGAAATGAGGAATCTGTAAGAAAGCGTTTTTAGTAGACAGAGCTGCCCAAGGATGGAGTAGATGGTGCACCCTCCAGCATGGGAAGGAAGCAAGAAGCTTGTTGGGATTTTGAATGTTGTAGGAATTTGAGCATCTCTTGGAGGGGAGGTGAACTAGGAGATATAAGGCCTTCACCAACCTTAAGAATGTGTGGTTTTATAAAATGCTTAATTGTGAGCCTGTCCTGAGGCTTTGAAGTCTACAGGGACTGAGGCCTCAAGAGTTGCCCCTGTAAAGTGGCTCATCACCCTTTTCCCATAGGATCATTGTGAGGATAAAATGAGATAATCCGTGACAATCACCCACCACTGTTATTGTTAGTTCCTCTGTCTTGGCCTGCTGGCAACAGCGTCCACACAGAAGGGCATCCCTTCCTGAGGCCATGGTCACAAGATCTGACTCACCTGGTCTCATCTCATCTCTTCTCTTGCACTGCTCTTCCTGGTGGGCTCCCTCGACAGCCTGCTTTTTCAGTGACACAGGACAGGCTTGCCAAGAATGTGCAGTGCCTCTACCCAGCCTATCCCAGGACATGGTTTTCTCTGACTTCTCAGCAGCTGAACTTTGAATCTGCTGAGTCCAGACAGTTCCATGCTTTTGCATGGCCCTGTTTTCATTCAGCAAACATTTGCTGAGTACTGAGTACCCACTGTGTGCCAGTCCTTGTACTAGATGCTGGAGTGTAATGGTGATAAACGCATGTTCCTGGCCCTTAGAAAGTTCATGGTCAGGTAGGAAGAAACAGAAGAAATAGACATGAGGATATCATCCTTGTGATAGAAGCAACCACAGGAAGACCCTGTTGGCCAGTCTTTGGAAGATGGGAGATGGGCATGAGGCTTTGGGTGGGTTCCCAAGAAGTAGTAATGCTTGAGCTCAGCTGATTCTTCCAGCCCAATCTGACCTTTTCAGATATGTAAAGGTGGTTGGAGATACATAAGTTACTTTACGTACCAGATAAGTAAAGAGACCTTGTATCTAATCCTCTCAACCCTGCAAAGCAGAGTGGGTTTTTCTATTATTCTCATTCTGCAAGTGAGTGAATTGAGGCTTAACAAGAAAGGCAAGGATCCTAGATTGTCTTAATCACTCTCGCATTGGTGTATAAACCATCAAGCATATAAACAACTCAAGGGAGCATCAGCAGGGTCGCATGTGCATGGTACCTGCTGACCACCATGATCAGAGCTTTGTGACCTCTGTGTGCCTAGCATCCTGCTGGGCGTCAAGTTTAGGCAGGATTGACAAAGTCCTAGTATCAAAGGGTAAATGATCACATAGGGAAGACAAAGACATGTAGTATATGACAAGAGGGCCAACAGTAATCAAAGCCATATGGTGGTAATGGAGAAGCCAGTGATGTATGGAATAGAGGTTGAAGGCTTTGGACTCCCTTGGAGACGGATCTGTAGAGGACTGGAAATGACGTGGATGTAATGGCCCTTCAAAGACCAGCACTAATAAGGACACACTAATGAAATCAACCACCTGGGGCTCTAAAGGCCAGACTAACTTTTTACTCTCTCTGTGTCTTGCTGCTTCCTAAATGGCTGTTATTGGCCTCCTTCCCCACTGGAAGCTCCAGGATCTTTGTGGAATCATAGTTCCTTAGGATAACATTATAACCCCATCAGCAACATGGAGCTGTGTACTTCTCCTTTAAAGCTTAATTTGTTAATAAATATTTATCGAGCCGCTTTTATGTGCCAGGTGCTTTGGATCATAACTGAACCTTAACATACCAATCTGCGCTTCACTGAGATTCTGTCTTTCTCTAGTCATAAAATTTCATTCAAGTCAGGATTCCTGCCTCCCCTCTTCTCTGTACCTGGGAGGATTCATTCTCTGGAAGAGCTGTTTTTCTGTGAGCAGACGGGAACCAGAGCTGAGAGTGATGGGGATTGAGTAGGGATTACAGCCCCATCAGCCGGAGGCCAGAAAATGCTTGGATGAGAGAAGAGGATTAATTTTATTTTTATTCCTGTGAGTGTGGGGGAAGTCGGGGGAATTGGCAGGAGCTAAGGGAGGGACACTTGTTCATGTTGTCCTCTCTCTCTTCCAAAGCTTCCTCCCTGCCTTTTGTCAAAATTTCTACCCATCTTCCAAAACTCATTTTTTATAGGTAGTAGTGTTCTGTAACTGCAACTTAGAATACTCTCCTCCATTCTTGCAGCTCTCACGGGGTGCATGTTGCTTTGCAGTAGGTTGTGGGTTTTTTTTTTTTGTTTGTTTGTTTTGTTTTTTTAATTACCATGGAGTGGGTTTGAAACCACTGTCCGTTGCTTTTTATAAGTTAGACCCTTTATCCCCTTTATCTTCTAGGTCCTTTTGTCTTTAAGGTCAGTGTTTCTAGTACTTCTTGTCACCACATCAATTACAATAACAACAATCATTTATTGAGCAGCTACTATTGGACAGACTTGTGCTACATACCTTACATACCTTGTCTCTAATTCTCTCAACCCTGCAAAGCAAAGTGGGTTTTTATATTATTCTCATTTACAAGCAAGGAATTGAGATATTATTCTCGTTTTACAAGTGAAGGAATTGAGTCTCAGGTTTGACTGAGATCCCCATCTGGGAAGTGGTGGGCTCAAGAATTGAACGTGTGTGTCTTGCTTCTTCGTATCCCCTTACACTGTATTCGATCATCTCCCTAACTGCACTATATGCCTCTGATGCAACAGCAGTTATGATAGTCCTCTGGAGCCCCAGGGCCTAGCACTCTGCATGGTAAGCCTGTATTAAACATTTGTCTCTTAGTTGATTAATAACAGCTTGACCCTTACACATCCTTTACTCATTATTATGACTTATTTTTCTTGCTCCATTCCCTGTGGGCTGGTGAATCTTTACCTACCTGAAGTGGAACATTTACTGAGGGAATCCATATGTTTGCTAATGAAGCCAGACCTTACAGGTCCATCCCCAAGGACGGAGTTCCAAGGCTCCTAACTACACCTAAACACCTAGCCCAAGATGACATGGAAGGTTGCCCCTATTTAGAAAGACAATGAAGGCGAAGATGTGGCTACCATGGTGAAAACTTAGGTACTCCATTTTTCTCCTGGCAAAATCCTACATATCTCCAAAGTCTCAGTTCCAGTGTCATCCAGCTTCCCAGGCTGACAGCACTGAGCATGCCTTTCCTCGGACCCCGCAAACTTTACTTTTGGTGGTGTATACAAATAGCCACATGGTATTGCAATTTCAGATGCCACTGGCTCTGTTAGTTCTTGTGCTCTGGGAGAGCACAGACCACATATGTCTCATTCTCTCTTATACCTTCCCAGCCCAAAGCCTGTAAAGCTGTAAACCAAACTGTCCTGTCAATGAATGGGGATATTCTGTAAATTTATTTGCCCGCAGATTCTGTAGTCCCTGAGGGGCCTTACCTCCAGCCACCTTTATGTTAGGCCCCTCTGCAACTGCCCCCACCCCATCTCCTCTCTCAGGGTAGCCTGCTTTTTGGCATTGGACCATTTCCATGGCAACTTTCCCCAGTCTCCATCTGGAAACTGAGTGAAGTTCAACCCCCCACCTAAAGAGATTAGTGGAGCAAATACTGTCTGGTTATGTTCAGCTGTCTGGGTTAGGACAGCTCAGTATGGCATCAGGGTTTTTTTTTTTTTAATAAATTTTTAAGTTTTAGCCTACTTTTAGATTTATGGAAAAGTTGCAAAGATAGTACAGAGAGTTCCTGTCTAGTCCTCTCCTGGTTCCCTCACTTGGTCTCATTTTATACTACAGTGTACACTTAGCAAAACTAAGAGACTTATATTGGTACATTACTATTCACCCAACTCCATACTTTATTTGGATTTCACTAGTTGTTCCACTAATGTCCTCTTTCTGTTCTAGGATGCGATCCAGGACACCACATTGCATTCGGTTGTCACATCTCCTTAGCTTCCTCTGGCCTGTCTGACAATTGCTTAGTCTCTTGTTTTTTGTGACCTTGGCGGCAGGGCTCCGGCATCTGTTTTCTAGTGCTCTGGAAGCACATTTCCTGTGGCCAGTGCTACATGCTACAGCTAGGGTGGTGGTGGAGCAGCCGTTAAGAGGCAACACTCCAGATGGCTGAGGACAAAGTCCCGGCAGCCAGCTGCCCAGGCACCCCTCCTAGCTCAGGTGCCCACTGTCTGCAGGATCTTGGTCAGGTTGCTTGGTGTCTTTATGCATTAGTTTTCTCAGCTGTAAGATGGGGAATATCCCCAGAAGACTGGCCTAGGGATTAACTGTCATGGTCAATAGAAAGCACACATCTTAGAAGGATCCTCACTCAGCACATGTTGAGTGTTTAATGAAGGTTGCGCGTTGTCACTGTTATTTAAGTATTCTAGAATGACCATGAGGGAGAGGAAGCTTGTGGGACAGAGGCTGAAAGGAGGGGTTGGGGAGAAGGCTGAGGATGGAGTAAGACAGTATTAGTTCCTTTCTTCCTCCTCTCTGTGTCCTTGAGAACTGAATGCCATGGTGGTGTCCAGAGGCCAGGACAGGAGACAGGGGAAGGGAGTGGAAGAGAGGGAAGAAGTGTGGGGTGGAGGAGGAAGGATCTAAAGGACACCTGAGATCTCCAGGAGGAAGAAGAAGGCCTTCTTTGAATCTCCTTGAATGGCTCCTGGGATGAGAAAGAAAGCAGGAAGAAGGTCTGATCTCCTCACCCTGAGTGGCCTTCTTGTAGGTTTCATTTGGGTAAATCCACACATTCCACAAAATTTCTCCAAGGAGTCACTTCTGCCAACATTCTCTAATAAGCTTCCATCTTCCCCAGGCTCAACCTTGAATTCAGGCAAGGTTGGGCACTGCGTCTTCTCTTGGGTGTGTAATTCCTTGGGCTAAAGCACTGTCCTCACGTGTCATGTGGTATTGTATCGCATGGACTGTTGCTTGGCAGATGTTAGATGTGCAATAAATACTGCCGGATGAAAGAATGAACAAATGAATCTGTTACTTTGCATGGAACATTGTGGCTGTGCTGATGGGTGATGAGACCTTGAGATGCCTCTCTGAGTTAATGAAGGAGTGAACATTGGATTAGACCACCCAGGTTTCTAATCTTGGCTGTGTTCCTTACTGTGTGATTCTGGATGAATTAACCTTCCTAGCCACAGATTCCTTGTTAGTGTACATAACATCTACCTAGAGGGCCTTTTCCCCCTCTTCTTCCTTTCTTGGGAGTTTTTGTCTTTCTTGTCTAGACCCACCTCAGGTCTGGAGAAGCAAAAGCAGGTAGGATGGCATGTGAGGATTGGACTTCAATGATTTTTGTATCCGACAAGCAGAATGCAAGTTCTTTTGAAATACGCATAGAAGATTAAGAAATACCATGTATTAAGACACAAAGAAAATGCCAAATCTCACAGAATAAAAGTCATATAGGCCGTTTCCTAACAGTGATACAATTAGAAATTAATACAATAATTGTCCTCCCCAGGCTAATCCATATTGGAAATGTAAGAACGCCTTTCTAAATAACTCTTGGGCTAAAGATAAATCAAAGTAGAAATGACAAACTATTTAGAAATAAATGATCGGCCGGGCGCGGTGGCTCATGCCTATAATCCTAGCACTTTGGGAGGCCGAGGCAGGTGGATCACCTGAGGTTGGGAGTTCAAGACCATCCTGGCCAACATGGCGGAAACCCTGTCTCTACTAAAAATACAAAATTAGCAGGGCATGGTGGCGCATGCCTGTAATCCCAGCTACTTGGGAGACTGAGGCAGGAGAATCACTTGAACCCGGGAGGTGGAGGTTGCAATGAGCCAAGATCAAGCCATTGCACTCCAGCCTGGGCAACAAGAGCGAAACTCCGTCTCAAAAAAAAAAAAATAAAAGGAATGATCACAAGAGCGGTAAATATCAAAATTTGGGAGAAGTAGTGGAAGAAGAATTGAGAGGGAGCTCTGTTTCTTTAAAAGCATATAGTAGAAAAATGACAGATTTAAAGCACATGAGGTAAATGCCAATGAATACATGAAATTCTCTCCTCCTGAGACATCTAGTGTCACCATCTAAGAATTGGCATTAGAATTGCATCTTTGCCAGAAACTCTTAGCAAAAACAAGGCCCAATTTTCTGCTTTAGATAACATGATCTTGGGCATTTAATATGTGCCTAGCATTGCTCTAAACATGTCTCCTGTGGTACTGATTTAATCCTTGCAACAATTCTATGAGCAGATTATTCTTGTCATGTCACAAATGAAGAAACTGAGGCACAGAGAAGTTAAGTAATCTGTTTAAGACCATATAGCTATTAAATGGTAGAGCCAGGTTTTCAACTCTGTATCTCTGTAGAGGTACAGAGATACATCTGACTGCCTGAGTTGGATTATATACACTGGTATCTTTTTCACTCATGCATATAGGTTAATCCAACTTAGTTTTATGGATGTTGTGGTATCCCCTGAAATAAGCGAGAGCGTGTTCACTGAGCCTGAGTGGGGAGGATGCCTTCAAGTGTGTGTAGTGGGGAACAGCAGAAGCCCTGGGCTCCCACAGACTTGCCTGTGAGTCCTAATGAGGTCGTTTATTAGCTGAATCATTTTGGATGAATTATTTAATTAAGCAGTTGTCTTATCTGGAAATGGGGAAAGTAATATTTGTCCCTCAGAGGGTTGATGTGAGAATTAATACATTTGAAACCACAAAAGTGCCTGCAACAACACACACACACATTATCTATTATTATTATTATTATTATTATTATTATTATTATTGTTAGGGCACACTGAGTGGAGTGGGGTCCTCAGGGACCTTGGCTCTTGTCCAGTTGTCCACTGGCTCACTGGCCTTGGGCTCACTGATAGGATTTATTCTGCAGTGTCTTCATCTTTCAAATAGGGCTAATTCTTTCCTCAAGTTGTTCAGCTAGGGCTTTCTTCAAAGTAAAAGCATGAGGCTCACTTAGGATATCATTATCTGTCAATCTCCTCTTGATTTCATCTGATGAGTGTGTTGGGGAAGATGGAATTAAGTGAAAAGGGGAAGTGTGCCCTCTGGGAGGGTTTCACTGGAAGAGAAATCACAGCTTAGTGAGAGAACTGGGCACTGGAGAAGAGTCATTTGACTCTTCACATAGGAAACAGAGAGCATGGAGTGCCTGTTGAGAACCTACACTCAGAATTTCTGGCTCTTTAAAGAAGAGGGACTGGAAAGACCAGATGTTGGGCAGTGTGCACATGGGTGTGTGTATGTGTCTGTGTGTGTCTGTGTAACCTTTGTAAGTGGTGGTGTTTGTCTTTAGGAATCCCCAGACCCTCATTTGGAGGGAGGCAGTTGGGAGAAGTGGGTAGCAAGGACAAGAAAAACCAGGAGTCAGGCTGGGTGCGGTGGCTCATGCGTGTAATCCCAGCACTTTGGGAGACCGAGGAGGGTGGATCACACAAGGTCAGGAGTCCAAGACCAGCCTGAGCTACATGGTGAAACCCTGTCTCTACTAAAAATAGAAAAATTAGCTGGGTGTGGTGGTGTGCGCCTGTAATCCCAGCTATTTGGAAGGCTGAGGCAGGAGAATCACTTGAACACAGGAGGCAGAGGCTGCAGTGAGCCGAGATTGCACCACCGTACTCCAGCCTGGAAGATAGAGCAAGACTCTGTCTCAAACAAACAAACAAACAAACAAAACAAACAAAACCCAGGTGTGTCATTGTTTCTTTGAGTTAAATTTATTGGGAGATAATCTGGATTTATAAAGAAGCATCTGTGTCTCCAGAGAAATAATTGTTTAAATTTGGAGAAGAGAAGGTGCAAGAATTTGTACTCGCTTGGTTGTGCCAGGAGGGGTGCTGCCCCACCGGCCCACAAATCTTTAATGCCCCACTGTGGGAAGTTAAGGACCAGATATACCCTTTCCCCTCTGTTATTTCTTTGACCCAGAAACTTTCCTGGGGGCTCCTGGGCTTTCTGCCTTGTCCTGGGACCCTTTTGTCTGCCTGGGGTCTGGCACCTGTGGCAGGAAGAGAATCAGAGCTGGTGAACACTGTGCTCTTCATCTGGGATGACTTCCTTTTTCTTTGTCTCATTCTGCCTTGCTGCTCTGATTTGTAAACATTCTTAAGGAGATACTGATGATTTAAACTTACGTTGCAGATGTGTTTTAACTTGGAAAGGAGGGACAAACTCTTTTTAGAAAGCACTTGTTCATCTATTTCTGTGATTTTCCAACTTTTTTTCTTTCTTTTGTGACAGTAGGACTCTTTCTTAAAATGAAATCTTATATTGAATCCCAGTGTATAAAGCAGATAAAAGTAAAGCTCTGTAGATTGAAGAGGGGGTGAGGCTCAGGACAGCTACGTCCCCCCATTGGCTCCCCACTCCCTGAGTACCCTGAGTGGGGTTTCTGAGGCACATGTGAAGTTTCCTGGGTTTCCGCAAATCTGCACTGGAAAGCCAAGCCCCTCCTTAATTGATGAGAAAGGCTTAATGGAAACAAATGTTGTCCCCAAAGGGCCACAGCTCCACTTTCTCAGCCCAGGATGCTTTCTGCAGGGTTGGGCTGCTTAGCTTCTGGGCCCCAGCTGCTCTCAGTGACAGGCTGCCCTGAGCAGCGTGCAGTGCGATAAGAAGGGCTTAGGACAGATGACTTAAGCTTGAGCCCTGTTTCGGCAAATCAGTAGCTGGGAGACCTTGAATAACTTACACCTTCTCTGACCTGCATGTTCTCAACTACATACTGCAGATGGGATTCGTTGACATGGTGTACACAAAGCAGCTAGTGTCTTGTGGCCACCTAGCACCTACTAGGGGCTCTATGGGGTTGCAAATATTTTTATAAATTATATGAGCTAATGAAGAGAGGAACCTGTGGTCAGATAGACTAACAATGATAGAGAAGGCAGTTGAGACAAAGACACTGAGCCTTGAGAGAGAGGAATTGCAGTTCAGTTGCTTGAGGTTGCATTCTGGGCCTCTGAACTCTTTCTACTTTCTGTCCAGAGAGGAGGTCATAACCCTGGCTGTCCTTTCTGGATTTGGGGGCACACTTGAGGGGTAGGGTCGGGGGAGATAGATCCCAGGTTGGAGTTCAGTGTTGCCTAAGTCATTGGTGATATCTCTCATCTCCTTGGGCGAGAGGCATCTGGAGGTTGGGGAGGGGAGGAAGTTGATGGCTGGGCTTGTGGTTCACTTGTGTTTTTTATTGTGGCTGATATTGCAGCTACTGTAATGTTCCTATTACCAGATATGTTGATTCTTTGATAAAGATGCTGAAGTTCTCTTCTTGGCTAAGCTCAGTCATGTGGGCTGAAGATAAGGGCATTGTGTGCTTTCCTTGCCCTTGGGTTCTGATGCCTCTAGATCTGCAAGAGAGCACATGTGTGTCAGAAGGGCAGGAGCCCTTACCCTGAGATTGGTTGAGCTTGCTCTGTAGGGAAGCCTGCTGCTAGCTCCAGTTTCATGTGACTCCAGATAACATGCGATGATGGCCTCTTCCTTGAGTTTTCTGATCTGGACCAAACTTTGTTGTTGTTATTTTGTATTTTTGGAAGTGGCATGCTACAGTGGGAAAAACTCTGCATGGGAAAATGGAAATCCAGAAACCTGGGTTCTATTCCTTTCTGTGTCAGTAACTCATTATTTCATTTTGGGCCTTGGTTTCCCCCTGGTTTCTGTCCAGACCTCCTCTCTGGACAGAAAGTGAAAAGAGTTCAGGGACCCAGAATTCAACCTCAACGTTTCCCTTTTTCTAAGTGAGGGGATTTGATGGTAAAATCTTTAACATTGCATTCAGCTCTGAAAGTCCTGTATCTAAAGATACTCATATCCAGGTCAAAGCTGTAGAGAAGTTGACTTGGCCAGATCTTATGTATGGTTGCTTTATTGAGTTCTTACTGTGTGCTCTACATTGCATAGGGAACTTTAAAATATTATCATATTGAATTCTCACAGCATCCCTGGCAGATAGCATATATTTTTTATAGAAGAAGGAGGCAGGGAAGAGGGGTGGATTTTGCAGGGATTCTCTCTGTTGCAGTAAAACCAAAGAGTACGTTTTGGCAGTGCTGGTAGGCATGCAGTCACATTGCATGTGACAGGCAGATTCAGTCAGTTGATATCAACTTCAACTTTCTAGGTGCCCAGCCTTGTGTCAGGTGCCCAGGAGATACTAGTAACACTTACGAGATACTATCCCTGACTTCAGGTTGGTTAAAATTGAGCTTGAAGTTGAGACTGCAACTCATTAAACTATTTGATAAACATGAAGTGGGGCAAGTTTTGTGGGAGAAATGGGCCCTGTGTTTGAATAGCAGAGGAGTATATGAATATTGGTTGTGATTGGGAATAAGGGGACATAGTGCTAATATGACTATTGATGGTGGTTGGGAATGAGGGGGCATGGTATTAAGAAAGCCCAGGAGCAGGAAGCAATGGGATGTGTGCAGAAGACATGAGGAGATCAAGTTGATGAGCAGAAGGTGTCTGGGGGAGAATAGTGGGAATATAGCTAAACGCATAAATACGGTCAGCTTCCAAAGGGTTATGACAGACAGGCTGAGGACTTTTATACAGTAAGTAATAGGGAACCATCATGTATTGGGAAACAGGGACATAATGGGATTGGACCAGAGAGATAATGGAGGTGGGTATGGGCAGGAGACTGTTGTAATGGTACAGGGTCTGCTACTCAAGCAAGGTCCAAAAATACTCTATTATTACTATTTTATAGATGAGGAAATTGAGGCTCAGAGATGTGTTACATGTGTGTAACTTTACAGGGAGGTAGCAGTGTGGTTTTGTTACATGGCTCTATTGCATAGTAGTGAGGTCTGGGCTTTTAGTGTATCCATCATCCAAATAGTATACATTGTATCCATTAAGTAATTTCTTGTCATCTACTCCCCTGCACACATGTATTGGGAAACAGGGACACATACATTTCTTTATCCAATCATCCATTGATGGATACTTAGGTTGATTCCATATTTTTGAGGCTCAGAGGGGTTAAACCATCTGTTTAATGTTCAGTGAGTAGCATGTGATGGACCGTGGTATAGAGCCCTGGCCATTATGTTGCCATGGAGCCGATCTTACTGACTTAGCCTTTAGTTTGAGAACTTCCTGTGGAGGAGGAGGAGGAGGAGGAGGATGAGGATGGGTGCGGACAGTGATGACTCACAGGGGATTCTGCTCATGTAGACCCACATCTTTTCAGCGGGGCAGCGGGGTTAGGCGCTGATGTATGCCTGGTATTGTGCTTTCCATATGTGATCTCGTTCAGTCCTCATAAAGGTCATAAGGTCTGTGGGGGTATTACTACTTACAGGTTGGAAACTCAGAGAGGTTTGGGACTTGACTGAGGCATCCCAGCCAGTAATTGGAAACAGCAGGTTTTGGATCTAGGTTTCTCTTTGCCCGTTTCACAGATTCTCACTGAAGGCGACCAGGCTGCCTGGCTACATCTGCACAAAGCTAAGAAGTAGCCATTGTGGATGTGGGGAATCCCTGTGTGGATACTAGGGGTCTCAAGAACTTACGTCATGATGGAGTGATAAGTGTCTGCCTCCCATGCTCCAGGTCACAGTTGTTCCCAGCTTCTGGAAACTTCCTTTAATCCATCCCATGATGGTAGCCTCTTCCCATTTCCTTAACACGTGTTTGAAGACTGAATTGATGTCTTATAGTGTACACGTGTGTGTGTGTGTGTGTGTGTATGTATGTGTTTGTGTGGGGGGGGAAGGTGTGTGGGTGTATGTTTGGAGGGGATGTGTTGGAGTGTGGGTGTATGTGTGTAGTGGGGTGTGGGTTGTGGGTGTCGGTGTGTGGGAGCTTGCAGATGTGTGTGGGAGGGTTATGAGTGTGTGTGGGTGTATGTGTGGAGTGTGTGTGTGTGGGATGTGTGTGTATGTGGAATGGGTGTGGGCATATGTGTAGAGTGGGTGTTGGGTGTTTGTGTATGTGGAATGGGTGTGGGTGTATGTGTGGAGTGTGTACGTGTGCAGCATGTGTGTATAGGGTGTGCGTGTAAGGGGTGTGTGTGTGTGCTGTATGTGTATGAAAGGTATATGAAGAGGTGGGGTGTATGTGTGTAATGTACGTGTGTAGGGTGTGTGTATGTGGAGTGTATGTGGGTGGGTATATGTGTGGAGTGTATGTGTGTAGGGTGTGTGTTTATATGTAGCGTGTGTGTATATGGGGTGTGGGTGGGCGGGTGTATGTGTGGAGTGTGTGTATGTATAGGGTGTGTGTGTCTGTGAGGAGTGTGTGTGTGTGGGTATATGTATGTATACAGATATACTTGAGGTCTGTCCCCTCAGTCATTCTCTAGATGACTCTGAAGAAAGGATACTCCCTAAAAAGCTTATTGACTCACTCTCCTAGAGGAAGACCGGGTCACAGTGAACCTCTTGGGAGCTGGAACTCTCTAGAGGTTGCTGAGGGGCCTGAGAGTTGATGATACTTGATGAAGGGAACATTTTGTCTCAAACTTTAAAAACTGGTGGTGAATCCTGGCTGCTAGTCTTTGTGGAAGCTAGTTATTTATTCAGCTAAAATTGGTTAAATTTCTATTATATGCCTGGTTACAGGGTGAGCGCTCAGGAAATGTGGAATAAATTAATTAATGACAAGTACAGTGCTCAGTTTTAATTGCAAGTGACAAAACTCAAGTCTGGCTAAATGAACTTAAAAAAGACATATTAGGAGGATACTGTTCAACTCATTGAAAGAAGACTAGGGAAGATCTGTAGAACCTGCCCAAAGCCAAGGGGTGTTGTGGGAAGCATGGGAATGAGGGCAGCTCTGGGAATTTCATGGACATCTCTGGGGGCAGCCATCAACTGACTCGGGCCCATTCACTTCAGACTCCTTTCACAATTCAGATTCCTCAGGGAGCCTGGGTCACGGTTGATCGACTCCCCCAAATCATGTGGAGGGCGTGAGGGGTTGCTCCACAGAGGAAGGTGTTTCGAGCAGACACAGACACACATACAAGTATCCACTTCGGCTGGGTGCAGTGGCTCAGAGCTATAATCCCAGCACGTTGGGAAGCTGAGGCGGGTGGATTACTTGAGGCCAGGATTTTGAGACCAGCTTGGGGCCTGGTGGTGCATGCCTGCAGTCCTAGCTATTTGGGAGGCTGAGGCAGGAGGATCACTTAGGCCCAGGAGGTTGAAGGTGGGGTGAGCTGTAATTGCGCCATTGCATTCCAGCCTGGGCAACAGAGTGAGTCTTCCTGCATAAATTTGCCCCCCGTCCCCCCACCTCCCCCCCCCCGCCCGCCCACAGAATCTCCAGGAGTTTGTAGTCAGTGGGGAAAGACAGGTGAGTAAAGGGCTGTGATGGTTGGTGTCGAAAGTTTGTGCAAAGTGCAGTGGGAGCTTAGGGAGGTTTTAACTTTTGCATGCGGGAGCCATGCCCAGGTCAGGCATACAGAGGTTGTCCGAGCTGAGTTTTAAGGGCTAAGGAAATGTTTGTCAGTTGGACCAATGCCTTTCAGCAGAACTCCCTGTGTGATAGAGTGATCTAAAAGAATGGTGTGTCCAGGGAATGGTGTGTCCAACTGCTTGCTTGGTCTAGAGTGTGCATCATAGAAGGAGAAGTATGGGTGGAGCTGGATCTTAAAGGGCCCCACGTGCTCTGTTAGGCACTGGGCCTTTAAATTATAGGAGCTAAGCTATCATTGGATGATGTTACGTGGCAGAAGGACATGATCAGTTCTGAGTTTAGGGAAGTTGATCGGGGAGGTGGTAGCAGTGCCCTCAAATTCGACTCCCTTGAATGTGGCTATTAACCTGGGGATGCTGATTGTTGCAGACCAGCCAGAGAATGAGATGCTGGGGGAGCCAATCAAGAGACTGTCCACATGGCTGGAGAATCCCAAATAGCCATAGGATTTCCCAGTAACAACTTCTGCCGTGGATTCAGGGGGATGGTCGTGGGTGAAGGAAAGAGGCTTCTGGTGGCATTCATTGCCCATGGAATTCTAAGTGTTCGAGAGTGCTATATCTTGGACTTAGAGGGTCAGAGGCTGATGAAGCTTGTGAAGAAGCAGGTGTGGGGGGTTTATCCCCTGCCTCACCTCCACCTTTCACAACAGTCAGTTCTCTGTGCTTAGAAATCAGCAATGTGCTGTGCAGCAGCTGTCTGGGAAGAACATTGAACAGGAATGTAGAAACAGCTCAGGCCCTTATGCTGGGTGGGAATGGAATCACTTCCTTTAGATGGCCATTTTGTGAATTTTTACAGAGGAAGTTGAATGAGATTGAGAAAGCTTGGGTCCCCAGAGGTGGCTGGGGGCCGGGGGAGAGCTTCCTCTTTCTTATAAACAGGAGCTTCTGACAGGGAGTGACATAGCATTGTTTCCTTTGTGATAGGTGGTTTCTGAAAACAGGAAAATCTTTACTCCTAATGTGAAAATTGAAAGCTTGTCCTTTGTAGGAATTGTGTCTGGAACCTGTTTGAACAGCATGGAGAAGGGTTTAGCGACCCTGGGGTTCAGATCCAAAAGATAAGTTTGATTCTACCTGTTGCCATGTTTTAGCTGTGTGGTTTTTGCCAAGTTACCTAACCTCCCTAAGTTTTAGGTTCCTCAACTGTAGTGAGTTACAGTAACTACCACCACAACCAACAGCAACAAAACCTAGCATGTGTTGAACTTACAGTGTACCAGGCACCATACAAAAGCATCCTATATTCATTATCTCTTTTATACCTTACACAATCCTATGAAGCAGGTAGTGTTTTTATCAGCATTTAACAGATAAGGAAACCTAGGCACAGCAAGATAGGTAACTTGCCAGTTCCTCCCTTTCTCACCCCTCACCCCCTGAAAGAAACACACACACACACACACACACACACACACACACACACAACCCAGCAATTGGTAGAGCTAGGATTTAATTTCAGATGTTGAGACACCGGAATTTGATATATCAGAGAGCTGTTATGAGTTTTAAAGGAAATTATGTGTAAAATGCTGAATATAGTTCCTAGTACTTCGTGAGCATTCAATAATTTAGCCATTTATTGTGTTTTTAGCCTCACTCTGCTCTTTTTTGCCTTTTGCAGAAGCAGCTGACACAGGATGATGATACTGATGCGGTTGAGATTGCTATCGACAACACGGCTTTTATGGACGAGTTCTTTTCTGAGGTAGGCAACCTTCCTGTATTTTTTTCTAAATGTACATAAGGAAACACTATTTCCTTAGTAAGAATAAAAAACCTTAGATTTTTCAGGGTAGCAGAGGAAGGTCACAGTTTTTTGCTAGGGTGGGATGGCCAGACAAAGAAATTAAAATAACATTATTTTCAATATTTACTTGAATCTGGATTTTTAAAAATCTTAAGAAAGTCAGCAGAGGGTCAATTATATGTAATTGAAGAGATGCTTTTAAAATCTTACTCCGTATGACAACATTTTAATGATATCCTTTCTTGCTTAAAGTACATAACAAATACAGAATCAACCATAGGATCACAACCATGAGTATAAAACATTGCATCTTTAGGCTTGTGATTCAGATACATCAAATGTGTAGTTTTGAAAATTTTGGGGCCAGACATGGTGGCTCACACCTGTAAGCCCAGCACTTTGGGAGGCCAAGGCAGGTGGATCACTTGAGGTCAGGAGTTCAAGAACAACCTGGCCAACATGGCAAAACCCTGCCTCTACTAAAAATACAAAAATTAGCCAGGCACACCTGTAATCCCAGCTACTTGGGAGGCTGAGGCAAAGGAATCACTTGAATCCGGGAGGTGGAGGTTGCAGTGAGCCGAGATCGCACCACTGCACTCCAGCCTGGGTGACAGAGTGAGACTTTGTCTCACACACACAAAAAAAAAAAAAAAAAAAAAAATTATAGTCCCTCTGACTTAATTCTAGTGGTAACTGAGAAACCAAACTGCCAGTTTAGTTTTGTAAAAGTTCAACAGGGGCAAAAATGGGTTCATGTCTACAGATCCATGTACTCTGATCTTAAAGGTCCTCAATGGGATGGTACTATGATAGGTAGGTGGTGGAGGAAAGCTTGTAGAGGCAGTAGTATATCGTGGATGAAAACACTGGCTTTCGAGCTGGGTAAACTTGGGCCCAAATCTCAACCCTGCTTCTGAGAAGCTGTTGATTTCATGAACGTTCCTTAACAATCTGTGTCTGGGCTTCCTTACCTGTAAATTAGGATTGATAATGTAATTTCCCACAGGTGGGATCACCTGAGCCTAGGAGTTTGAGGCTGCAGTGAGCTATGATCATGCCACTGCATTCTAGCCTGGGCAACAGAGTGAGACCTTGTCCCCTAAAAAAAAAAAAAAAAAAAATTCACTGGTGATCCAGTGTTTAGGTAAGAAAAGAAAAAAACAATAAACAACAAAAATCCCCATTGAGTTGCATAAGGATTAAGAGGGACAGGCCAGGCGTGGTGGCTCACGCTTGTAATCCCAGCACTTTGGGGGGCCGAGGTGGGCGGATCACAAGGTCAAGAGTTTGAGACCAGCCTGGCCAACACAGTGAAACCCTGTCTGTACTAAACATACAAATATTAGCTGGGTGTGGTGGTGGGCACCTGTAATCCCAGCTACCCGAGAGGCTGAGGCAGGAGAATCGCTTGAACCCAGGAGGCGTAGGTTGCAGTGAGCCGAGATTGCGCCACTGCACTCCAGCCTGGGTGACAGCGGTAGACTCCGTCTCAAAAACAAACAACAACAACAAAAACCAAGAGGAATAATGTTTGTAACACAGCATAGCATCTGGCATATATGTGCTTAATGAATGATAATTCAAAAAACAAAAACAAAAAGCTCACTATTGTTGAAGTTTCTGCCACCATACTATGGTTTCTTAGGTTTTTAATTTCCCCTGGAAAGAAAACAAGAAGTATCGTGCTCTTTTTGCAGAGAGAATGTGATGCTTCCCATCCTCTAGACTGTGGATGTGGAAAAGTAACCCTCCAGTTTTTTTTCTGAAAGGAATGGAGTGGGGCATGACGGTTCGTGCCCATTTATCTGTTAGAGTAATAAACAGGAATTAAGAATAAACTTGAATGTGTGCTGGCCTGATTGGGAAGTTGGCTGTAAACTCTCCACAGATCCCCACCCTCCTCACAGGCGGGTCCATCAGAGTCATAGTGAGATCAAACAACACTTAGGCTTTGTGAGTCCAGTGTTACTCCAATTGTGGATCGTGGAAGGACAATATCCTTTCACTCCGTGATGGGGGTGGACTTAAGGAGATGTTTGAAGTCTTTCTAGCTCATCTCAGTCTGCCTTGGAGAACCAGATACATTAAAGAACTTCTTCCCTAAGATAAGGAATCTTTTCCAATAACTGTGTTCTCCTTTTTCTTCTGAGCCAGTCAGAGGGTCCCTGAGAGGACCCTCTTTGTTAGGTGTGAAGATGGTGGGCTTTGGCCTCTAAAACATGGTTTGAGTCCACTTTTCAAGCATTTCGTAGCAGTGTAACCTTGGTCAGGTTGCTTAACATCTCTTAGTTTTAATGTCCTGCTCTGGAAATTGGGAGTGTTAGTACTTACCTTTCAAGGATGCCATGAGGATCATATGAGATCACACATCTGGGAAGGATCGTCAGACATAAAAGCACTGGATGGGTGGTAGCTACTTCTGAAGAGGCTGTTGAAGATTTAACAAGACCTTCAGGGCTGCTGCATTGCTTATTTCTTTCTCTTTGTTATGTGTGTGTCTGTCATTTAGGGAAAAACCCCGTGAAACTTATATTTAGAGTGGAGAAGAGGGACAGCATGGGGAGGTGGAAAGAACATGATCTTTGAATTAAATTCCATATCTGCCACTAACTGTGTGATCTTGTTCACATTCCTTAACTGTTCCAAGTATCAGTGGGTTTATCTGTAAACTGGGGAGAAAAATATTCATGTCATAGATTTGGTAGAGATTAAAGGAGCTAATGCTCAGAAAGTACTTAGCATGGGGTTCAGCAGTGTTACTTTCCTCTTTTCTTGGATCTGATAGAGCACAGAGAGGATAAGGCCTTGGGGGAGTGGGGAGAAGTAAGAGGGAGTGGATCAAGTAGGCTCTGGCCCCACCTAACATGGTCTGAATCTCAGCTCTGCCCATTACCAGTGGTACAATTTTGGAAAAGTTAACTACTCTAAACCCCAGTTTTCTCTAAAAAGAGAATATTACCTGTTGGATTTTATGGATATAAAATGAGAAAGGGTATGGGTGCACCTATCACAGTGCCTGACATCTAGTACATATGTTCTTATCACCCTTCTGTCCCCCAGTGTACTTATGAATAAGTAGACCACAAAGTTTATTTTATAGAATGTGGTGTAGATATACTGTTGAAATTGGGATAAATTATGTTTCAGAGAATAGAGATTTGGGGAAATGAGAGATTGTCCCCCTCTATGTGACTGGTGATCATGCCCACTACACCCTGCAGGTTATATAACTAAGTCGCTTTCTTGGGAAAGCACTCTTGATAAAACTTACTGTTTGGACTGGTTCCAGGAGGTCATCCTTGGTTATTTGCTGAGAGCATGAATCACAGCTTAGTCATAGAGGTATTTGCAAGGTGCACATGAAGTCATAGGACCAGGGTGTTTTCAGAATGTGATTTGCACTGTCAGATTCCATTGTATCTTCTCTAGCTTCTTGATCGTTGGAAAAAAAGATTGGCCCTTGGGTTTTCAGGCCACTTTGGCTGATCAAGCCAGAGCCTGGTAAATGATAAACGCCACATTTTTGTCTAATTTGCAGTTGTCTATATTTTTCTTGGTTTGTTTGCTCAGTTGGCAGAAAGTAATGTTCAGATGAAACAGACCTGCCTTTGGAGGCAGAAACATTAGGGGTTTATTTTTCTGTATTCGTTTATCTATTCATCAAAGTATTTGAGCGCTTACTGTCTTCAAGATAGCATGTTAGGTGCTGGGGATCCAATGTTCTGTGACAGGATTCTCGCCCCCTGTTGTCTCCTTATCTGGTAAGGGTGATAGAAATTTTTAAAATGTTGTTATATGATAAGAAAAGTGTCAGTAAGGTACCATGGGAGCACAGAAGAGGAAGCGTTAAATTCTGCCTGCAGAGAGGAAGGTGAGGGAAGATTTCCCTGGTTCTTAACTAGACTTGTCATCAGAATCACCTGGGGAGTTTTTTGCACATACACATACCTGATTCTTAGGGACTGGAATGGCTCAGACTTTTGGATTTTTAGGAATGTCTTCCGGATAATTCTGTTGCCTACTGCAGCTATGCACCACTGCAAAGTGATGGGGAACCTTCGAGGATTTAAACAAGGAAGTGATGGGCTCAGAGTGTGTTTTAGAAAATTCACTCCGATGGCAGTTTGTGGAGGGTGCGAAAGACCTGAAATGGAAAGACCAGCAAGCCAGCGATGGAGCCTTGACCTGAATCTGTGATCCTGAGCAGCAGTGTAGCCTATCATTTAGGGATGCTTTTGACTAACTGTGGCTTAAGCAACAAAGATATGTAATTATTTTGCATATGAAGTAGTTTGGGGTTAGGGATGGTGCCGTTTAAAGGTCAGCTTGGGGTTCTAGGTCAGCATCACTGTGATCCTCTTGGCTTTTCTCTTAGGATTGTGAGAGAGAGAGTCTGTTCTGTGATTATCTATTGTTATATCACAGCATAGCCCCAATATTTAGTGGTATAAAACAACTGTTTGTTTTGCTGACAGATTCTGTGGAGTAGGAATTCAAACAGGGCAAAGTGGGTCCGGATTACTTCTGCTCTACAATTTCTGGGGCTTTTATTGGGAAGACTTGAACAACTGCAGGCTAGAATCTTGTAGAGGCTTTTAAAATTTTACTGTCTGGTGCCTTTACTGGGGTGGCTCAAGGGAAAAGCTCAGCAGAGACTGTCAGTCAGAGCACCTACACTTGGCTTCTTTCTGTGGCTTGGGCTTCTCGTAGCTGGCCCACTTAGGGCTATTGAACTTGTTACATAGAAGCTCAGGGATGCAAGGCAAGTGTTCCAGCTACAGAAGTTACATAGCACATCACTTCTGCTTGGCTCTGTTACTGAAGCAGTCACAAGCCTGCCAGATTAAAAGAGCGGTACATAGGTCCCACCTGCCTGTGTTTTGAAACCACCAGAGTCAGAGCTCTATTTGGCATCACCCTGTGACAGCGTTGCAAGCATTAAGAAAGGGTGCAGCTAGAAAAGTCCAAAGGTCCTTTCATCAGAGAGGAAAACTGCCCAGATCCTCCAATCTGACTTCCCTTGTGGCCTCCTGGATAGCACTGGGTCACATGGTGTGGGCCTCCTTAGCTGGAAGGGACACCAGGAAAGTGAGTACTCAGCAAAGGGACAGGATTGCCAGGATTGCCATCAAACACATCATGATTCATCCTCTGGGGCTGGCAATGCCACTACCCAAACAAAGTCAGATTTCTGTTAAAAAGAAAGAGAGGGAAGGGGCCAGGGAATGGCTGTTTGTTGGGTCAGTGAAAATGCGTTGTCACAGATGGCAGTGTGAGGTGCAAAAAGCCTTCTGTGATCAAATATGTTTGAGAAATGCTTCCTGCTTCTTTCTTCTCTTGGAAACTTAAAATGCACGTTAACTTATTGAAAGCTCTAAGAAGTCCTGTAATAAATCAGCTTAACTTGGCTATCCTAGCATTTAATTTTTCAGAGCAACACTTTCTAACATGGAACTTCTATTAATAAGGATGAAAGTTTTCTTTTCTTTTCCTTTTTTTTTTTTTTTTTTTGGGGATGAAGTTTCGCTCTTGTCGCCCAGGCTGGAATGCAACAGTGTGATCTCGGCTCACTGCAGCCTCCGCCTCCTCCTGGGTTCAAGCGATTTTCCTGCCTCAGCCTCCCAAGTAGCTGGGATTACAGGCATCCACAACAATGCCCAGCTAATTTTTGTATTTTTAGTAGAGACGGGGTTTCACCATGTTGGTCAGGCTGGTCTGGAACTCCTGATCTCAGGTGATCTGCCCGCCTTGGCCTCCCAAAGTGTTGGGATTATAGGTGTGAGGCACCACGCTGGCCAAAAATTTACTTTTTTGAATGCTGTCTTAGTTTGGGCTGCTATGAGAAAGTACCGTAGACTGAATGGCTTATAAACAATAAGAATGTGTTTCCTACAGTTCTGGAGGCTGAAAGTCCGAGACCAGGATTCCAGCATGATCGGGTTCTGGTGAGGACCCTCTTCTGGGTTGTGGACTGCCACCTTGCTGTATCTGTATCCTTACAGGGTGGAAAGAGCAAGCTAGCTCTTTGGCCTCTGCTTATAAGTGCACAAAACACAGTCATGAGGGCTCCACCCTTACAACCTAAATGCCTTCCAAAGGTCCCATCTCCCTCTAAGTACCATCCCATTGGGGATTAGGCATCAACATATTAATTTTGGGAGAGCACATTCAGTCCATAAGAAGTATGCATTTGTAGTGGTATAACAGACCATTTGTAGTGATATAAGAAGCATACTTGTCTCCTGCAGTTACTTATATTCATTTATTTATTCAGCAAATGTCTACTGAGTAACCCACATGCTTGACAGTGATGAATATCAAGTAGTCTAAGTTGAGCAACACGTGGTCCTAGTGCTTGAGGGGATCTGAATCAGTTCTGGGAGAAGTTAGGGTGGATAAATTGTGGGCATAGTGCAGCAGAGCCTGGCTGGGGTGAGGGGTGGGTGGAGCAATACCTGGCTGGAGGAGCTGTGAGGTGACCAGTCTTGAAGCATATGGATTTGCTAGGTATGCTTGATTTTTGTTAGAACTAAGAACCTCAAAGTGAATCCAACTTGGAAATCCACACATTAAATCTAGCAGGTTAAATACTTTTTAATTCTTTAAGTAGAATATTGGATGACAATGACCTACCAGGCAAACTGGTAGATTCTGCATTTCTGGGCTCTTCCAATGGGGCAGGCAGGAAGCCTTGCCAGTCATTTGCCTATTTGCATTCAGGACCATTCCCTACTGTCCTTCCTCTGCTCTTCTCTGTATCACAGGGAACTACATTTCCCAGCTTCCCCTGCCAATTGCTTTTGGTATATTTGACTAAGGAGAGTGTTATGGACTGAATGTTTGTGTCCCCTCAAAATTCATATGCTGGAGTCTAATCGCCAATGTGATGGTATTTGGAGGTAGGGCTTTTGGGAGGTAATTAGGTCATGAGGGCGAATTAGTACCCTTATAAAAAGAGACGTGAGAAAGATGATCTCTCTCTCAGCCATGTGAAGATACTGGAAGAAGGCAGCTGTCTACAAGCCAGGAAGAGGGTCCTCCTCAGACATCAGATTTGCCAGTGGACTTCCTAGCCTCCAGTACTGTGAGAAATATATCCTGTGTTTAAGCCACCTAGGCTATGGTATTTTTCTTACAGGAACCTGAACAGATTAAGACAGTGAGGTACTAGCAGAAGACTCAAGGAGGAGGGAAGAGACCATAGTTTTCCTCCTTTCTCTCTCTACCTCAGACATGCCTTCTTCATGGCCTCAGCTCTTTCTCAATAGACCCCGCCTCCATGGTCCCAGTTCTGCTGGTCAACTCCACCATGGTCTGGTCCCCATCAGACAGCTCTGGCTTTAGGCTCTGGTGACCCTGCCTTCCTTCTCTTTCGCTCTGACCTGCTGTTGCTAATTTTCAGAGTGCCCCAGCAAACTTCTGTTTGGCTTCTTGACGCTTCCATCCCTGCATAAACAATCCCTTTATTATATTACTTTGATTAAAATAACTAGATAGGTTTTCACTTTCCTGACTAAGTTTTGAGTGATGCAAAGCCCCAACACACTTAATTTACTTGAGATTATTGTCTCAGAATACTTGTTTTCATTGGTCAGTATAATTCTGAGATCATTCTTTTCTTTTCATTCATAAAAGGAGAATTGAAACATTAGTCCTGGTCTTGATAAAATGCTTTTGGGACTTGACTTCCATTGCTTGGTTGACTGAGGTGGCCTTTTCCCTCCCTTTTCATCAACATTTGTTTTCTTTTTTTTTTTTTTTTATATTAGCACAAACACATTTATTTATTAACCAAAGGGATGATCCTAATTAATCCAACACACTTTGAAATAGCTGCATGTAAAATGTTTATGATAAAGATAATTGAACACAGTAATGAAAAAAAAAAGAAAGAAACAGTATGGAGATTTGCTCATTGAACTGAGCTTGGTCATTCTCTTAATTAACTCCTGTCCAAAGTGATGATGGAATTTTTATTCTACTTTTTCATAGATCCGAGTACAGGTGACATTGTTCATGACACACTCCACCACTAATTTCCCATCTTTCAATTTTCTTGTTATTGTGCTTTCCTTCCCATCCCACTCCTGATGCTGAACCAATGCACCATCTGTAAAGTTGCAGACAGTCTGAGTTTTTCTGCCATCAGCTGTGGTTTCTTCAAACTTCTCTCCCAGGGTACAAGAAAACTGTGTTGTTTTCAAAGTGCTCTCAGTTTTTATGGTGAGGTTTTTACCATCACAAGTGATGATACAATCTGGCTTGGCCATTGCGCCCATTTTTCGCAAAGCTATTCCCACTCCTAGCTCCTTCATGTATTCATCAAAGCCTTTGCTGTCCACCAGGCGCCATCTTCCTTCCAGCTGCTGAACTGTGGCCATGGTGGGTGCGGGCGGGCTGGCGTGCAGAGAGCAACATTTGTTTTCTAAAGCAAAGAAGCAAACAAATTAAAGAGGACTTGACTGAGCAGCTCTAATATGAAGACTGCTTGGGATTCTGTCATTTTTTGGGGAAAGTGAAGGTGTATAAATTGTGAAAAGGAGGGATCATTTGACAGTTAAAATCACATTGCTCTTGTCACCTCGCAATAAGTTTTCAATACGTAAATATGCAGCAATTAATGCTCAACTAGAGGTACAAGGTACCTGGGAGTTTAGGAGAGGCCGAGACTAATTCTTAGGGAGAATAAACAGAGCTTTTTTGCTTAGCCTTCCATCTTACCCCATGCAACCTGCCAGTTCCACAAACTAGTACTTTCTCTGCTTTTCCTTGTTTAATTAGATTCCACTGGCTAATTAGGTCCAGAAGGAAGAGGCCATCCAGATCTCGAAAATAACTCCTTCCTTTTAGTTATAGTTATTAGTATAATATAGTAATTATATTTGGCCACGCCCAACATGTAGAGTGATTGACTTGGGTGTTGACCTTAGATTTCCTTGGGTGGCTACTGATGAGGTCAGACTGTTTTATTAAGACTTTTTTACAGGATTGCTATGAGGATTAAATGAGACATGCCTGTAAATGCACTGCATAGTACCTGGCATATGACAAATGTGCAGTAATTGCTGGCATTTTTGTATTTATCATTGTCATCACCTAACATTTATTGAACATGTACTTTATGTTAAACATTTGGCATGTATTGTCTAATTTAATCTTCACAAAAACTCTAAAGTGGGAGTTGTGATAATTCTCATTTCACAGATGAGAGAACTGGTGCTTAGGGACACTTACAGGGTGCGTTCAAGGTCATAAAACTGCTAAGAGAGATGGAGCAGAAACTGGAACCTGGTCTGTTTGATCTTAATTCCTTAAATCCTATATTATCTGGATTCCCGTATTACTAACAAAGCATTGAAAAGTACATTTTAGGCTGGGCCTGGTGGCTCATACCTGTAATCCTAGCACTTTGGGAGGCCGAGGTGGGCGGATCACTTGAGCTCAGGAGTTAGAGACCAGCCTGGCCAACATGGTGAAACCTTGTCTCTACTAAAAATACAAAAAAAAAAAAAAGGTTGGTGTGGTGGCGGGTGCCTGTAATCCCAGCTACTTGGGAGGCTGAGGCAGGAGAATCACTTGAACCCGGGAGGTGGAGGTTGCAGTGAGCCAAGATCATGCCACTGCACTCTAGCCTGGGCAACAGAGCAAGGCTTTGTCTCAAAAAAAAAAAATTAATAAACAATGTGCAATGAGAAGGCACTGGGAATATATTAGCTGTAAATTTTACATGGTGATTTAAAAAAAAACACTTTTAGATGTCAACACTTGGTCAGCAATACTTCTTGAGGGCTCATTTTGTAAAAAGCTTTCTATAGGGAGCGGTGGTGAGAAGACAGAGAAATAAGGATGATCTCTGTGAAAGGCAACTGATCCATTCTCCCAAAACAGTGGATTGAACATGCACATTAACCTGATGTGAGCTGAATATGCATGAACTTGGGAGAGAAGATATAGGAGCCTTCCTTAGGCGTTTACCTGGTTCAGGAGACAGGATTTAGTATTCCTGAGTTCAAACCTCAGTTTTGCCTCTTTCTGCAGTATAACCTGGAGTAAATTTCTCTACTTCTTTGAGACTCGATATTCTCATATGTATAAAAAGGAGATGATGATGGTAGCCTCATAGAAGTATTGTGAAGTGCATAGCATCATTTCTGATACAAGAATATGTTTAGTCAATTTTAGTTCTTAAATATATGAATATGCAGAGTAATTTTAGATGTCAGTATACTTAACCCCAGACAAACACATGCAATAGCCCTTAAACTTTTAGATTGGGCACTTGTCAGTTTCCTATACCCCTTCCCTGCAATTGCCTCATGATTTTTTGATTATGTGGCAAATGCACAAAAGGAAACCACATGTAGCTGCCATTTCACACCATTAAATACTCAGAAAGTCACCTTTGAGGAAAACCAGTACTTCTAAGAAAAAGCAAAGCCACGAAGTTCAAAAAAAGAAAGCTCTATGGTTGGCCACTTGCCCATCCTGAGGTCCCAAAAAGGTCCTGTGATTATTTGGTGAACTGACTAAATTGCTGTGAAATCAGATTCCCTGAAATGCCTCCAAATAGAAAGGTTGATGCGGTCAGAGGAAAGAGACCAGCTACAGTGGGTGGAGGATGGGTGGGGTGGAATGGAGTGCTCCCTGGGCCTGGGAAGTCCCGTAGGCAGGTTGCGGATAGAGCACCCAGGACCAGTTCTCCTGTGCATAGGGCAGGGTGAGTATCAGCCATCCAGTCTCCAAATGCCTGTAGTGACACTGAGCCTGAGGCCTGCCAGTCTCATCCTAGAAACTTCCTATCTCTTCCTGTGCTTCTACCATTGACTGAACTTTGGGTCAGAATACTCTTCAGTTTATAAAATAATTTTCCAGATGAGAGAATTTCTGTGACAACCAATCTGTTGAACATGCAAAATCTAAGTCCTTCATGACTTGTTAAAATTTAAAATTTGATAAACTCATTTAAAAATGTTTAGTGTGTTTTCTTCTAGAAAGCCTTTTTCCCTCCCTCAATCCTGTAAAACAGTGTAATTGCTTTGGCAAGACAGTTATGTGGTGGAACTGGAAACCATGGTGTGATGCAATGACATGAGTTCTAAGAGGGGCCAGTAGATTCTGAGGTGGTCACACCCCTAGAGTCTGTGAGTGTATTAGTTTGTTTTCATGGTGCTGATAAACACATACCTGAGACTGGGCAATTTACAAAAGAAAGAGGTTTAATGGACTTTCAGTTCCACGTGGCTGGGAAAGCCTCACGGTCATGGCAGAGGTCAAGGAGGAGCAAGTCACGTCTTACATGGATGGCAGCAGGCAAAAAGAGAGCTTGTGCAGGGAAACTCCTGTTTTTAAAACCATCAGATCTTGTGAGACTTACTATCATGAGAACAGCACAGGAAAGACCCACTCCCATGATTCGATTGTCTCCCACTGGGTCCCTCCCACAACACATGGGGATTATGGGAGCTACAAGATGAGATTTGGGTCGGGACACAGAGCCAAACTGTATCAGTGAGTATCATAGGTTGTAACAGAGGCCTTTTTTATAGCTGGGTAGGGCTGGAATGCTGCTAAACAGTACAGATAATTAAAAAAATTAACTCTTCAATCTAATGGAAAAAAGCTTCCCAGTTGGAGTGTGGAGGGCACTATTTGCATGCTGTCCCTACCACTAGCTATGTGACCTATAATTTCTTTAAACTTGTTTCCTCATTTGAATAATGGTACTGGTCCAGTCTTATAGGTTGCTTTGTAAACTCTTAAAATGCTTCACAAATATTTGGGTAGTTACCTGTATGTATGTTTACACTCCCATGATATTATTACATTGTAATTTTATTCTACATCTTTCAGCAAGCAGCTCTACTCTTAAACTCTGGCACATCTAAGCCAATATATTTATAGAGGGGAAAATCCTGTGCTCCAGTGGCAAAAGTACTGATTTGAGGGCTAGAGAGCTCAAGTATTGTTTCTCCTATTTTCTTTCTTTTCCCTTTTTTTTTGTTTGTTTTTGAGACAGAGTCTCACTCCGTTGCTCAGGCGGGAAATGCAGTGGCATGATCATGGCTCACTGTGGCTTCAACCTCCCAGGCTCAAGGGATCCTCCGTTTTAGCCCCCTGAGTAGCTGGGACTACAGGGGCATGCCACGATGCCTGGCTGATTTTTGTATTTTTTGTAGCGACGGGGTTTTGCCATGTTACCCAGGCTGATCTTGAACTCCTGGGCTCAAGTAATCTGCCTGCCTCGGCCTCTCAAAGTGCTGGGATTACAGGTGTGAGCCATTGTGCCTGGCCTCTCCTATTTTCTATTGAATATGAAGAGCTATAATCAGGTTTTGAAAAAGGTGAAGTGTCCACAGGAAAAGAGGGATGCTGGAAGCTGCATATGCATTGAGTTTTATTTTTGTTGCATCTCAGATGTTAGGATCCTACTGTATGACATTTTACAAGATTTCTGTTTGTCAATTGTTGCAATGTTGATGTGCCCTTCACTTTGAGAGTGAAGCAGATAGACCCTACAGGTGCTGAGGTCTCTCCTTCCTGCCCTGCTCCCTGTACATAGGCTTCCACTGCAGCAGGGCTGTGGTACCAGTGGCATGGGCACCTATGAAGCGGGGAGCTGAGGCTGCAGTCAAAGCTCACACAGGAATGTCTGACAGTGGCGTTCTACCTGGGAATGAAGTGCTGCTGGAAATATTTTATGATACTCACAGCCTTGTACAATCAGGAGCCTTAGAAATATGCAGAAATGGGCTGTGGCTCGAGCTACTGGGTCCTGATCGTCTGAGGAAATCAGTTAGTACAAGAACATATGTGTCCTAGAGAAGCTTGGGCTGTCTCCTGAGACCTTCATTGCCTAGTATCTCTCTTTTTCTCTCCTTGTTTTCTTTATCTGTTTCTTTCTTTCTTTTTTTTTTTTTTTTGAGGCAGTCTCGCTGTGTCGTCCAGGCTGGAGTGCAGTGGTGCGAACTCGGCTCACTGCAAGCTCCACCTCCCGGGTTCACGCCATTCTCCTGCCTCAGCCTCCCGAGTAGCTGGTACTACAGGCGCCCACCATCACACCAGGCTAATTTTTTTTTTTTTTTTGCATTTTTTAGTAGAGACGGGGTTTCACTGTGTTAGCCAGGATGGTCTTGATCTCCTGACCTCATGATCCATCTGCCTCGGCCTCCCAAAGTGCTGGGATTACAGGCATGAACCACCGCGCCTGGCCTATCTGTTTCTGTCTTTCTCTTCCTCTCATTCTGTGTTTTTCACTCTCTAGGTTTGTTCTTTTCCTTTCACTTCTTTCTTTCCTTCCTTCCTTTTTCCCCTCTCCTTCATCCTCACTCTTTTCTGTTCTCACTTTTTGGGCTTTAAGGCTCTGCCTGCTAAGGTCTGCTGATTCTCCCCCTCTGATCATTCTTCATGGTTTTTCTTAGCTCTTCTTGACTTTGGCCTGAATCCTTTCATCCAAAGTGGGTGAATGTATTACTCTTAGGGAGCAACAAGTATGGATTTTTAACAACTGTTCTGTTGAGATTACTTTATCTGACCATGGAAAGGGTACTCACTGGGCAGCTGAGGACTTTAAGTCATTATCTTCTTCCACAAACCCAGAAGATGGGCAGCTTTCACCAGCAGCTCTGCCAAACGTTTATCTCAGCCATGGACCTGTACTTCCTCTTTGATGATGAAGGTTATTGTCTTTCTGATTATAGATTGAGGAAACTCGGCTTAACATTGACAAGATCTCAGAACATGTAGAGGAGGCTAAGAAACTCTACAGTATCATTCTCTCTGCACCGATTCCAGAGCCAAGTGAGTGTTTACTTAGAACTGAGTCATCCAACAATCACCCTTTCCTTGGAGCTGAGCCAGCCTTGTTTTCTTGCCCTTCGTGAGCAGTAGGGAAGTGTACAAGTTACAGGGCACTAGTGTACATATTATCTCATTTCCCTCCCCTTTACCTTACCTGAGCTCCTACTGCCTGGCCACAGTCAAGGTTTTGTCTTCATGGTCCCACTCCAACCATTTAGCTAGACTTTCCTGTTTCCCAGCTAGTCCCTCTTCCTGACTGGCGACGATTCCCACTGCTGCTTACATACCCTGTGCCCTGTCCCTCCTCTGAGCCTCTGCGTGTACTATTTCCCCAGCCTGAACTGCTTTTCCTAGCCCTCTTTCTGAATCCTACCAGATCAAGTCCATTTTTTCTTTCCATGAGGTGTTCCAAAATGGTTCGAGTTCACAGAAATTCCTTCTATCCCTAAACTCCTGTTTGTTACCACCACCTAGGCAAACGTTTTTTCTCCCCTAATTGTTTGCATGGGTGTCCAACCTTTTGGCTTCCCTGGGCCACATTGGAAGAAGAATTGTCTTGGGCCATACATAAAATACACTAACACTAACGATAGCTGAAGCGCTGAAAGAAAGGTTTGTGCATAATTTTCCTGATATCTGCCACTACAGATAAGCAAAAAAATCCGTGCGTTCCACGGTTTGGACACGGGTGGTTTAGGGCTATATTTTTGGTTCCTTAAGAACAGGGAACAAGCCTGACACTGTCATTCCACTCTTTCATTTTTCCCATGGGCCCTCTTACCTAAAGACTGAAGTGGGAACACTTTAGCAGAGCATATGGGCATTGTCTTGATCACATTCCTGCCTTCCCAGCCAGCCTGTCTCCTGCCATCCTCCTCCTGCTTCCCACGCTTCAGCCAGAGCAACTCTGTCTGGTTCCCCAGGCATTTCCTGTTCACTCATACCCTTTACTTACTGTTTCTTCTCGTGGAATTCCTGCTTTTAGTCTCTTTCTCTACCTGGCCAACTCACAGTCCTTGAGACTCAGTCCTGCTCATCTCCATCTTTAGAGGCTTTTCCAGATCCCTCCAGGCTGTGCACACCTTGACCAGAACTCATACCTTACTCCACGCTGCATATTAGAGCTGCTGATTTATTTCTCCTTTGTCTCCCACTAGACTCTAACACCTTGCAGGAAAAATCTAGATCTTCTTTCTGATTCCATAGTTTCTAGCTCTGTTCCAAAGTTGTAGTAGGGGCTGAAGGATGGCTTTTGAATGAATGGTTATAGCTAACACTTAGTTTGCTCCATACAACCTAGGATGTGTGTAGTAGGTATGTCATAAATATTTGCCTCATTTTAAGTTGATTAGCCTTGGTTGAAATCTATTTTCCCCATAAGCTCCCTAGAACCTTCTCAACCGAAGCTCCCGTGGTAGGCTCTTTCCTCTAAAAGCAGAGTTTCCACAATTTTATGTGCTGCAGGATTACTCAGGAGGGTTGAAAGAGCTGATTTTGTGGTTCCAACCCTGGGTATTTTTATTCTGTAGACTGAGATGGGGTGCCTGGAAAATGCCTTTAAAAAAATAAGCACTCTGTGATTCTAATGACAGATGCTGGGGAGTGCGTAGGGATAAATACCATTCTGGGCAGTGGATGCCCGATAAAGCTCCCCTCCTCTGATGATGATTGCTGTAGTTCACAAAGGAATCAGTCCTCTCCTTTCTAACGGATTCTGCCTGCCTTTATTTACCCAGAAACCAAGGATGACCTAGAGCAGCTCACGACTGAGATTAAGAAAAGGGCCAACAACGTCCGGAACAAACTGAAGAGTAAGAAGGGAACAAAGAAAACAAGGCCGTCCCCACCACCATCTATCTCAGCTCCCCTAGGGTCCAGCTTTCCGAACTGAAACTCCTCTTGATGGAAGTGACACCACTTGGTCCATCTTTGCTTGTGGTTTGGGCTCTGTCCCCGCAATGATCCATTGTAGCCCCAGAAATTTACCTTTTCTTAAATCCTGACTGTACTGGAAAGAGTCCAGAATTGAAGCTAGGAGATGAGAATTAAAATGTGCTTTCAGCTGCTGAGTAGTTTTGTGACTTGGTCCTTTAACTTAGTCTTTCAACTTGTCTCTCTTTTTTTTTTTTTGAGACGGAGTCTCACTCTGTCCCCCAGGCTGGAGTGCAGTGGTGTGATCTCGGCTTATTGCAACCTCTACCTCCTGGGTTCAGGTGATTCTCCTGCCTCAGCCTCCTGAGTAACTGGGACGCACCTGGCCCATCAACTTTTCTCTTATTGGTCTTATTTCCCTGGCAACTACATACTTTTTTTTTTTTTTTTAAGACAGAATCTTGCTCTGTTGCCCAGGCCAGAAGGCAGTGGCTCAATTTTGGCTCACTGCAATCTCTGCTTCTTGGGTTCAAGTGATTCTCATCCCTCAGCCTCCCAAGTTGTTGGGATTACAGGCATGCACCACCACGCTCAGTCAATTTTTGTATTTTTAGTAGAGACGAGGTTTCGCCATGTTGGCCAGGCTGGTCTCGAACTTTTCTGGCCTCAAGTGATCCACCTGCCTGGGCCTCCCAAATCGCTGGGATTCCAAGTTTGAGCCACAATGCCCGGCCACCTACATACATTTGAATAGTCATTTTAGAGATATATAAATGCAAGAGATATCATTCAGTCTACAGATATTTCTTGGTGGGCTAGGCATACCACCTTCCCATACCCTCACTCCCCCCATTTGGGAGAGTATAGTTCAATGAAGCTACTGTCATAGATTCAGTTCTTCCAGAGCCTAGAAGGTTTACTTAGTTCTGTTGCTAGAGCCTGCATTCTTGCCCAGTGTATTTGGTGCATGCATGCTATTGATCAGAAGAGAAAGCATTATTGCTCAGCTCAATTTACCATTTCTTCCCCCCAAGTATATTGCAATAACTATTTTAACTGGAGGAGTCATTAGTAGCAGATTCCAGTAATAACAGTGATAGTGCACCTGCCATTGTGCTAGGCACTTTATGTGTCTTCTCATTTAATCTTCACATTAGTATTGTGAGGGAGGGACTGTTATTCTGTTTTACAGATGAGAGAACAGGTACATTAAGAGGGGTTAAGTGGCTTTTTCAAAGTCACACCCAGTAAGTGCCAGGGCAAGGATTCAAGCCTAAGTCTCATGGTGACCAGAACCCATGCTGTTAACTGTTATGCCAAAACCTGGTCATCGTAAAGGCTGTGGAATGCACGTCCTGTGGCTCATCTGGGAGCTGACCTTTTGAGGTGACACCTACCTGTTACATCTCCGTGGGCTGGATGTGTGGGAATGAGTGAGGAAGTTTCACTGAATAGCATGTTTCTTGGAGGCGGAGATAGGTTGCAAGTATAACCTTCCTCTCCTCTTTAGGCATGGAGAAGCATATTGAAGAAGATGAGGTCAGGTCATCGGCAGACCTTCGGATTCGGAAATCCCAGGTAAGACTTTTCCTGGTCTCATGATTAGCTAGTCCAATCTCTTATTGTTTTCCCTTAACTGTGGAGGGATTTTTTTTTTTTAATACAATCCTTATTTTGAAACTCAATTTGAAGACCTGGTAAAGGAGAACTCTCCAGGTTGAAATAGGGGTCAGGGCCAGAGTCCAGCCCTTTTGGCTCCTCTCCTGTACTCTCCTTCTCTAAGGAGGCCCCTGAAGAGCTTTTCAGGCTTCCTAGAGCACAGCTTAGGATTTAGCGTGCCTTCTTGTTTTACAGGAGAGGAAATTAATGTCTTCTAACAATTGTTAGTCATTGGTTGTCCAGTTTGGAGCTAGGCACTTTAGGGGTCATCAAAGATAGGATCCTTGTCCTTAAAGAACTGGCATGCCATTGAAGCGGCATGGAAAGCTATTACCTAAGACCCAGCAGGAGGATGCGACCCAGCAGGAGGATGCGATAAGAAGACACATGCATGGTGCTCTCAGCATCAAAAGATCTCAGGAAGAATGGGGGGTAGCCAGAGGAGGCTGGGCCAGAGTGCCAACATGAGCAGCCTCAGGAAGTAGTTTCCCCTCTCTGAGAGGCACAGGGGCAGGAGTGAGGCACGCACATATGTGTGTGTTGGCAGCAGTGGTTGGTAGTGGTGGTGGGTAGACGTAAGGGGCAGACGTGAAGACAATAGGCTTTCTGTAGAAAAAAGTTTGCTGTGGGATAGTGGACACATAATTTTTAGTAGATAATGTAGTGCCACATTCTAGAGGTCTTTGAGGACCAGTCTGGGGAATTTGGATCTGATGTTATAACTTACAGGCATTTGCTTCAGGCGGCAGTATATTAGGAGGATTATTATGGTAGCCATTTGAAAGCCGTTTACAAGTGGGAAAGAAGCAGGAAACTGGAAGGTCCCTAGTTAGGTTTTTGCAAGGGTTTTGGTCTAAATTTGTATGGTGGTAGTGGGTTTGGAAAAAGTATATATATTGGCGATTTTCCAAAGGAGAAACCAGTAAGTAGGGCTTGATGCTGAGAGGTGAGCAAGGAATAAAAATTATTAGGAAGGTTTTAGCTTAGGCATGCAGGGCTGTTGAGATAATGCATCTACTTATAAGCAAGAAGAGTTGGGGAGATGAGTTTAGCGTAAGAACTCAAGGATCTTTGGTAAGTATGACATGTGGGAAGGGAATCTGACAGTTTTAGAATGCAAGCCAAGTGTTGTGCCAGAAAAATGCTACTAGTCCATGTGGATGTAGGGCTCAGAGATTTAGAGATGACCTCTGGCCTCGCAATTACCACGTGAGGTCAGCAGTAAACCGGTTTCAGTAAACTGGTGCTGAAACCATGCTCTGGAAAGGGCAGTGGACTCTCCCAGTGGCACAAAGCTAGGAAACAAAAAACTTGGTTTGACACCTGGTTTTTTGATTCCAAGTCCAGTGCTATTGTAGATGGCTATGTGGGGGTGGGGAGGGGTTCTATAACAGTTACAGAACCACTGGGGCCTGACTGCATTTTACATCATCCCACAGCACTCTGTCCTTTCTCGGAAGTTTGTGGAGGTGATGACCAAATACAATGAAGCTCAAGTGGACTTCCGAGAACGCAGCAAAGGGCGAATCCAGCGGCAGCTCGAAATTAGTATGTACTTGAGGTTTGGCGTGTGCCCTCCACCTTTCCTGCCACCTGGTTGTCCATCCCAAGTTTTGAGGCCCTGGTGGAGCAAGCAGGAAGCACATTTTGTGCCTAAGTCTAGGGCAGCTCCTGCACCACTGGCACATCCCGAATGCTGTGCTGTAGGCTGAAAGGTGACACCGTGTTTATCAGGCCCAAGTAATTTTATTGTATGGGGTCCAGCATTGTCTCCTATATAGAGGGGAAATGCTTGCCAAACAGTTGCTCTCTTGTGGACTCATTGTATCATTTTGCTGTCTGTTTGACAGCAAAGCACATTTAAGAAATAAAAAGTGTGGTGTAAGTTGCTGGGAGGATAAAAGTATGGTGTAAGTTGCTGGGAGGATTAGAGAAATAAATAAAGCCATACCCTTTAGGAATGTAGTAATGTGGAAGGCAGGGCCCCGTGGAGTGGAAGGTGCTTTGGATGAGAGGAATGGTATGAACATAATCAAGAAAGAGCAAGTGTGTTTAGGAGTGGCAGGTTGTCTAGGGTCTGGAGAAAGGGTGTGTCTGGAGTAGCATAAGGTTAGGATGGATTGAGGGAGGGCTTGCCCATGAACTAGCATGTTATGAGGGCCTTGGACACCATAGTGTAGTGAATGGGGCAAGGAAATGTTCTGAGCTGGGAAGCAATGTAATGAGATAAGTGCTTTAGGAAGGTAACTGCTGATAGTGTTAAGGATGGCTTGGATTAGGGCAGAAATAAGATGAGTCAGGAGGCAATTGGGGGAGTGTTGTAAAGGCCACGGTCTTTATAGGGAAGTCACGTTCCTAATTTTCAGGGTCCTTATCAGATGGTGTTTCACCGTGATCTTATATTTGACGCTCTACTTCTTTTGTTACAAAGCTGGCAAAAAGACAACCGATGAGGAGCTGGAGGAGATGTTGGAGAGTGGCAACCCGGCCATCTTCACTTCTGGGGTGAGTGCCCTGTGTGCTCGGATAGCACATCCCTCTCGTGAGCAGGGAGGCCACTGCGGAGCTCATGCAGTCCAGCAGGTGGAGGGGGAGCTGCAGGTGCAGGGAGTTCAGGGAGGCAAGGAGCTCCCCAGGAGCGTGCATGAGGGCTGTGGCAGGGGCAGCCTTTCTTGCAGGGGTAGCTAACAGTCTGTGTGTGGCCTGTTGTAGATCATTGACTCACAGATTTCCAAGCAAGCCCTCAGTGAGATTGAGGGACGACACAAGGACATTGTGAGGCTGGAGAGCAGCATCAAGGAGCTTCACGACATGTTTATGGACATCGCCATGCTGGTGGAGAATCAGGTAAGTGGCAGTGAGTCCCAGCGTGGGGAGGGAGGAGAGGAAAGCTCAGGGTCTACTGAGAACAGGGAGAAAGGGAATACTGGAAGCCAGTGAGGTAGGGTGGGAGAACCATTGGGAATTTGCATAAAGGAGAAACAGAATCCCATGGGAAAGTGTGCATTCAAATTGAATGTTGACACTTTGGGTGATCTTAACCTTGTCATTCTTGCCTGTCCCTTTGGCCTTGCAGTCGTTGCTAGTTGATACAGGGTTTGATGTGTTCTGTCAAGTACCCAGTTTTCCTGGATTTTTGATTTTTTTTTTTTTTTTAAGATGGAGTATTGCTCTGTTGCACAGGCTGGAGTGCAGTGGCGTGATCACAGCTCACTGCAGCTTGACCTCCCAGGATCAAGCAATCCTCCCAGGATTTGTCTTTTTTTCTTTCTTAAAAATCAGAGATCCGGGCTCCTAATGGTGACGTTTTAAAACAGCCTCCTGATATGGACTAGTTCACTGATGACATTGAAAATGTGATCTTTTCTCTAGTTCACAGGGAAGACTCAGGTTTAACATAAATTTTTATTTTTTTCCATTTTTTTTCTGTTTGTATTTTTTTTTAATTTTGGCACCTTTTGCTAAGGCACAGAGCAGACAACAACATGAATGAAGGAGTAGCAAAATAGCATTGACAGAAAGACTCGAAACACTCGTGGTGCTAGTTTGACAGCTTACTTTGTCCCAGGCATGCTTGCTCGGGATAGAATTCTGGATTGCCTGCATAGGGCGCTAGTTTCGCATAGTTAGATGGTTCCTAGTTCTTATGGGACAGTTAAGTGTGCCACAGGGTCATGGTGCTGTGCACTGTTGCCATGAACTTCCAGCTGCTCTGACACTTGGGATAGGAGAGAAAATTGCTTCCATAGTAGGCAGACTGCACAACCTAGTTGAAGCTCGAGCACAGCTTGACTAGTTTTTGACATTGGTTCCCTGCCGAGGGCCTGGATGCTTTCCCCCCATTCCCTACTGGCCTCTGAGACCATTTCTCAAGTCCCTCCATCCCACCTCTTCTTTTCCCCCACACTGCCTTGCCGAGGAACTGGCTTGAGATTCAAGTGGTGGTAAGTGCCTTGTTCTGTTTACAGACTGCCATAAAGTGATAGAGTTGGGTTGGGTAGTTGAGGAGAATTCCTAAAATGCCTAAGATTAATTGGAATGATCAAACTTCCCTGTCAGGAAGTGATTGCTAGGAAATGGTTGGGAAGCTTATCAAGAGACCACTGTCTGGAAGGGAAAATATAACCAAATAGCTTGGGTAAACCCAATGTCTGTCAGTTAAAGGGCCTGGAAATAACTTAGAGAAAGCAAATGTTCCCCACCTCAGATAGTTATTGAGCACCTACTGTGTGCCAGGCACTCTTCTGCAGTTAGTGAATATACTCAATTCAGGCTGAATGATGTTGATTCAGGTCTGAATGACCAGGAAGAGGCCAGCATCCTAGTGATGTCCTAATAACAATGAGATATCCTTATTTTGGTTCCTCTCCATGTGCTTAAGTGTAAAAAAAATAACAAAGGTTGTCTGGGGATATCTCAGAGTATATTTATAGGTAGTTACTAGGTATCTAGATAGTATGTTCTGGATGCCTGGTGGAGTGCTGGTCACAGAGAAGTAGTAAAATTCACTGAATGTTTCTTGAACAAGTGACTGCCACCCCACCACCAAGGACTGTGAATGGGTGTCCTATGGAAGGCCATGCATCAAGGTTTGTGGATGCTCTTCTTGCCACTGAAGATTGTAAGAAAGAGAATCCCTTCCCCGCATTGGCTAGGACTGACCTGAGACGTTTACTTGGTGTGATCAGAGTCTGTTCTTTGCAGGGTGAGATGTTAGATAACATAGAGTTGAATGTCATGCACACAGTGGACCACGTGGAGAAGGCACGAGATGAAACGAAAAAAGCTGTGAAATACCAGAGTCAGGCCCGGAAGGTGAGACTCTCCTGTGGCCTTCAGAGAAGAGAGTCCATTTTGTTTGCTGTGTCTCGCTCTTTCTCTTCCCTCTCCCTGTCTCTGTTTCTGCTGCCACCACCTCTTGCATCTGGGGAAAGGGATCCATGATTGACCGTATTGAGAACAACATGGACCAGTCAGTGGGCTTTGTGGAGCGGGCCGTGGCAGATACCAAAAAGGCTGTCAAGTATCAGAGTGAAGCCCGGAGGGTGAGCACCTTCATCTCAACTGTCCTTCGTCTCAGCTGTCTTACTAGTATCTCTTCTCCCTGGCCACCCCTACCTGTGTTCTTGAGCCCATGCCTCCCTCCCTGTCGTAGCCTCATCAACCCCTCCCTCAGCTTTTCCTAGAGACAAGCTGCCTGCCCTTCCTTCCCAGGTGTGCCTTGCATGGATCTGGCTCACAAGCTATCTCCCCAAAAACCCACACTTGAAAGGCAGTTCTGTAGGATGGATGCATGGCCCAGGTGGTGCTGCTAATCTTCTCCTGGACTTAGCTCATGAGGCTTTCAGATGTTACACTTGACTCCTCTGTTCAGAAACCTTCTCTTCATTGTCTTCCACTCCAGGCGCCCAAGCTCCGCCTCCCTTCTCTTTTTCTCTACCTTGTACCTAGCTCATGCTAACTGCTATCTATACATTATGTCATATCTGATGGAGCACCTGTTATTTCTACTTTATAAATGAGACAGTTGAGGGTCAGGGGCTCAGTAACTGGCTTCAGGCCACCTAGTAAGTAGAGGCACTGGGATTCAAGTTCAGATCCCAATCATTCTGTTTCTACCACACCACTGTATTTGCCCACCCTCTGGTGCCCCTGCCGCTTAAGGACTTCTAGGCTTCTGTGCTCACGACTGTGGTTATCCAGCTCTGGTGGCGTCTGCTTTTTAGACTTCTCTCCTTTGACTGGTTCTCTTGGGCTCTGATATTGTTGTTGTTTAGTTCTTTGTTTTTCATCCAACTTTACCTATTGCTTATGCAGGGATTTAGGGGACTGGGAAGTTATTTTACATGGTGAATCCAGGCTGGGTGGCATTTTCTGATATCCAGGCAGTGTACTGGGTCTGACAGGTAGGAGTATGGGCAAAAGTAGGAAATTAGAACTCTATCAAAAATGCCTTTACATTCCCTCTTAAAATGGAAAAAATCAGTCAGTGACTTTTTATCTTGGCCAACTGCTCCTTAGAGACCCCACGATAGTGGCTCTGATTCTATCTGTCCACATATACAGAACTGCAGTGTGAGCTGAGAGCTGAGAGAGGCCCCATATTTCCCTCTGCTGGCATTCCTAGCCTAGAAGTAATTTAAGAAATTTAAACTGTCCTAGGCTGGGTGTGGTGGTTCACACCTATAATCCCAGAACTTTGGGAGGCCGAGGTGAGAGGATTGCTTGAGCCCAGGAATTTGAGACCAGACTGGGGAACATGGGAAGATCCTGTCTCTACAAAAATAAAGAAAATGAGCTGAGCATGGTGGTGCATGCCTGTAGTCCTATGTACTCAGGAGGCTGAGGCAGGAGGATCACTTGAGCCCAGGAGGTCGAGGCTGCAGTGAGCCATGATCATGCCACTGCACTCTAGCCTGAGTGATAGAGAAAAACCCTGTCTTAAAAATAAATGAAGTATCCTAGAAGGATGTCTGTATGTAGAGATGTAGGCCTCTTACTCAGACTGGTAAGATATTTTCTATGTAGAGGTGACAGGGGTTAGGTTTTGGATGAGTTGTTATTTTTTTGGTTGTTTGTAATAATGATTTGTTTTTGTCTTATTCCTCTCTCCAGAAATTGATAATTATCATTGTGCTAGTAGTTGTGTTGCTGGGCATTTTAGCATTGATTATTGGACTTTCCGTTGGGCTGAATTAAGAGTGGCCTAAGAGGCTGCTGCACTGAAATGTAAGTAAACGAGTGGTTCTTGGGGACTCTGGATTTGGCTCCTCAAGAGGAAATTAGCTTGGGATTTCAAATTCCTCTTCTTTCCCCCTATGATTGTCCTTGGACACACTGAGCTTTCTAAAACTTTCAGTAGCCTGTGGATTCTTTATCTCCTTATAGTTCTATTGGTTTCTGGCTGCAGTACGTGGATGAGCTCTCCGTTTGTTCTTATCCTGTAGATTCTGTCCCCAATCTCTGTCTTGTCGTATTACCACTTCTCCCAGCATACCTGAGCACCCCAGGTGACTCCCCTTACTCAGGAAGCATGCTTCTAAGTTGGGTACATCTCTGTCTTGGATCTGGAGTCTGTCTTCTGAATTCTTACTGATTTTCATGGATGTTGGGCTTTACTTTCTGTATCCTTTTCAATGTAAATGAAACTCTGAATTGGGATTTGGATCTGCAGAGTTTTCTCTGTTGCTGAGTGGTTGGGTCTTAAATGATGATAGTTAACACACTTTTGAGTGTTGTGTTGTACCAGACAATGTACTAAACACCTTATACACATATCATTGAATCCTTACAACATCCTTTGAGACAGATACAGTGTTATGCACATTTTACAGACAAAGAAACTCAGTCAAAGAGAATGTTGAATAACAGGGCCAAGTTCACACAGCTAATAGTGGACCTAGCTTCTCTTTGTAAAAGAAGGTAGCCACTTATCATTAACTATAAAGCCTGGAGAACCTTAGAGGATAGCGATGCTAAAATTTAGACTATTCATTTTCTTGAAAATTTGTTAAAAGTGATAGACTTACCACTGAATCACTGGTTTTTTTTTTTTTTTGAGACGGAGTCTTGCTCTATCTCCCAGCCTGGGGTGCAGTGGCATGATCTCGGCTCACTGCAACCTCCGCCTCCTGGATTCAAGCAATTCTCCTGCCTCAGCCTCCTGAGTAGCTGGGATTACAGGCACATGCCACAGCGCCTAGCTAATTTTTGTATTATTAGTAGAGATGGGGTTTTGCCATGTTGGCCAGAATGCCTTGAACTCCTGACCTCAGGTGATTTGCCCGCCTAAGCTGGGATTACAGGCGTGAGCCACTGCGCCCGGCCTGAATCAAAACAAACAAAAAACGTTTTTGTTGTTGTTGTTTTTTGTTTGTTTCTCATTCTTGTCCCCCAGGCTGGAGTGCAGTGGCGCGATCTCAGCTCACTGCAGCCTCCGCCTCCTGGGTTCAAGCGATTCTCCTGCCTCAGCCTCCCGAGTAGCTGGGATTATAGGTGCCTGCCACCACGCCCGGCTAATTTTTGTATTTTTAGTAGAGACGAGGTTTCACCATGTTGGCCATGCTGGTCTCCTGACCTCAGGTGATCCACCCGCCTCGGCCTCCCAAAGTGCTAGGATTACAGGCGTGAGCCACTGCACCCGGCCTGAATCACGTTTAATAGTAGTGAGCATATCAATCTGGTTATTGGGACTATTAAGACTTTTGTGACTTTAAAACAAACAATTTTTTTTTGTTGTTGAGATTGTGTGTTGCTCTGTCGCCCAGGCTGGAGCGCAGTGGTGCGATCTTAGCTCACTGCAACCTCTGCCTCCCAGGCTCAAGTGATCCTTCCGCCTCAGCCTTCTGAGTAGCTGGGACTATAGGTGTACACCAACACGCCAAGATAACTTTTATATTTTTTGTAGAGATGGAGTTTTGCCATGTCACCCAGGCTGGTCTTGAACTCCTGGACTCAAGCGATCCACTTGCCTTGGCCTCCCAAAGTGCTGGGATTACAGGCATGAGCCACTGCGCCCAGCCAGTGACTTTTAAAATATTTTTCTGAATAAAATATAGCATGCATTGTTAAAAAAAAACCTATAAAATACAGAAAACATAAAACTAATGAACTTTTAATATTATTGCTGATAACCTTGTGGCACGTTCACATACTCAGACATAGTTTTACATAGTTCAGACTATATTATCCAGTTTTGTACCCAGTTAGAAAATTATAAGCATCATTCCACAGCATTAAAATCTCTTTGTAAATCTAATTTTCAATATGAGATTGTGGCCATACTCTCAAATATTTAACATTTTCACAATGTTGGAGGTTTATGTTATTTTGCTGTAGCTAACAGTGTGACTAACCTTATTTAATATTTTTCTCATTTAAATTTTCTCTTTATTACCAACTCATATAAGTTGGAGTACTGAAATAACAGGTATAAACATTTTTAAGACTTGGCACATAATACCATGCCAGTACCCAGAGCTGTGCCTTCCTTTTATATTTGTTTCAGTGTGTCTCTTCTTATTCCTCCTCCTTCCATGTGACCAGGGGATCTAAAAGTCAGCTTATTACAGCATTGAGCATTCAACTTCATCTTGAAAGATAAGCAACAGTGAGATGAACAACCTCTCATAGACAGGTGGTTGGTTGATTTTTTTTTTCCCCTCTTTTTTCTGGCACTTGGAGTCTAGCCCTTGACTTTTTTGTATGTGAACTTTAAATTTTGGTTTGGCTCTGAACAATCTGATTGAAATAGATGTTGAAATTTTAAAAAGATATAAGAGTTGTTATTTTTCCATATCCTTGGATGAAAGATGATATGCAAATTTGTGGTGCCCCTTTCTATTCCTAATTCCAGGACTTCAGAAGGTATATGAATCATTTTTCAGGACGTAACTCCTCAAAGAGGAGCAGACTAATTAATATGTTGTTTTTGGTTGACTAACCCTATCTTTAACCTGCTAAATTGCTGAGCAGTTGTTAAGCTGCTTTTTTTGTAGTGTATTCCATGTTCCCTAACAAAGTCAAGACTGATTGTTGCCTAGGTCTGGACTCTCCTCTTCCTCCATGTCACCCAAGGGAGAGAGGTCTCTGAACAGGAGGGTAGACAGTGTGTTTATATTTCCTAGTAATGTGCCAGCTGCTTGCTCTAAGATCATAGTATCCTCATTTTACAGACGGGGAAAGAGCAATGAAGTTAAGGAACTTGCCCAAGACTACATAGCTCATAAGGTGGAGCAGCCATAATATGACCCCTGAACTTTTTCCATAGGCTTTTCATTGTGTCCTTCTGTTTTCTAAAAGAAAGGCAGCAGGGAGTTCATGAAGATCGAGAACCAGAAAGCAGCTCCTGCAGCCTGTCTTCAGGAGCGGTGTTGCTGTGGGACCTGCAGAGCAGGTGTTTTCACTAGGGATTGTCCCTTCCCACCACGTCCTTCCATGGGTGTGGACAGCCTGTGAGAAGGCTTATAAAAGGCCTAGAGGCTTTTCTATTTTTTTCCCCTCTCACAGTAGGGCTTTTTGTTCTTTGTACAGTGGGATATTTAACTCCAAGTTCTGTCCTGGGTTTGTCTATTTCATAGTGATTTCTGGTCTTTCCTCCCCACCTTCCAGGTTTGTGGCTGACTCCTTCTGTTGCCCTTTGCCTTCTTCCTGTGTACTGATCAGCTCCTCCTTTCCCTGCCTCCTAGAAACTGATTTCACTCCAGACTGGTGTGGCCACCCTTGTCTTCAGATGAGAATGGAGTCTGAATGGCCTTCCTGAGAGCGAGTGCGACCCGTTCCTTTGTTTCCTTGCAACCACCCTTGGACCTGACTCAGCTAACAATCTAGCCCTGGGGGAATGTGATCTACCTGATGCGACCCTGAGTTCTCCCCAGAGCCTCCTCCTGCCCCACCAGCTCTCAAGTACCTTTTCTCCTGGACTGTGTGGACCCACCCAGCTTTCTTCCTCCCTGTTGTGTGTCAGATTATGCCTTGCACTTGGGAAAGCTCTTGTGAGACTCTCCCAAGGTGCTGTATTTTTCTACCTCATGGAGTATTCTCCCAGAAACTGCAATGTATTTTTTTAGGGGAGTATCTTTAACAAAGCAGAATGATTCTTCTAAGTTTGGCAACAAGAAGGCTTGGATCTGAGTCTTCTACCTGGCAGGATGCCAATCCTGTTTGTTGTCCGTATGTCCTGAAAACATGAGGGACTGGCAGATGTCATTTTGGTCTAAAGAGCTGACTTGTTTGAAATTCAGCCTTAAATTAAGCTCTTAGTTGTTCAGCTTGGGGGGCAACTTTGATTTTTCTCTGTGTTGTAGTCTCTCATATTTACTCAAGGAGGGACCAGGATGATACAGTCATCTGAGGTTATGCTTTGCAAAAGGCTGACGGTATGGAATATGTTTCCATGTCTGAGTCTTAGAAACTGGCTGCTCATTGTTAGAAAGTGATGCTTTGTGAGACTATTGTCTTGGGGCCAAAAATAATCAGGGATTTTAAATTGGGCAAGGGACAAGGTGCTAGAATCCTAAGCTCTGGAAATATTTCATGACACTGGTGTATTCACTCATGTGTTCCAGATGTATTCTAATTGTGTATGAAATGTATGTACACATAAGTGTGTGTGTCTCAGGAAGTAGGAAATAAAAATGGAAGCTATTATGACCTCAAAAAAAAAAAGCCAACTTTGAGCTAGGATAAAAATTGGGTAAAGGACATTTGCTTACCTGCAAATGAATCACTGTGGAAATGTGATCTTCCCATATCATCAAGAAACTTGTTTTCTGGATGAATACTGGGAGAATAAAATGAGAACTCTGGAGTGAGCTAAATTGATCCCAATTAAGTTTTTCTGCTTAGCAGACAGAAGGTATAATTTTTTGACACCCTTTCCCACCTGGTGCCTATGCTAGGCTTGTCCTGAGAACATCCCTCAGTAACTTGATATTCACATGACCTACAGGATGTCCCATCTGCAGGGCTGAGTCAGTTGGGGAACACCAGAGGCTACACAGTAGCTCTTCCTGCTACTCGGTTAATGAGCTTGGCAGGTTCTTTGTCTCACTGAATTCTTATCATGGAAACAGCAGCAGCAGCCGCTAGGAAATCTTCAAGTGTAGTGTCTGTGCTAACCCAGTGGTAAATCCCTTAGATCCCCTGCTGGTCTCTGGCAGTCTCCTTGATTTTGGGTACCATGTATATTTTCCGCTTTGACTTTAACGCTTTCTAGGATAGGGTAAGCACCCTTAATTCAGGCACTGTCCATTAGCTTCCTTTGCAAAGGCTACTTATGGCCGGTCACAATCCAGCACTCAGACAGAGCCAAGGCAATATCCTCTTGCCCATGGCTATGATGTCAGACAGTGGATGGGCTCCAGCAACAAGAGACAAAATAACTAAAGGCCTTTGCTCTCCTCTGACATTGAGGCCTGGGGCTTACAGTTTGGAATACAACATGTGAAGGTTTTTGTTGTTGTTTGTATTTTTTAGATGTAAACTTGATTATTTTATTGCTAATTTAAAAATAAAAATGACTTTGTATTGATTGTGAAACGGTTCTGGCTCTGTCTCGATGCAGAAACACAATGATCTGGTGCCACCATGTGGTGATTTTTATTCAGGTTTTAGAATGCAGTTCACACCTTTTTAAGCCATGTGCTGGATCAGATGGTTCAAAAGTGCAATTTTTGAACATGGTTTAACTCCCACAGAATGCAGTGTAACTATGTTTGTGTTTCAGATTTGAGGTGTTCCCCCCAAAAGAATTTGGTTCAGTCCTTGGGAGTATCTGGCTTTAGGAGGAAATGGGGGAGATCTGTCACGATGTTATCTAGAAGGTGGAATGACCATACCAAACATCCTTTTAATCTAACTTGAATGTCTCACCAAAAATAACATTTCTGTTGGCATTCTGGGTCCTAGAAGCCAGATCCATCTCCTTTTTCCTTCTGTTGCTCTCTTCCTTCACACCCTCTTCCATGTCCACATGCACTTATCTCCCTGCAGAATACTTTTTGCGATGATGTTTCTCATGTATTCTTTCTTTCCTTGTCTGGATGAGCAGAAGAAGATCATGATCATGATCTGCTGTATTATCCTTGCGATCATCTTAGCTTCCACCATTGGGAGCATATTTGCCTGAAAAAGGTGAGCCATCTGTGGGGAGGGTCAGACCTTCTTTCACTGACTTGAAACCTTTGTGTCTTGGGGGCACTCTAGGTGCCTTAATCTGGGTGGGATTAGGTGCTAATAATGGTTAGAGAAAACTAAAGAAAGGGATGTTTCAGAGACAGAAAAGTGAGTGAAGAATGAACTGTTAGTAGGTAGTCTGTGGGAGGAGGGGGGAGACAGAAGGTGGCAATCTGTCCTATAACCTGGTGTGGCAGAATGCTTTGTACAGGTGAAGGATAGTGATTCCTGCTAAACAGTTTGAGCCTTGGTATCTGGAAGTGACAAAAAGAACAAGAATTAGTTCTTGCATTAGGTGCATCTTGAACTTTTTGGAAGAGGGCCGGCCACACAGTAAATTCAAATTAAATTTCTTCCCTTTCAAGGTTAATGAAAGTTAACACAGCCTTGTATGTAGTCCTTTACCCCGGGTAAGAGGGATTTGGTGATCCCAGCCACGAACACCATGCTATATAATCTATGATTTTTTTCCTCCATTTTTCTGTTATCTCCCACAGCCCTCACAGATTGATCGACTGGCATTTCTAATCCTCCTTCCACTTCTGTGGTACCATCACTTCTCCACGCAGACTCCTCATCAGCTTCTCCTCTTTCCATTATGAAACTTCTTAAGAAACAGGGCACCAATCAACTACTTATTAAGAATTATGCAAAGAATAAACGTATACAGAATTGGGCGGAGGACAGGGACAGGGAGTACAGATACATAGCTGATTAGGCAGATGGTTTAAAGGAGGACTGCAGGGTAGAGAAGCAAGCAGAGTGGGCGCCTCTTTAGGAAGTGACACAGCCTGCATGTGCAGTATGGCTGTGAAGGGGCAGATATCATAGCACACCTAACTCAACAGGATCTTACTTGAACTGCTGTGAGTTGGTCAAGTCAGGGCACTTCTGCTCTTCAGGCTCCTCTAGGTCACACCTTTGACCACCCTACATCTGTTTCCTCTTTCAGGCTCCAGTAGTAGTCTTAAAAGTGAAGTTTATCTAAGGATAAGCACATGCCTATCTTGCTCACTGCTGTGTCCCCACTTTTTAGCACAGCGCCTGCTGCTTACAGGTACTCAAATATCTGCTGACTTAATTACTTATAATTAAGCTCTTATTTCAGTCATGGACAAATCCTTGGGTTTGACTCCTAAACTCTTTAAGGTACCAATGAGAACGTGGTTTGTTACTGTCAGAGGCTGTGTAAAGCCGCTTGGGAATGGGCTGATCTGCTTATGCAAAAATGCTACCAACCTTTCAAACCCCATTACCACAACATGAAAATTTAAAGTGCTTTTTCTATGGGTGGTGATGGTGGAGTTCTAGCAACAGCCTCTTAATCTGTGGAGAAGATGGCTGGCTCCAGGACTGTGGTTCAATAACGAAATACAGGCCCACAAAATAAAATAGGTTTATAGCATGACTGAACTCACACATCAGTAGAACACTCTGTGAACCATAACAAAGAACAGATAAAGGTGTCAAGTGAGAAAGGTGAAATGAGGTTATCACTCACTTCACCTCTCACCTGATTTGTGTTGCTAGCTGAAACTGCTGGCCAGTAACGTATGTATAAGAAACTGTTATAGGCCGGGCACGGTGGCTCATGCCTGTAATCACAGCACTTTGGGAGGCCAAGGCAGGTGGATCACCAGACTGACCAACATAGTGAAACCCCCTCTCTACAAAAAATACAAAAATTAGCCAGGCATGGTGGCTTGCACCTGTATTCCCAGCTACTTGGGAGGCTGAGGCAGGAGAATTGCTTGAATGCAAGAGGCGGAAGTTGCAGTGAGCCGAGATCGCGCCACTGCACTCCAGCCTGGGCAACAAGAGCTAAATTCCATCTAAAAAAAAAAAAAAAACAAAAAAAAAAAACTGTTCTTAATACTTAATACTGTCCCCAATTCCATTCAAGGTTCAGTTGTGTTCAGCTTTAAAACCAGCTATGTGAATGTGAGTTCTAGTGCAGATTATTTAGTGATTATGTAACTAAAATTGATGAAAAAATCACACTATACAACTGTGAGGAGCACACAACTGCTAAGTTTGTACTTTTGAAAGTAAATTATTCTTTGTTTGATACCTTATTTTTTAAGAAAGTGGGATTAAAAATATTTTGGTCAGTGCTGTTTTCTACCCACCTTCAAAAGCCAATGGTTTGATATTTCTATTAATTTGTGCTTCCTTTAGTTTTAATAGGGGATAGAAGACTGCAGCTGGTTGGGTCTGGAAAACATTAATCTGGGCAAACGGAGCTGGAGCTATGAGGATCTGAGTCCTAGGGGGCCCTCATTCACTAGCAGTAAGAATTTAAGTGGTGCATGGCACATAGCACTGTACTAGATTCTGCAGGGGCACAAACATAGAGCCAAACACTCTCCCTCTTGGAGAATTTCAGACCCAGAAAAGGCCACGCAGTTCTAACTTTTGTCATCGGTTCCTTTTGCTAAAAGGCAAAGGGTATGTTCCTTGCCTATTGTCCAACATACCCCTTCCAAGATTGTGAGAAGATGGGTAGCTGGGCATCAATAAATATTGAATCAATTGACCTATGTACTGTTGTTTTTTTCTTACTCTAAAAATGTGTTTTTAACCTAGTAAAATATCACAGAAACTGGCTCCTGAAGTGTGTACGTATAAAAGGCAGTATAAACATTTAAGTGAGACTCGCATCATAGATGGGGGAATGCAAACATTTGTTTCAGCCTTCATGTTCATCTTACACCCCAGGAGGACCAAGAACTCTTTAGTCATTGAGGCCTATTTCTTAATCTTTTAAGGGATTAAGAATGACCAATGAGAAGTTATATCCTGAAGTGATGTTTAAATTTTATTTAATAAAAATACAGTTTTCTTTTTAAATCAACAAATAACATTGTTTTTCAGAAATCTACTCAAATGCTGCTCCTTAGTTATGGCTTAAGAGCTACCCAAAGACTTCAGTGGGTAGGCTGAGGGGAATAGAAATGCAGAATCCTTCTTTCAGTAGCCTATATACAGTTATCTCCTACACTCACTACACACGTTTGGGCATGTAGAACTTGCCCCAGTATTTCCCCTTGTGGGTCAAGTCATATGGGCTCAGTACTTTCCGTATGCCCAGCATGTTGGCAGTGGCTATTCGCTCAAATGTCCAGGGGTTCTGGTTGTTACGTTCTCTTTCCTCTTGATCTTTTCGCATCTTCTCTAGAGTCCCGCGGCTCACAGCCTTTGCTGCGAAGGGCAACTTGTGGGCAACCTGGTCAAGGAAACCTTGCACTTCTTCAAATTCACAACGCCCACCCATCTCTACAACAAGGCGGCCAGCCTTCACAGGTGTCACGTAGTGGTCAATAGCACCTTTGCCTCCCCCCATGCGATGCCCAACACTTTTGCGAGTGATGGGCTTGAAAGGGGCTGGTACTCGCCATATGGCAAACATGTTCTTGGGGTCCATAGAGCGGTTGATTGTCAGGCGCATCATTTCAAAGTGGCCCCAATGCAGGTAGCCACCACCCAATGCCTAAAAGTGAATGGGAGAATTAGAAACACATGCGGACTTCGACATCATCTATGGGCTCATTATTTTGTCTCTTCTAGTAACTGTGGCTTCAATGATACAATTGAAAATAAAAATCTAAGTTCTAATAAGTCCCATGGAGGAAAAGCCTAGGGTACACAGTAATAGAGTGAAGGGGGACCCATTTCAGTGGAGAGCCAGGAAGGCTTCTTTGAAGAGGTGACATCTAAAGCTAAGACCAGAATAAAAAGAACTAGCCAAGGGAAAAGAGAGGAGTGTGCCAGGCATAAGAAAGGCTTATGTGGAGGCCCTGGCACAGCAGAGGGCTTGGCAAGTTGAACAGAAGCCAATGTGGCTGGAGTAGGGTGAGGAATGGGGAGAGTGGGCAGGAGGTTCTGAGAGGTCAGTGGGGGTGATTATGTAGGCTGCAGGAAGAGGACTTTGGAATATCACTCTGGCTGCCTGGTGGAAAACAAATCCTAGTGCACACCCATTTGTGTGGCTGCTGACATCAAGTCTTCATGGAAGCTACTCAACAAGTAAGGAAACAGCTGTCTTCCACATCCTATATTGTGGATGGTTTTATTTTTACCAGGGCTTGAAAAGATCTCATGATCTGATTATGGGGCACATTAGCTAGCCCCTTCCTTCTGCTTTTACGTTATTTTCACTCTACATTAAAAAAAAAAAAGATATATAACCCAAATGTTTACTGGGTACCCAGTAGCCTCTGTACATACCAGTTTAAAGAGCAACTGGTGGCAGTTCTAATAAAAACTGTGGAGGAAGAGACTAAATTATCTCAAGGAGTATGAGATTTTGTTATTCCCTAGCTTCCATCCCATTGCTGCTCGATGCTGAATTCACTCACCAAGATTGCAAAATTGCCTTCTGTAAACTCCGTAGCTTCAGTGGAAGGTCCCCGTATGTCACTTAAATTTTTAGGTTCTCTTCTTACTTTTGGCACAAGTGGTGCCCTTTCAATAAATCTAAGCTTGGGTTTTTCAGGAATGGAAACATCTAAAAGAAGCACAGACAACCAGGATAAAGTAAAACTATACATCTCAAAAGATCTATTTTCCTAGAAAGATTTATAACAGGTGAAAGTCTTAATTTCTTTCTTCTTCATTTTTTGGTAGAGACAGGGTCTCACTATGTTGCCCAGGTTGGTTTCAAACTCCTGGCCTCAAGTGATTTTCCTGCCTTTACCTCCCAAAGTGTTGGGATTACAAGTGCGAGCCACCATATCCAGCCTGAAAGTCTTAAAGTTACCACTGAACAGTAACTGTAAAGGTATATTACATTTTTGCAGATGCTTTTAGTGACACTGGAATCTTCTGGCTGTGACAGTGGCTAATGCAAATGTTTCTAAAACTTTAAAGATAGCAAAGTTTTATCCTCTGAATCCAAATGCACTTATTAATCACCAACTCTGTGCTTAACACTGTAACAGGGATTGTTTGGAAACCACTAGTTCACTTAATCTTTAAAATAACTTTATAGCCTTGGTATTCTTTCAGGGCTCTCTTTTTAAAAATTTTAAACTTGTCAAAGTTTAACACAGCTATATCAAAGGGCCAAATTAAAAATATACAGCTCAGTGAATTACCAGAAAGTGAACACATGAACACACACCACTATTACCCAGATCAACAAACAGGATATTAGGCAGGTAGTATTTTTAATCTCCATTTTATAGAAGAGGAACCCGAGGGCTAAAAACACTTTATAATCTGGTCTATGCCATCCAGTTCAACAGCAAAGCTACATACCATGTCACAAAAATATATACATATATTTCCCTGCCTCTCTGGATGTTAATGGGGGTAGTGGAAGAATACTATATTGTACATAAAAATATCTAAGTTCTCCAGCTCTGCCACATTCTTGTTGAGAAACTTACAACCTAGGAATCCTTTGATCAATGCTCTTTCTCTCATATATGCAGGGACTTTTCATGCTGAGACCTGCACAGGTCAGTGTGCCAGGTTTTGGTGGGTGGGCAAAACTTCAGGCCAGACATGTGACATCTTCTTTATCATCCTTACTTGACGATTTGGGGAAAAAAGTTAACATACAAATCATTTTTAAAAATTTCTTAAATGAACCAAGTATGGCTTTATAATGGAGACAAATACAAAATAGAAGAGTTTGAGGAAATACCAAATTATTACTATCAGAGTTTCAGAAGCTGCCCCTCAACTTCTATATGTAGCTACAGAGAATCTTAGTAATGCTTTCTTTCACCTACAAGTCAAAATGTACTTTCAAAACGTGGTTTAACAATTCTGTACAGAAGACCCTCAGATGTACAGACCCTATTCATTTTTTTTGAGGGTTCCAGTATATTTCTTTTTTAAAAAGTAAACTAGTTTTACGATATTGTGGCTTAAATTTAACAAATTAAAGCTTTTTCACATATCGTTAGATGACTGCATATATGTAAACTTATTTGGAAAGAACATCAAAAGTTCAGGTTTTTTTTTTCTTTTGAGACAGAGTCTCACTCTGTTGCCCAGGCTGGAGTGCAGTGGCCTCCTGAGTAGCTGGGATTACAGGTGTAAACTACCACGCCCAGCTAATTTTTTGTATTTTTAGTAGAGATGGGGTTTCACCAGGTTGGCAGGCTGGTCTCCAACTCCTGGCCTCAAGTGATCCACCCGCCTCCGCCTCCTAAAGTGCTGTGATTACAGGCGTGAGCCACCATGCCCGCTCAAAAATCCAGATTTCAGGCCAATGACTACTGGCTGAGTGGACCATGGGACACACACCAGTGGGAGGTTTTAGGGGAGCTATCTCATTAGACGCTGCTCCGTAAGAGCAAGGAACTTTTTTGGTTTCCTTTGTCTTTGATTTATTTCTAGTGCTCAGAATATTAGTTGGCAAAACTGTAAGCTCTAAAAACATATTTATTGAAAGAGTGAACGGGGATGGGAAACACGAGAACATTCCTATGTCATCTCCCACCCGCTCCTGGTTTCCATCAGAGAAAAGATTTACGAACAGGAGAAAGACAAGCTCTCACCTTCAAAACTTGGTACTGGGAGCAGTGTCTTTACGCCAGCACTGGCGGGGAGGAGTGCCCAGGAATCTACAAAGACAAATCAAGTTAAACGACGAAGGTAACAGGCCGGGACCCCGATACAACCTGGGCCAAAGGTACTACTTCTTATTTTTATTTATTTTATTTTTTTGAGACGGAGTCTTACTCTGTCGCCCAGGATCCAGTGCAGTGGCGCGATCTCGGCTCACTGCAACCTCCGCCTCCCGGGTTCAAGAGATTCTCCTGCCTCAGCCTCCGGACTAGCTGGGATTACAGTCGCCCACCACCACGCCCAGCTAATTTTTTTTGTATTTTCAGTAGAGACAGGGTTTCACCATGTTGGCCAGGCTGGTTTCAAACTACTGACCTCAAGTGATTCGCCCGCCTCGGCCTCCCAAAGTGCTGCTATTAAAGGCGTGAGCCACCGCGCCCGCCCAAAAGTACTTCCGCCGGAGGAGTCTTGAGGTGTGGGATGCGGATTCCACTAAATGGACTCAAAGGCTCAGGCTCCGCAAAAGGCCAGCCGGGATCTCTGGGCGCCGACTCCCAGACGCAGCTGTGACCCTCTTGCACGAACCCCTACGGTGGAGGTCGGCGGTGCGATAGCGTAGTTCCTAACCAGTGCTTCACCAAGCATATGCAGAGCCGCCTTTTGGGTTAGGGAGAAAAAGCACTGGAGGGTGGGGGAGGAAGAGGGGTAAAGTCTTTAGGAACCAAAAGGGACTTCTGACCTGACAAGGGCACCCGCAGGAGCGGCGCACTAGCGCGAGCCAGCAGCCTCCACATGGTCACGGGCGTCCGGCGGCGCGGAGCTCCCCCAGCGACTCCGGCTGTCTCCTGCACCCAGGTAAGCAGCGGCGCTCCACTACCTAGCTGTAATCGGCTCAGGACACCGCTCAGTGGGGCCGGAAGTTGTGTTCACTCGGGTCCACTCCGCAGAGTCCCGACGGAAGCGAAAGAAACTCGAGCGACGGGGGTTGAGTTCCGGGGGAGGTTGAGTTCCTGCGGTCAAAGGCGCCGTCCGCCCAGCCACGCCCAGGGGCCCTGTTGGCTCTCTAGGGTTCTCCTTCCAATCTCCAGTCTTTCCCCAGAAGAAGAGGGCGGCGGGGCGGGGAGTCTTTTGTTTTATTTATTTATTTTTCTGCGGAGTACAACTGTTAGTGCCTGCCGGTTGCTTAGCAAGGTGGTCCCTTACGATTCACAGCCTTTGAGATGATTTTCTAGGGGACCCCTCAAAGACATTAGGAGAATACCAGATTTAGCAATGGTTTAACATGTATAGGGCAATTGCAATGTGTCATTGAGTACCTCATTCGTTAGTCCTGCCAACGAATCTGTGAGATAAGTCATTATACTTATTTTGCAGATTCCATCCTGAGGGTGAAATAATTTAACTTGTTCTGGGTCATACAACAGGAAAACAGTACCATCAGAATTTGAGCACAGTCTGTGATTCCAGAGATCTCAGTGAATGAACAATATTGTTGATGAAAAGAGTGAAATTCTGTAAGATATTGGAAGAGATTTATTCTGAGCCAAATATGAGCAACCATGGCCTGTGACACAGCCCTCAGGGGGTCCTGAGAACATGTGCCCAAGGTGGTAGAAGTGCAGCTTGGCTTTATACATATTAGAGGGGCATGAGACATCAATCAAATGCATTTAAGAAATACATTGGTTTGGTTCAGAAAGGCGGGACAAGTCAAGGTGGGCTTCTAGGCTATAGGTAAATGTAAACATTTTCTGGTTGACAATTGGTTGAGTTTGTCCAAAGACCTGGGATGGATAGAAAGGAATGTTCAGGTTAAACATAAATGATTGTAGAGACCAAGTTTTATTATGCAGAGGAAGCTCTTAGATAGCAGACTTTAGAGAAAGACTGTTGTAAATTGTTTTTTTATCTGACTTAAAGGGTGCCTGGAGGCCGGGCGCAGTGGTTCACGCCTGTAATCCCAGCACTTTGGGAGGCCAAAGCGGGCAGATTACCTGAGGTCAGGAGTTCAAGACCAGCCTGACCAACATGGTGAAACCCCGTCTCCACTAAAAATACAAAAAATTAGCTGGACGTGGTGGCGGGTGCCTGTAATCCCAGCTACTCGGGAAGCTGAGGCAGGAGAATCACTTGAACCTAGGAGGCGGAGGTTGCAGTGAGCCGAGATCACGCCACTGCACTCCAGACTCCAGACTGGGCAAGACAGAGAAAAAAAAATATGCCTGGCTCTTAGTTGATTGTCTCCTGGATCTGGGAAGGAAGGAAGGAAAACAAAGGGGAAAGAGAATACCTATAGAAATGGATTTTTCCCGCAAGAGACTTTGCAGGGCAATTTCAAGATATGGCAAAGAAATATATTTTGGGGTTAAATATTTTTTTCTTTGTCTCATAATGTTATGCCAGAGTCATGTTGAAAAGTAAGTCACAATATATAGGGTAAAATAAAACCTATATGATGAGAATTTATGGTTTGTAGGGCATGATTCCCTTAGGTAGGAATTTGGGCAAGATAAAAAATCAGAGCTTAGTCCTCAAGTTGAATATTGTGCAATATTGTTTTGAGTGAAAAATGAAGTGGCACTAAAATCACGGTTTGATTGGTCTCTAAGTCTTTTGGTACCCCAAAACTTCTACCTTATTGTTTATTTCAAAAGAGCCAAAAAGTGCAATCTACGGATCCAGTGCAATCCCTATCAAAATTCCAATGCCATTTTTCACAGAAATAGGAAAAACAACCCTTAAATTCATTTGGAACCACAAAAGACCCTGAATAGCCCAGACAATCTGGAACAAAAAGAACAAAGCTGGAGGCATCACACTCCCTGACTTCAAAACATAAGTTGATTGTAATCGAAACAGCACGGTATGGCAGAGAAATAGACACACTGACCAAATGAATAGGATAGAGAGCCCAGAAATAAACACACACATTTATACTTCATTGATTTGTTTTTTTTTTTCTTGAGACATAGTCTCACTCTGTCGCCCAGGCTGGAGTACAGTGGTGCGATCTCGGCTCACTGCCACTTCCGCCTGCTGGGTTCAAGCGATTCTTCCGCCTCAGCCTCTCTAGTAACTGGGTGTTACTAGATTCTTCCGCCTCAGCCTCTCTAGTACAGGGGTGTGCCACCACGCCTGGCTAATTTTTTCTATTTTTAGTAGAGAAGGGGTTTTGCCATGTTGGCCAGGCTAGTCTCAAACTCCTCAGGTGATCCACCCACCTTGGCCTCCCACAGTGCTGGGACTACGGGCATGAGCCACGACGCCTGGCGCAGTCCATTGATTTTTGGCAAAGGTGCCAAGAAAACATAATGGGGGAATGATAGTCTCTTCAACAAATGACGTTGGGAAAACCGGGTATTCACTTGCAGATTGAAATTGGACCCTTGTCTCATACCACATACAACTTAAAATAGGTTAAAGATTTAAATATAAGACCTGAAAGTGTAAAACTGTCAGAGGCATTTGAACCAGAGTGACTCCATCTGGAATAAAGGCTGGGTAAAATGAGGCTGAGGTCTACTAGGCTGCATTGCCAGGAGATTAGGCATTCCTAGTCACAGGATATTTATGGTTAAGGGAACAGTTAATAATGTTTACCAGGGCCAGGCTTGGTGGTGCATGCCCATAGTCCCAGCTACTTGGGAGGCTGAGGTGGGAGGATAGTTTCAGCCAGGGAGGCAGAGGTTGCAGTGAGCTGTGATAGCACAACTGCACTACAGCCTGGGCAACAAAGCAAGACCCCACCTCAAAAAAACAAAATGATGTTTACTGAACAGGCTCAGGACTTAACAGACCCAGGAAATGTCTTGATGTCCCAATATCTTAATAACAAAAGCATTCTTAGTGTAAGGATAAGTTTCACAGATGGATGTGGTGGCTCACGCCTGTAATCCCAGCACTTTGGGAGGCCGAGGACGGTGGATCACCTGAGGACGGGAGTTCGAGACCAGCCTGGCCAACATGGTGAAACCCTGTCTCTATTAAAAAATACAAAAATTAGCTGGGCGTGATGGTGGGTACCTGTAATCCTAGCTACTCAGGAGGCTGAGGCAGGAGAATCACTTGAATTAGGAGGTGGATGTTGCAGTGAGCTGAGATCGTGCCATTGTACTCCAGCCTGGGTGACAAGAGCGAAACTCCGTCTCACAAAAAAAAAAAAAAAAAAAAAAAAAAGAATAAGTTTCACTTTCAATTTAATAATATAGATGCTTGCAAAAGACAGTAGTTACACAAAGATTAACAATCCTTTGTCACAAGCACTTGTAGTAGAACACATCCTCCCCTGATTTTTTTTGCTTTGTTATCTTGTATATAAACGAGTATTATACCAAAGGCAGATGTGTTTCTCCTCTTGCTTTTGGGAGTGCTCTGTCTATGGAGTAGCTATTCTTTCTTTTTTATTTACATTCTTAATAAACTTACTTTCACTTTGCTCTGTGGACTCACCCCCAAATTCTTTCTTGCACAAGATCCAAAAACCCTCTCTTGAGATCTGGATTGAGACACTTTCCTGTAACAAAACTACTAGAAGAAACTGTGAACCCTGAAAATCTAAGACAGGTCTCAGTTAATTTAGAAAGTTTTTTTAAACAAGGTTGAGGATGTGTGCCCATGACACAGCCTCAGGAGGTCCCGATGACATGTGCCCAAGGTGGTTAGAGCACAGTTTGATTTTATACACTTTAGTGGGAGATGAGACATCAGTCAACATATGTAAGATAAACATTGGTTTGGTCTGGAAAGGCTGTACAACTCAAAATGGGGAGGGGACTTCCAGGTCATAGGTAGATAAGAGACAAATGGTTGCATTCTTTTGAGTTTCTGACTAGCCTCTCCAAAGGAGACAATCAGATATGTATTTATCCCAGTGAGGAAAGAGGTGACTTTGAATAGAATGGGAGGCAGATTGGCCCTAAGCAGTTCCCAGCTTGACTTTTCCGTTTAGGTTAGTGATTTGGGGGTTCCAAGATTTATTTTTCTTTCACATTTTCCCCCTTTTCTTTTATTAAAATGTTTTGGAGAGATCATTTTATGAGGTTTGACAATGTGATGCTTTTATGGTGCACTTAAAAAAATTTTTTTAATGAACACATATCTTAGTGTCTAAACCACGCTGTTCCTTAAAAACAGAGTAAGCTCTGTTGCAGTTAACTATTTTAGTCAAAAAAACCAAAACAAAACAGGTAACACAATACAAAAGCAAACAGTTTAAGAGCTGAGATGAACTTGTCTGTTTACGTTCTTGGGGTCCCATAAGAAAAACAGGTTTCTCCCCCAAAGGGAGTCTGGCACTTTCTCAGTTTTCTTTAAGGAACCCCAGGCTATTATTAAACTATTTTAGGTCCCCTATGCAGCAGAGGGGGCAAGATAAAGGAGAGACAGAAGTAAATGAAGAAACCAGAATTCAGTCAACTGAGTGGGAAAAAACTTTTGCTCAAAAAAAGACAGGGTCCTAGGAGAAAAACAAAACAAAAATGTGAGGGCCTTTTAAATACAAACACATCCACCTGCACACATACATATACACATCTTGGATGTTAGCTTCTAATTAGGGTGACTTTTAACCATTGAGCTCCTTTTAAAATAGATGTTTTTAAATCTTATTACTGTATTTCTGTTCTTTCAGAAGTACAGCCATTGCTCTTTCAGTTTGGCTTGGCTAGCAAAAGGGTGGCCTTGTTATGTAAATAAAGCTCCTTAAGTAGTCAAAATAAAAAATCTTTTCTTTTTTTTTTTTTTTATGGGAATTTAGCCACTTCAGAGGCCTCGTTCCCCATAATTTGGAACATTCCCTTGGATTTGATCAAGTTGGATAGAATTGGTCACACCCAGTGGGAAAAGACTGAAACAACAACAAAAACAGAAACAAACAACAACAACAACAACAAAAACCAGTTAAGCAAAACAAGTGATCGCACAACTTATGTGATCACTGAGCACTCTAATGGTAAGGAGAAATTAAGACCAGTTGGTTGTTAATTTTAACTTTATCCAAGACAAATCCCAATTCAGTTACTTACCCAGGGGTGGCTCTCAGGCTGAAGACTGCTCTTTACTATCCTAGAAGCAGCAAAAAACCCCCTTCATCTTCCCTGTTGGAAGTAGCTCAAATTCCATAAAGGAGTTACCTACCTTCCATTGTTATGGAAGCAGGAAAAACTTGCCTTCCTTGTGTTGGAAGCAAGTAAAACTCCAAAAAAAAAGGGGGGGGGGTTTATACAGCAAAATAAACTTTAGATCTTGACCAAATTTTGGGAGATCAGGGATTCTCTGGAGGGGGTGCTCCCAGACCTCAGCAAATTGTCCTTTTGGTTTGAGCCATTAAGTTAGCTCATGCTGGTACCAAGGACCGATAGATTTGTCAAAGGTAAGAGGCACCTCCACTCAGAATCCCCCTGTGGTTACCAAAATGTGAACCCTGAAAAATCTGAGACAGGTCTCAGTTAATTTAGAAAGTTTATTTTAACAGGGTTGAGGATGCGTGCCTGTGACACAGCCTCTGGAGGCCCTGACGACATGTACCCAAGTTGGTCACAGCACAGTTTGGCTTTACACATTTTAGGGAGACATGAGACATCAATCAACACATGTAAGATGAACATTGGTTCAGTCTGGAAAGGCTGTACAACTCAAAGTGGGGAAGGGGCTTCCAGGTCACAGGTAGATAAAAGACAAATGGTTGCATTCTTTTGAGTTTCTGACTAGCCTCTCCAAATGAGGCAATCAGATATGCATTTATCTCAGTGAGCAGAGGGGTGACTTTGATTAGAATGAGAGGCAGGTTGGCCCTAAACAGTTCCCAGCTTGACTTTTCCCTTTAGATTAGTGATTCTGGGGGCCCAAGATATTTTTCTTTCACAAAACCATACAGGAAAAGTTCCACAACATTGGCGTGAGAATGAATTTTTGGAAATGACCTCAAAAGCACAGACAACAAAAGCAAAAATAGACAAATGGGATGACATCAAAGTAAAAAGCTTTTACACAGCAATGGAAATAACTGACAAAATGAAGAGACAACAGACAGAATGGGAGAAAACGTTTACAAATTAAACAGCAGGGGTTAATATTAAAAATGTATAAGGAACTCAGCTCAACAGCAAGAAAACAAATAACCCATTTAAAAAATAAGCAAAGGACCTAAACAGACATTTCTCAAAAGAGGACCAACAAAGAGCTAACAGGTACATGCAAAAATGCTAAGCATCGCTAATCATTAGGGAAATGCAAATTAAAACCACAATGGGATATCACCTCACACCTGTTAAAATGGCAATTATCAAAAAGATGAAAGATAATACGTTGGCAAGTATGTGGAGAAAATGATGTAACTCTTGTACATTGTTAGTGGGAATGAAAATTAGTACATTATTGTTGTAGAAAATGGGATGGAAGTTCCTCAAAAAACTGTGTGTGTGTGTGTGTGTGTGTTTGTGTATGCATGCATGTGCATGTACACTATCTTTTAATACACCACTTGGGTTTTTGCTGATCAAAATGTAACCACAATGTCATAATAAATTACCTTGAAACTTCTTCACTCCAAGTGTGCAGAGCTCCTCAAGGGACTTGTTAATGTTAGTTTCCTCATCAATTTAGCTTCTACGGACCGATTGTGGTGGCTCATGCCTGTAATCCCTGCACTTTGGGAGGCCAAGGTGGGTGGATTACTTGAGCTCAGGAGTTCGGGACCGGCGGGGCCAACATGGTAAAACCCCGTCTCTACTAAAATACAAAAATTAGCTGGGTGTGGTGGTGCGTACCTGTAATCCCAGCTACTCGGAAAGCTGAGGCAGGAGAATTACTTGAACCCAGGAGGCAGTGGTTGTAGTGAGCCGAGATTGTGCCACTGCACTCCAGCCTGGGTGACAGAGTGAGACTCCATCTCAAAAAAAAAAAAGAAAAGAAAAGAAAAAAAATTAGCTTCTACATGCTTTAGAGCATTTGTAAAAGGGCAATGATACCATAGATTTTGCCAGAACAAAAAACAATATTCTCTAATAAAATATTAACCATTAACATATTAGCATGATTTACTCTTTACAAAGGACTTTCACATGCACATAGATTATTTTACTGGAATCCTATTATGTACATGATAATGGTGGATATAACACACAGAAATCATTAAGATTATTAAGATCATTGCACAGAGCTGGGATTTCCATTCAAGTGTCTATTCATTCAACAAACATCTCTTGAGCATCTACTATAGTGCCATGAGCAAAATTAATGTGTCTACACTTATTCCAGAGGTTTCAAGGTAAATTAAATTCAGTCTCAACTGGAAGAGTTACTGAAGTTTTACAAGAAAGCCATTTCAGCTGTTCTCATCTATTAAGTCAACAGGTGCAAAAAATGCATCAACTCTTTAATTGTGTGACCAAGAAGAAAGAACAATGCCAATTAATCTTATTGTTTTCTGTCTCAGTATTCATGGGCTATATTAAAGTATTTCTATGAATGTGTTCATCATAATGAATCATTATTGCTGCTCAGTTAAATTATTTACAAATCTGTTATTATAGGCCATGCTGCAATAAGCAGCCTTGTACATTTTTGTTATTTTGTATTTCTTTTGGGCACTTTCAAAAGGAGAAATTTATGGATCAAAGGGAATGTTCATTTTATGTCTTTTGACTTTATACAGTTGTGCAAAATTGGCCTCCATGATCAGAGTGTTTTCTTGATCAACACCCTTGCTAAAGAAGGATATTATAATTTTTCTACGGCTTTGCCAATATGAAAGGTGAAAAACACCACTCGGTGTTACATTTATAACAGGTTGTTAAAATGCGATTGTTTCTGCCTCAGTTTTGCTTGGGACCACAAGGTAATCTCCACATTTCACAGTGAGGTGCTGGGCCTTTTAGGCAGTTTATGCAGCAGGTGGTAGGAACTGGCTTTGCTATTTTTAGCTGCCCATTCTCTGCCAGCCTGTAAAAAACACTAGAAAAGCCAAGAAAGGAAGTGGAGACTGGAGATTATAATAAAGATTTCGTTAACACAGTTGTTGGTGTACTGTGAGTTTCATGCCTTCCCCTCTTCAATGGCAAGGGTTGGGGGGTGCTCCATCAAGCCCAGTGAAAGACATTTCTAGATCATTCAGAGAGTTTAATATAATTCTTCTGCAGTTTAAGGGACAGTGGGCTTTGGGGTTTGACACTGGCTTGAGAAAATGATATGTTTGGAGGCTGGTAGAAGCTGCCTGTGGCATCAAAAGTAGAGAGCTGCAGTTGCGAAGTAGCCACATTTCCATTGATGGTGGGGCAAAGGCATGCATGTCCTGTTGACTAGGTGTGGACTCCATGACTAGGTGTGGACTCCTGTGTAGAGTGCCAAGGTAGGGTTTCTTACATCAACAGAACTGCATCAAAGACAGGGAGAAAGAAGTTGGAGTAGGTGTGATGATGGATGTCCTGGGCCTGAGGGAAGAATTGTGTGCAACCAGCCAACAACTCAGCAGAGATGAATTTGCCTGCATCAAGGGAACAGCAGATGAGAGATCCACAGCAGGTGTGTGTGTGTGTCCGAGTGTGTGTGTGTTTGTGCATGTGAAACATTTGATATCTTGAAGTCCTGACCCCTTGTACTTCAGAATGTCAAAGAGAGGTCCTGGAAAAGATCCTTCCTCACAGCCCTTAGAAGTGACAAGCCACCCTGCAGACACCTTGATTTCAGACTTCCAGCCTCCAGAACAGTGAGGCAATAAGATTCTGTTGTTTAAGCCACCCAGTGTATGGTACTTTGTTTGTTTAGAGACAGGATATCACTATTAAAGCACCCTCTTTCTCTCATGAGTGCTTTATGAATTCTTCTTTAAGAAGGAAAGTACTGCTGAGTGCTGTATTCGTTTCCTAGAGCTGCCATGACAAAGTATCACAGGCTGGACACAGTGGCTCACACCTGTAAGCCAGCACTTTGGGAGGCTGAGGTGGGAGAATTGCTTGAGTCCAGGACTTTAAGAACAGCCTGGGCAACAGAGTGACACCCTGTCTCTAACAAACAAACAAACAAACACATACACAAACACACAAACGAACACAAAACAAAGTACCACACACTGGGCGGCTTAAACAACAGAATCTTATTGCCTCACTGTTCTGGAGGCTGGAAGTCTGAAATCAAGGTGTCTGTGGGGTTGCTTGCTGCTTCTAAGGGCTGTGAGGAAGGATCTTTTCCAGGCCTCTCTTTAGCGTGGAGATGACCGTCTTCTTCCTACATCTCTTCACATCATCTTTCTTCTGTATATGTCTGTCTGTGTGAATGCAAATTTCAGCGAATTGGATTAGAGCCCATCCTAATGACCTCATTTTAACTTGATTACCACTGTAAAAATACTGTCTCCAAATAAGGTTACATTCTGAAGTGCTAGGGGTTAGGTCTTCAAGATGATATATTTTTTGAGGGATCCTATTCAGCTCACATCAGGTGCCACCATCCCAGAGGCATCGTAAATAGTGAGAGACTGGGGATAGGAAAGATCTTACCTGATTAGTAAAAGTGCAAGATGAGGAAACAGGTTCACCCCATGCTCCCCATTTTGTTTTTACTATTATCTCTTTGTCTGAAGCAGGGCCGAGCTGGGGGAGGAGAGTCACTTTTCTTTTAAATGGAATTCAGAGTTGTGACTGTTACACAGAATCAGACGTTTTAGGTCCTGAAGTGAGAATGTTTTCTGTGATTAGAAGTGACAACACAACTTTTTAATTTTTATGTTTTAAATAAGAGAGTAATGAGAAAATACAAAAACCAAACAAAAAAAAAAAACACACACAAAAAATCAAACCCAACCCAGCCTCACAGAGTTGATTTGGATAACCAGTAGTAAACTAAAGTTGATTTCTGATGACGTTCTCTGAATTTTACTTAATATAACCTACATACTGATTATAGGTTAGTTTGCATTTCCTTAATGATAAGTGATGTCAAATTTTTTCTCATGTCCTTGATTTCACATATTTTTGTCTATTTGTTTTCTGTATGTGTGATTTGCTTGTATACTTAGTCCATTTTTTAATTATTTTGCTTTTTTTCTTATCAATTCAAAATTGCTTATGTATTAAGTATATTACCTCCTATTAGGTTGTATATGTTTTATTTTTATTTATTTATTTTTTTTGAGACGGAGTTTCACTCTTGTCATCCAGGCTGGAGTGCAGTGGGGTGATCTCAGCTCACTGCAAACTCTGTCTCCCAGGTTCAAGTGATTCTTCTGCCTTAGCGTCCTGAGTAGCTGGGATTACAGGTGCCCACCACCAGGCCCAGCCAATTTTTGTATTTTTAGTAGAGACGAGTCTTCACCATATAGGCCATGCTGGTCTTGAATCCCTGACCTCAGGTGATCCACTGGCGTCGGCCTCCCAAAGTGCTGGGATTACAGGCATGAGCCACTGTGCCCAGCTGGTTGTATATTTTCATTTTTTTCAGTTTTCAATATATCTTGATTGTTTTTGAAGTAGGACCATTTATAATTTTTATGCAGTAAAATCTGTCAGTAATAGTCTTAAGAATTTTGACTTTCAGCCAGGTGCAGTGTCTCATGCCTGTAATCCCAACACTTTGGGAGGCTGAGATGAGTATTGCCTGAGCCCAGGAGTCCAAGACTGGCTTGGGCAAAACAGCAAGAGTCCATCTCTACAAAAATAAAATATTGGCCAGACTTGGAGGCTCATGCCTGTACTCCCTGTTGCTTGAGACGCTGAGGCAAGAGGATTGCTTGAGCCCAGGAGGCTGAGGCTGCAGTGAGCTGTGATTGTGCCACTGCACTCCAGCTTGGGCGACATAATAAGACCCTGTCTCAGAAAAAAAAAAAAGAAAGAAAAAGAATAAGTCAAATATATTAATAATAATATTAATATTTGACTTACTTTGATAATTCAAAATATATTGATACTGCTTATAAAGGCCAGAGGTAGGGATATAACATAATTCTTTCTCAAAGTTGAAAATTCTCATTTAATATGTGACTTTATTTATTTATTTATTTTTTGAGACAGAGTCTCACTCTGTCGCCCAGGCTGGAGTGCAGTGGCGCGATCTCGGCTCACTGCAAGCTCTGCATCCCGGGTTCATGCCATTCTCCTGCCTCAGCCTCCTGAGTAGCTGGGACTACAGGTGCCCACCCCCATGCCCGGCTAATTTTTTGTATTTTTAGTAGAGAGGGGGTTTCACCGTGTTAGCCAGAATGGTCTCGATCTCCTGACTTTGTGATCCACCTGCCTCGGCCAATCAAAGTGCTGGGATTACAGGCGTGACCCACCGCGCCCGGCCTATTTATTTTTATTTTTTATTTTTTTGAGACAGAATCTTGTTCTTTTGCCTAGGCTGGAGTGCAGTGGCGTGATCTCTGCTCACTGCAGCCTCCGCCTCCCAGATTCAAGTGATTCTCCTGCCTCAGCCTCCAGAGTGGCTGGGATTATAGGCGCATGCCACTATGCCTGACTAATTTTTGTAGTTTTAGTAGAGATGGGGTTTCACCATATTGGCCAGACTGGTCTTGAACTTCTGACCTCAAATAGTTCATCTGCCTCAACCTCCCAAAGTGCTAGGATTACAGGCGTGAGCCACCGGGCCTGGCCTTAATATGTGACTTTATAATGTACTAAATTCTCACAGCTTTCGGGAGTTCCTTTTGACATTTTCTTCCATTCACATGCTCTGAGACTGGTGCTACATTGTTTTAGTCATTGCCACTTTATTACACATTTTTATATCTGTTCAGTCAAGTTCTTTGTTTTTGCACTCTGCAAAAAAACATACTGGCTATGTTTAACATGTTTGTTCTTCAAGATAAAATTAAGTTCCACACTCTCTGTTTTCATTTTCTTGGCTAGAATTCTCATTCCTCTCTTTTTTTTTTTTCATTTTAATCTGAGAACCATTTGCACTTCTGACAAAGTTGAGGCTTTTGCTATTTCAAAGAATTGCAGGATCTCAGTTTGAGGCGACTGGAGGTGTCAGATATTTAGTTCCAGTTCCTCAACAGTGTACTTCAATCACATACTTGTTATATAGGTTATTCACACATCTAATTAAAGACAAGTGCAATTGTATACAATCCCTAAATGGAGGGAAAGTATTTGCTAGCAATCTTCCTTTCTTTCTTTTCTGCATCTTCACAAAATAGTTATGCTCAATCGACCCTTCCCCACTTTACCCTCCTAAGTAGCTGTCACTATAGATCTGTGCTACAAGGCCCGGCTAATGTTTAAATTTTTCATAGAGACGGTGTTTCATTATGTCGCCCCAGCTGGTCTACGAACTCCTGGGCTCATACGAGACTTTACCGTGTATGTCCAGTAGAGGTCACAAAGTGCTTATTATAGACACTGAAACCTCAACCAAATGCGTGCTTGGGCATTTGCATTATGCAATAATGAGCACACATAAATGATTATAATTAGGGGGAATTGTTACACTTTAATTCATTCTTCTCTATTACACTCAATACATTAGGATAGAGAGCTTATTATAAGCAGTATACATATCTCAGAGAATACAATTCTTAAGACTTTTCCAAAAATAAAGAGAATTTTAGAGATGATTCTATGCCAAATCTCTGAGTATAGATAAAGAAACTGATCTTTGAGTTAATTAGAGACTCGTCTGGGTCACTCACCTTGTTTATGAGCAAATACAGGAGTGACAACTCAAAATCTTTTGATCCCAAGATCAGATTTCTTCACACTGTATCTGTAGACTATGTTTTCCAATAGTAACTTAATCTTTTCTGAACTAAAATAATTAATTAATTCAATATAAATATTTATGCCAGATGCTGTGCTAGGTGATGAAGATATATTGTTAAGCAAAAATGATCCTTGCTTGTGAGACTATGAGAAAAATGTGAGTAGAGGCAGTAAAATAATGACCAGAAAAACCTCAGAGGTAATGTTAGGTTTCTTCCTGATTAGGTACTTTCTATGCATATTCAGTACTGATTTTGTTTGGTATGTTCAGTAATTTTGTGTCTTTCTATTTTTAAAATTTAATTTATTTTTTGAAGTTAAAATTTGCATTCTAACTTCAAAATATAAATTGTATTCTCTGAGATATGTATACTGCTTATAATAAACTCTCTATCCTAATGTACTGAGTGTAATAGAGAAGAATGAATTAAAGTGTAACAACTCCCTCTAATTATAATCATATGAAATAATACGAAGAAAAACAGTTATCATATTACAAATTTCTTCTCATTAATTGCTATGAGAGTTTACTACTACCCAACATAAAACTGAGTGCATAATAAATACAAATGCACCTTTCTATGAAACTCCTCTTATAAAAATTGAAGTAAACATTAAATTTCCAAGTGAAAGGAAACACTACAGTGTTTAATAAATGTATTTGCTTCATCTTCCAAATCTATGAGCATCCATCCTTTTTTTTTTTGAGACAGAGTCTCGCTCTGTCGCCCAGGCTGGAGTGCAGTGGCGCGATCTCGGCTCACTGCAAGCTCCGCCTCCCAGGTTCACGCTGTTCTCCTGCCTCAGCCTCCCAAGTAGCTGGGACTACAGGCGACCGCCACCACGCCTGGCTAATTTTTTGTATTTCTTAGTAGAGACGGGGTTTCACCGTGTTAGCCAGGATGGTCTCCATCTCCTGACCTCGTGATTCGCCCGCCTCGGCCTTCCAAAGTGCTGGGATTACAGGCGTGAGCCACCGCACCCGGCCGCAACCATCCTTTTAAAAAAAAAAAAAAAAAATTTTAGATTCAGGGGGTACACGTGCAGGTTTGTTACATAGGTATATTGTGTGATGCTGTGGTTTGGGCTTCTAATGAGCCTGTCACTCAAGTAGCGAACATAGTACCTGATAAATAGTTTTTCAACCCTTGCCCCACTCCTTGTCTCCCGTCTCATCTCCAGTGTTTATTGTTTCCATCTCTCTGTCCATATGTACCCAATGTTTAGCTTTCACTTATTTTATTTTTTATGTTTTTTGAGATGGGGTCTTGCTCTGTCACCCAGACTGGATGGAGTGCAGTGGTGTGATCATTGCTCACTGCAGCCTCAACCTCTCTGGCCCAAGTGATCCTCCCAACTTACCCTCCCAAGTAGCTGTCATTATAGACATGTGCTACTATGCCCGGCTAATGTTCAAATTTTTCATAGAGACAGTATTTCATTATGTTGCCCCAGCTGGTCTGTGAACTCCTGGGCTCAAGCAGTCCTCCCACCTTGGCCTCCCAGCATGCTGGGATTACAGGTGTGAGCCACTCCCCTCAGCCTTAGCTCCCACTTATAAGTGAGAACATTCAATATTTGGTTTTCTGTTTCTGCATTAATTCATTTAGGATTGCAGCCTCCAGCTGCAACCATGCTGCTACAAAGGACATGATTTCATTTTTTTTTATGGCTATGTAGTATTCCATGACCTATATGTAACGTATTTTCTTTATCCAATCTACCATCATGGGCACCTGGGTTGATTCCGTGTCTTTGCTATTGTGAATAGTGTTGTGATGAACATATGAGTGCAGATGTCTTTTTGGCAGACCATTTATTTTCCTTTGGGTATATATCCAGTAATGAGATTTCTGGATTGAATGGTAATTCTATTTTTAGTTCTTTGAGAAATTTCCAAACTGCTTTTCATAGGAGCTGAACTAATTTGCATTTCCACCAACAGTGTATAAGTGTTTCCTTTTCTCCTCAACCTTGCCAACATCTGTTATTTATTGATCATTTAATGATATCCATTCTGATTTGCGTGATATAGCCTCTCATTGTGATTTTGATTTGCATCTCTCTGATGATTGATGATGTAGAACATTTTTTCATATGTTCGTTGGCTGCTTGTGTGTTTTCTTTTGAGAAGTCTCTGTTCATGTCCTTTGCCTACTTTTTAATGGGATTGGTTTTTTTTTTCTCGTTTATTTGTTTAAGATCCTTATAGGTTCTGGATATTAGTTCTTTGCTGGATTCAGAGTTTGCAAATATTTTCTCCCATTCTGTAGGTTGTCTGTTTACTCTGTTGGTAACTTCTTTTTTTTTCTTTCCTTGGTTGTTTTTATTTTTATTTTTATTTATTTTTTTCGAGACAGAGTCTCCTTTTATTGCACAGGCTGGAGTGCAGTGGCACGATCTTGACTCACTGCAACCTCTGCCTCCTGGGTTCAAGTGATTCTCCTGCCTCAGCCTCCCAAGTAGCTGGGATTATAGGTGCCCACCACCATGCCCGGCTAATTTTTGTATTTCTAGTAGATATGGCATTTCACCATGTTGGCCAGGCTGATCTTGAACTCCTGACCTCAAGTGATCTGCCCACCTCACCCTCCCAAAGTGCTGGGATTACAGGCATGAGCCACCGCGCCCAGCTGGTAATTTATTTTGCTGAACAGAAGAGTTTTAGTTTGATTAGGTCTCAATTGTCAATTTTTGTTTTTGTTGCATTTGCTTTTGAGGGCTTAGTCATAAATTCTTTGCCTAGGCCAACATCTAGAGGGGTATTTCCTAGGGTTTCTTCTTGGATTCTTATAGTTTGAAGTCTTACATTTAAGTCTTTAATCCATTTTGAGTTAATTTTTGTATATGGTGAGAGGTAGGAATCCCATTTTATTCTTCTGCATATGGCAGCAATATTGATTGAGTAGAATATCCTTCCCCATTGTTTATTTTGTTGACTTTGTCAAAGATCAGTTGGTTGTAGGCTGTGGCTTTGTTTCAGGGGTATTCTGTTTCATTGTTACCACCTTTTTAAAAGAAATCAGGTACTGTATATTAATAAGTCACCCAGTTGAACTGTTTCTTAGATGAGTTACTGGTGCTAAATGACTGTAACATGAGAATTATGGGCAAGAGAAACGAGAGAAGCAATGCTTGGAAAAAAAATCCTTAAACTGTGTAGTAGTCCCCAAATGAACAAACAAAGAGTAGAAATCCTTAATCTGTGAGATAATGACAAATGGAAACAAGCTGGAAAATGTATTGGAAACATATTAAAAAATGGAAATAAGTCTTGGAAAATGGGTATTTTTATATATATGCACTCATATATATGATCTATATGCTTACATATCATACGTACGATATATATGCTTATATATCGTACGTATGATATATATGTCCTAGCACTTTGGGAGGCTGAGGCAGGCGGGTGCATCACCTGAGGTCAGGAGTTCAAGACCAGCCTGGCTGACATGGTGAAACCCCATCTCTACTAAAAATAGAAAAATTAGCCTGGCGTGGTGATCGGCACCTATAATCCCAGCTACTTGGGAGGCTGAGGCAGAATTGCTTGAACCTGGGAGGCAAAGGTTGCAGTGGGCCGAGATCACGCCTTGTACTCTAGCCTGGGCAACAGAGCAAGACTCTATCTCAAAAATAAATAAATAAATAAATAAAGCACTTCTTCAAAACAGAATTACAACTTTTGAAGCCGTTTCCTTGTCTCTAGCTCTGCCAATATAGATGAACACACACGCAATTAAGTCCTAGATAGGTAGCTAAAACAAGGTTTTCATTATATGAAACAAATCTGTGATTTCCCTCTGTTTGTTTTCTTTGTTTCCTCCCTAGGCTTGTTTCCTCAGTTTCTATTACTAGAGCAAAGGTTGGGGACAGAACTCTCCCATACACACACACAGACACACACACACACACACACACACACACACACAGAGAAATCTCTTTGGTTGCCCAATTTATTGTTAAACAAGCAGAAATAATCTTTGTATAAAATAATGTTTTTTCCATTTTCCAGTTGCTCAATTATTATGTGTTGTATGGCTAAAACTTAGAAAACAGAGAGGCAAACAAAAAAACCCTATCACCAATAATTCTGCACACAGAGATTACCACTGAAACACTCCAGCATGGACAATATTATAATGTCGTCATGTACTTGCCTTCATTCACTTGGAGTTGCCTTCATTCACTTCATTCACTCACTTCATTCATGTTCATCATGAACGTCTTTTCATGTCTGTAAGAATTTATCTTCAACATGAATTTTAGTAACTTTTAAGTATCCCATCATATGGATGCACCAGAGTTTGTCCATTGTCGTACTGTTGGACATCTAGATTGTTCTATTTTTTCCCATATTATAAACATTATGTTATGTGAGAGCACTTTGCTCACCACCCCTGAGATTTCCTTCTATTATAGTGACAGTCTTGGCCTTTTTCTGGGATAGAGAGAGTTACCTAATAGATAAGTTTGAATTGAGGACCTGGGCCTGTGTGGCCCACACCTCCTTCTCCTAGGAGCCAGACTGTTACCAGAGAGCAGGTACTTGCTCTGAGATGCTCAGATGGGAGCATCTGTGCCTGGGCAGTTCAGTCTGTCTGATTCTGGGGTTCAGTTTTAGGAAGTGTTCTGTGGCTGTACACCTAAGCTCTTGTCTATAATAGTTACAGCTGACCTTTTGATTCTTGTATATTTATGTGTTCTCATATATATATATAAAAATTTCAGAATTGGGATTTTTTTTTTTTTGGCCAAAGGTGTGTATATTTTAGGCCTGTTTTTTTTTTTTTTTTAATTGAGATGGAGTTTTGTTCTTGTTGCCCAGGCTGGAGTGCAATGGTGTGATCTCAGCTTATAGTAACCTCTGCCTCCTGGCTTCAAGTGGTTCTCCTCCCTCAGCCTCCCAAGTAACTGGAATTACAGGCACGTGCCACCACACCAGGCTAATATTTGTATTTTTAGTAGAGACGGGTTTCACTATGTTGGTCAGGCTGGTCTTGAACTCCTGACCTCAGGTGATCCACCTTCCTTGGCCTCCCAAACTTTTGGGATTACAGGCGTGAGCCACCACACCCGGTCATTTTAGGTCTTCTGATACAAATTTTTATATTATTCTCTAGAAAGTTTGTACCAGTGTTCACTCCTACCAGTAGAGATTACAGTTATGTTTATCTTTGAAAGCTTAATTTTTTTTCAAAGATCTATATCTATTTATCATATAAAATATATAATATGTTAAATTATATATAATCATATAACATATATTAAGTTATATATAATCATGTAAAATATATGATATATTAAATTCTGTATAATATATTGAATATAAGTTAGTTTACTAAGTACATATTAAATGATCTAAATATATATTTTAAATATGAATTTAACAAAAAAATTGGAAATGGAAGGAGAGAGTTAAGACATAACATCAATTACCAAGTTTTGAACCATCTGGGAGTTTTATATGTTGAAATGTTTGGTCATTTCATGTATACATGTATGTACATACGTGGGCATATTTACGTTAGGCAATTTGAAAAGGAGTGCTTGGTATGATAAGAAAATATGAAATTTAAAAAATATATCATTTGTAGAAATAGGGAATGTGCTATTTAATTAATCAAGAAATCAGAATGATATCCAAAAATATCAGCTACTCTCCCTTTTCCCCTCAGCTTAGGTTTAAATGATGATTGGCAGTCATTGTGTTGAGAAGATGAAAATTTTATTTTCATGAGTCATAGATGTTGAGACTCCAGTGAACTTTGCATTTTTATTCTACATAGTGGTTCTCCATGTTTTTACCAGGAATATGGTAGCATCACAGGCATTCGCTTTTTTGCATAGATTTAAAATGAAGTGGAAAAAATTTCACCCATCCTTTGGAGATGTTTGATAGAAGCTGAACCCACCTCTTCGTTAGTACTGTGTGAAATTGGCTGTGATGTGCTCGTGGTTGAAGGGTATGTAGTCAGCAACCCCTGGAAATAAGCAGAGAATAACATGAGGTGACTGTGGTGCATGTAACCACCTCCATCCCCCAAGGGATGCAGTGAGCTAGATGCAGTGAACCCATTAAATGTTTTTAAAGGAGTAAAATCATCCTAGAGAGAAATAAGCAGTTTGATTATGAAGAGAAAATGAAACTGAGATTTAGGGAGTTCTTGTTTCCAGTCTCTGGTCACCACTTCATGGAGTAAGTCTTTGGGTATACCCTTTAAGATGCGCGAGTCTCTTTTTCCTCACATACAAGATTTTGTTAATAATATTTACTCTGAAGAGTTATTTTCAAAATTAGGAATAATGACCGCTGGGTACCTAATACAGTACCTGACACAGAATAATTGTGCAATAAGTGGTGGTTATTGTTAAAATGGCTTATTTAGGCCAAAATTAGGGCATTCAAGGGAGAACTTCCTGTTCATTTTTGAAGATTTTGTAAGACATAAGAAAGAGCAGTGGGTTGAGAATTTTTGTCTTTCAGAACAGGAAAGATAGATGATGGCAATATCTGTTACCTTTCAGGTAGCTGGCAACAGAAAGAATGACAGTTTCAGGCCCAAATATTTTTGTTTCTCAGAGGCCTTTACCATTCTTTCTCCCAGGGAAGAAAAGTAATTTGTAGACATGAGAATATGCCTGATTTAAGTTCCTGGGGCAATTACTTTCTTTTTTTTTTTTTTTTTTTTTGAAACGGAGTCTCGCTCTGTCACCCAAGCTGGAGTGCAGTGGTGCAATCTCAGCTCACTGCAAGCTTCGCCTCCTGGGTTCATGCCATTCACCTGCCTCAGCCTCCCGAGTAGCTGGGACTACAGGCACCCGCCACCACGCCTGACTAATTTTTTTGTATTTTTAGTAGAGACGGGGTTTCACCATGTTAGCCAGGATGGTCTTGATCTCCTGACCTCCTGATCCGTCCGCCTTGGCCTCCCAAAGTGAATTACTTTCTTTTTAAAAAAATTCTGGGTGTTTAAAAAATTTTTAATTTTTGTGGGTACATAGTAGGTGTGTATGTTTATGGGGTATATGGGATATTTTGATAGAGACATTTCTTGGGATGAAGGTGATGGGAAAACTAATAATAATAATGATGATTAATATTTTTGAATACATGCCATGCAAAAAACATTGTACTTAATCATTCTAAGTATATTATTTCCAATCCTTACAATAACCCAATAAATGATTAATGCAATTTCCATTTTAAAGCTGTGGAAACTGGCTCACAGATTTACTACTAATATAATGCAGCTATTAAATAAGAGAAAGAGCTTCTAGCCAAGTCCTCTGTGATTCCAAGATCTTTATTATATGCTTTGCTACAACTCCACAAATTCTGACTGGCAAGATTTTGCTAAATACATGATTGATTCTAAGAAAAACATCTCCTCCACTGTAATATTGGATAATGAAGCATCTTTACCAACCTATAGCCTTGGCTGTACTGTGACTTTATTTGCCTTTACATGTCTCTGCATGGTGACAGTTAACATCAGGTTAACTAGGTAACGTCATGCTTAGACCAAAACCATACAGCAATGCTCTTTAAATTGGGGAATATTTTAATATGTGTGCAAAAGCTTTAACAAATGTTAAGGTTTTGCTGAAGTCTGAGTTTTATTCTTCCCACTTTCTCCTAATTTTTTCAGGGGAAACATGCACCAACATCCATATGCAGGCATTCCTCTCTCTGGAGATTTTTTTAAGAGAGAAGGTGAAGCATAAATTTTGAGTGAAACTTTTGTACAAAGCACATTTGTCCTAGAGTTTGGAAACCTGGGTTTGATTATCCACTTTTACATTCTAGATGCATGCCTTGTACAAGACCCTTTAATGTCTCTTAAGACTTACTTTCCTTCTCTGTGAAAAGTATTATCGCTGCCTACAGAATTAATCTCTTTCTCTATGTAATGATTATATATATATATATATATACACAAAATATATGTGTGTATACATATATAAGCAATCACTGTTTATAGAATTATTGTATATACACATGATCTCATAATTATTAATTAAGTGAATGAATGAATAAATTAAATGAAAAAATAATTAAAGAATGTAGCCTTCAGACTATGGAAGATAACGCCTATGTCTTTTCTTCCCTCACCTTCATTCAAAGGTGTTACACCACTAAGAAACTGCCAGTATGTCTTGTGATTAACATTTTCCGCGATATTGTTGATAGAAGAGACGACAAGGCCCCAAGATGTCATTGTGGTTTCAAATCTAAAAAAAAGTTTATATATGATTAACATCTCACTTTAGGTCAGGGAATAAGCGGTAAGATGAAGGGATAGAGACAGTCAATTAATTAATTAGTTAATTAATTTTTTAGAGACAAGGTGTGACTTTGTTACCCAGGCTAGTGGTGAGATCCTAGCTTATGGCAGCCTCAAAATCCTGGGCTCAAGCATCCACCCGCCAGGATAGAGACACTTTAAATGCTTCAGATAAATGCTTCAGATATTTTAAATGATATTCTCTTTTGAGCATGATTTTATCTGATAAAATGATCAGATAAAATCAAATGAGAAAATGCTTTAACCAGTTTACTATTGATGGGCATTTAGGTTGATTCCATGTCTTTGCTATTGTGAATCGTGCTGCAATGGACATGGATGGAGGCCATTATCCTTAGCAAACTAACACAGGAACAGAAAACCAAATACTGCATGTTCTTACTTATAAGTGGGAGCAAAATGATGAGAACACATGAATACACAGAGGGGAACAACACACACAGGGGCCTATCAGAGGGTACAGGTTGGGAGGAGGGACAGGATCAGGAGAAATAACTAATGGGTAGTAGAATTAATACCTGGGTGATGAAATAATCTGTACAACAAACCCCCATGACACAGTTTACCTATGTAACAAACATGCAAATGTACCCCAAACTTAAAATAAAAGTTAAGTTTAAAAAAAAGAGAAAATGGGCCAGGTGTGGCGGCTCATGCCTGCAATCCCAGCACTTTGGGAGGCTGAAGAGGGCAGATTGCTTGAGCCCAGGAGTTCGAGACCAGCCTTGGCAATATAGTGAAACCCCGTCTCTAACAAAAATACAAAAATTAGCCAGTCTCATAACCTGATCTCAAAATAAATAAATAAATAAATAAATTTTAAAAAAGCAAACATACAAATGACTAATGAATATGAAATTACTTCACTTAGAATGAAATGAAATGAAAATGAATGGATTTTGAAAACACCTATTAATAATCAAATTTAAAAAATGTAAATTCCCCCAAATGGGTAAATGATTATATGAGTGATGGAATGAATATCCAAGATTAAATATTTGGAAGCCATGAAAATATTTGTCAATAATTTTCAGTAACACAGGAAACTACTTATGCAATAACGTTAAGTGAAAATATGAGGTACAAATTTTACATGAAATATCTGTCCCATGTATATGATGGATCACACCTATTTGTAATATGCATAGAAAAAAACCTACAAAAGTTATAAAAAATATTAACAATTGTGATATTGTGTGTGGACTATAGATGATTTTTCTTCTTTTTGCTTTTTCCCTCAAAATTTCTGCTCTATGTATTTAATACATTTATAATCAGAAAAAGAAAAATTAGGCAAAATTAAAGCTAACTTCAGAGAAGTAAAGTACGGTATATTCAGAGGGTTTTAAAATTAAATATTTTTGGGCCAGACGCAGTGGCTCACGCCAGTAATCCCAGCACTTTGGGAGGCTGAGGTGGGTGGATCACCTGAGGTCTGGAGTTCAAGACCAGCCTGGCCAACATGCTGAAACCCCATCTCTACTGAAAATACAAAAATTAGCAGGGCATCGTGGCGGGTGCCTATAATCCCAGCTACTCAGGAGGCTGAGGTAGGAGAATCACTTGAACCCGGGAGGTGGGGGTTGCAGTGAGCCGAGATCGCGCCATTGCATTCCAGCCTGGGTGACAAGAGCAAAACTCTGTCTCAAAAAAAAAAAAAAAATTAAATAGTTTTGAAGTGCAATTTTTATCCTGACCTGTCTATGGAAGTTAGGGAAGTTATGGAGTCGTGCAGTAAGCAGCAGACACAATGTGCTCAACAGAACCGGGTGGAATAGATACCCACGTGGTATCACTCAGTTGTCAATTCCTTAGCCTTTGTCAGTATTCCTTCTTGATATCTTCCTGAAGAATTTGGATCATCTTTTCTTTGAAAAAGAAAAGATGCTTTTTTCCTTTCCATGACTTGGCATTTTTCCTCCTCTCCTCCTATAGCTTAGACTTCTCCATGTTTCTTTACTGCTTCCTCTTTTTGCAAACTATAAACATGCCCTAAAAGTTAATTTTCTCCTCTGTGATTTATTTCTGTATTTTCCCCTACCTTGAGAGGGGCATGGAAAGAACATGAGCATCAGATTCAGTCCAACCTGGGTTCCACTCTCAACTCTATTAGTTACATGTTATGTGATCTTAGGAATGTTACTAACTTCTTTGGGCCTAAGGGTTCTATCTGTAAAATGAGAATAACTAAATATGTCTTATGGTTTTATTGGGTGCAAGTATCTGCTATCTACTGCATGGGTTCTTGACTTAGGTCATCACCTCTAAGAGATGACTGTCCAATTTATTTTTTGCATGTCCTGACCTCTTTTCCTAGTACTTCCTCTATGCCTCCAAAAGCCTGCCTTTCTGTTTCTTTCTTTCTTTCTTTTTCTTTCTTTCTTTCTTTCTTTCTTTCTTTCTTTCTTTCTTTCTTTCTTTCTTTCTTTCTTTCTTTCTTTCTTCCTTCCTTCCTTCCTTCCTTCCTTTTTCTTTCTTTCTCTTTCTTTCTCTCTCTCAATTCCTTCTTTCCTTCCTTTTTTTTGTTTTTTTTTTTTTTGAGACAGAGTCTCACTCTGTCTCCCAGGCTGGAGAGCAGTGGGCACGATCTTGGCTCACTGCAACCTCCACCTCCCAGGCTCAAGCAATCTTCCCGTCTCAACCTCCTGGGTAGCTGGGACCACAGGCACGCACCACCACGCCTGGCTAATTTTTGTACTTTTAGTAGAGATGAGGTTTCGCCATGTTGGCCAGGCTAGTCTCGAACTCCTACCCTCAACTGATCCACCCGCCTCAGCTTCCAAAGTGCTGTAATTACAGGCATGAGCCACTGTGCCTGGACTATACCGCCAAAAGCCTTCTAATGTTCCTATTTCAAATGCCTACCATTAAACATATCTAAGGAATTTAATCCTTTTCTTTGAAAGATATTCTTTCTTCTTGACCCTTTAATCAATAGTTTTGAAGCTTCTTTCTCTTGACCTCTATGTCCCATCACTCACAGAGCCTTGGTGTGGGTCCGTGTATCCCAGAGGAAGTCATCGTCACTTCACACCTCCATTATTGGAGTCATGTCCTATGTTTTAGCCTTGTCTCCTATTCTCACGACCTAAGCAACATTTTACCAAGTGGATTTTCTTACTCAAAAACTTGCAAAATGAAGTTCAGTCTCCTGAACCTGGTATTTCAAGACTTTTACACTGTCACCCAACCTGGTATGTCCACCTGGCCTATTCATTGGCCCCAAATTCCTTGCTCAGTCTTATCGCAAATGCTTTGTTCTGGCCATTTCTTTTCCTTTTTTTTTTTTTTTGAGATGAAGTTTTGCTCTTGTTGCCCAGGCTGGGGTGCAATGGCATGATCTCGGCTCACCGCAACCTCCGTCTCCCAGGTTCAAGCGATTCTCCTGCCTCAGCCTCCCGAGTAGATGGGATTACAGGCACGTGCCACCACGCCTGGCTAATTTTGTGTTTTTAGTAGAGACGGGGTTTCACCATGTTGGTGAAACTCCTGAGCTAAGATGATCCGCATGCCTCAGCCTCCCAAAGTGCTGGGATTACAGGCGTGGGCCTCCCAAAGTGTTGGGATTACAGGCATGAGCCACTACGCCCGGCCTGTTCTGGCCATTTCTTTTTCTGGACTTACCTCTTCCCACATCTTCCTAAATAGTACCTATTCTTTGTGTTTCAAAGCTACAAAGTCTCTTTTGCCTGTTCTACTCTGCAATGGACTTTCGAATCTCCTCTGAATTTTTGTTTTTAAAACTTCATCATATGTTGACTTATATGATTTAAGTTTTCATGAGAGCCTTACCTATTTATTAGATTGAAAGCTGCTCAAGCGCTATTAAATAAAAATCTGTTATCAAAAGGAAAAAAATTAGGAAAACAGGATGGATAAAAAATGGGAATTCAGATCAGGCCTTGAGAGAATGATGAATGACATTTGTAATACTCACTTGAACATAGGATTTTTGCGCTGTGCTTCCTCTAGGACAACAAGTAACACTGACCCACTTTTCACACTAACATTGATGGTCTCGTTGAAGAGCAGCTCAACCCCCCTCAGCTGGTTATTTATGGTGTATATGACAGTGATGTTAGATGCAGAGGTGGGGCCAGGGCCAGGGTTGCTGGGTAGAGTTGGTTGTACCTCATGATCTGTGAAGGGCAAAGAGGCCACATTTGTCAAAGATTATGGGGTTTGTATCATAGGTGCAAAATCTCTGTTATTGGCAACTTACCCCAGAAGACATTTTGAGAAAGTAGTGAGTTTCATACCATTTAACAAAGTACTTGGACAACTAGCATAGAATTCCGGCAAAAACTCCATGGCCACCTTGTTAAGGTTGGGACATCACTGGGAAGCAGCCTAAGGGGTTGAGTGAATGTGGTAGTTTTTGGTAGGATTGGGATCAGTTTGCTTGATTTTGGTCTCCACATTCTGCATTGAGATAGACGAGAAACTTATTAATTGCTTCTTGTCTTAGGAAGTTCATGCAATGCAAGAGGAATGATGCTTTGTGTTAGCATTTTATTAAAAAAAAAGAGTTTGAGGAATCCATACCAAACACTAGTAATCTCTGGAGTAATAAGTTTTTATGCAAGACCTCCACTTTCCAAATGCATATTTCTGTAATGTTTGAATTTTTAGTGTCTTTCAATTATATGCATAATTGGATAAAATAAAGATATTTTTAATTAAAAAGTGGCATGCTAGGTTTCCACTCCATCTCATTGATATATTGCGTGCATCGAGCTTTCATATTTAGATCGTTAAGGCTCGATTTAAATATGAATTCTGTTCTTCTCTGAAGCCTCCCAAACAAAATCAACAACTGGTCACTATTTTTCTTTTTGGCATTTGCACTGTGTGTGGCTTTAACTTCTATTTAATACTTACTCGATTGTCCCAAATATTGTAGTTTTTGTTTACACATCTGTCTTCTGACTTTGTGAAAGGCAGATATGATAAGATATGCATAGTGTTTGATGGTACATTTGTGAAATGAATAAATGAAGCTATATGTTGTTTGATAGCTGGGACCATGGAGCTTCTTCTACCTCTAGTATCCCACAAAATGCTTTGCACATAGTAGGAGCTAGGTAAATATATGCTGAATGAAGTAGATATGGGGCTGAGTTCTGAGTGCAGGAAGGTATGTCTGTGTGCTAGCACACACTCTTAAGGACTGGGAGTCAGATGTACTCTGCCCACATGGGAATAATGGACATTACAAGCCTATATGCCACTTAACATTGATCCACATGTCATTTCTGGCATAAGTTGCTGCTTTATGACATAAGGAGAGGTGGATGTCTTACCAGGACTACAAGTGACCTGGGGCACATCTAGGTATGTCTTGCCTTTCAGGGAAGGGAGGATTTGAGCAATGGACATGGGGTTGTGGAATTTCCCCTGCTTAATCTCATTGAGTATCATATCCGTAGTCTTCTTGCAGTTCCATTCCTTTTTAGATGGCTCAGGTGTTACAGAGAGAGCCTGGGAAGGAAGACAGAAAGAGAGAGAAAGAGTAATTAGGCATAGCTGAGAGTTGGCTCTTACATGTCTTAAGAGATAAACTTGATCACTAATCATGGTGATCACGTAGTCACCCAGAATGCAAAGCCAATGCTATGTAAGGTTTGGAAAACATTTGTCTTCAATGCTATGTCCCCACCACTTAGCACAGTGTCTGTCAGACAGCAGACACAGAACTGTGCAATGATCAGATCCAGGGAACACTATTAGGCAGTCATATTTACGAACGACTCTTGAATGTAGAGTGAGGGTGAGAGCTGGGCTCCAGAGGGAGCTTTAGCCTAGGACAGTCTAGCCACATAAACGGAGTAGACCCCTTGTTTCATATTGCCATGTGCCCTCTTTGATGGACTTTTCCCTCACTTTGTGCTTGTGTCAGGACTCTCAGAGGCTCCACAACCCTGGCCCAGGATGGACTCATGACCTGGACTGGGCTGATGGTGGTCACCATCCCCTTGATGACAGTGATTGGTGGACACATGTACTAATCAGAATCATTCCCCGACATACAGACATTGGGACACCCAAAGATTTTTTTTTCCTGCTAAGGTTATTCAACTGGGACCATGCAAATAAACGGTAAGCTGCTAGTGACCATCTTTCTCAGCCACTTTGAAGAAGCCCTGCAGCAGGAAAGAATGAGGAAAATCAGGGCTGGACGATGAAAAAAGAGTGGCTCCTGATATCATGATTTGAGCCCTTTATTCTGGTTATTCCTGAAACCACCTAATTCAGCCCTAGACTTCCCAGTGTATGTGAATAGTAAATCCTCATTTTTTTCTTGAGCTAAAAGGATTTGGGTTTCTGTTACTTGCAAAATGAGTCTTGAGTAATACACCAAGCCATTCAGCCATTCACCTATTTTGCTGCGTTATCTATCGCATGAATAAAATAGAAATAATAACTTCTGTCTATTGTTGGGGGAGTCATTTGCGGTTCCAAGGGGCTAATGTATAAAAGCATTTCGTGATGTGTGATGTGTGATGTGGAAGCTGTCATTACCACCTCCCTTCCTTTACAGTGCGATTATGGCCACCAGAGCATGTTAATAGGCTGAGATTGTTAATGACTGGTTCACCTGAAGCTTGGAATAGGAAATGGGAGAAGAGAGAGAGAGGAGTCAGAAACGGCTGTCTCAGCTAGGGTCAGTATGCACAACTGGGCAGTTGTGACAGGGACAACCATCACTGAACCTCAGCATCTATGAAGCATGGCTCTGGACAGAGGCCACTTTACAAGGCAGTTGCTTTAAGGGCCATCAGGTGGGTGCTCCTCAGCAACAATATCTTGTCCACTTGTCATATGCACCTCCCAAATTTCACTAAGCAAGGTATATTCATTGGGATTACACATCACCAATGCCAACACTCTAGAGAGGATAACACATTAAGTGGTTAGACGTCATTAATAACTTTCCATCAAGAAGTTTATCAGTTCTCTTTTTCTTTTCTTTCTTTCTTTTTTTTTTTTTTTTTTGAGATGGAGTCTCGCTGTGATGCCCAGGCTGGAGTGCATTGGTGCAATCTTGGCTCACTGCAACCTCCGTCTCCCGGGTTCAAGTGATTCTCCTGCCTCAGCCTCCTGAGCAGCTGGGATTATAGGTGCCTGCCAGCACACCAGGCTAATTTTTGTATTTTTAGTAGAGATGGGGTTTCACCATATTGGCCAGGCTGGTCTTGAACTCCTGACCCCAAGTGATCTGCCCGCCTCGTCCTCCCAAAGTGCTGGGATTACAGGTGTGAGCCATCACGCCTGGCCTATCAGATCCCTTTTCAAGATAAGCGCCTATCAGAGGAAACTTGAAAGCAATAGGATATTCATGGAAGAAAGATGAGAAGTTCTGGAACAGAGGAAATGCCTCATGAGCGTCTTTGGGTAGGGAAGAGTGTGGCCTGGGCCACTGGAAGTGTACTGACATCTTGGAAGAAGGTGAACAAAGGCTGAAAAGGAACTTTACTAGCATCACTGCTCTGCTGAGACAGATCTTGAACAATTGTTAAGCATTACATTATGCATGCATTTTTTTGCATACCACATTTTATTTAACCTAATTGCAACCTTATTATTATGGGGAAAATAAAATCTGGGGAAATTCAATATTTGTCTGAGATGGTGGCAGGTGTGGGAGTCAAACCTAAATTGTGATAGTTCCAGAGCCCTTTGATTTTCTATATCAGAATATTTTAGATTAGGAAAATATTATATATTAGACACCTATTGATTCCAGATTTCAGGATGCCTAAATAAGTTCCAGATAGAGGCAGTAAAAAGGGTAGGGAGAGATTATGTATTCTGACAAGAAATCCACATGGCCTGTGGTATTTGGATGTAGACAGGGTCCTGCCTTTTGATAGGAAAAGCTCTAATTCCCAGGTACAGCTTATCAAAGTGTACTTGGCAGGTGATAAAATCCAAACAGAATTCACAAACCAAGTTAGCAAAAGTAAACACTTCACTGTCTGGTGATAAATTGAAGCAAGGTTATTTTTAGAGAGTCACACATAAAAAAAAAAAATCCCCAAACCATCTTTTATATCTCTTCCAGACTGCCTTTTTCTTTCCAAAAAGCTTCTAGACCAGAGCACTGGGAATGTTCTTGTAAAATTCAGCCATGGAAAAAACAGGGTTTTGTTCTATGACAAAGTCTCCTTGACTGTGACATAGAAATGAACTCTATTTTTATTAGTCACTTCTATATGTGGTCCATTGAAGTGGAAATTTTTTTTTTTTTGCTCTTATGTTTAACATGAACCAATTCTTAGGCTGCTTATATCCTTTTCTAATTTTTAATGTATGAAATCTCAATACTAGTCTCCATTGTTTTCCCCAGGAGACAATTTCTTTCTAATAGTCCGCAACTATGTTAGGTTTAGGGCTGGCATCACCATTCCATGATTCTCCCTTTAGTGGGCTTTCTGAGTTGAAGAGTCCCTGGTCCTATTAATCCCCATAGGACATTTTGAGACACTGGAGCTCAAACTTCTTAGTTGGGATTAGAGGATTCAGCCACAGATGGTTGCTAGTTTCTGATTCTAGTTGGTTATTTCTGCCCACCACCATTGGTGCATCTGTCTTCTATGGAGGCTGCTGCCCTAATCAACTAGGGTAGGGTGGGTTGTTGGATTTGGAACTATGAATACCAAACACATCTTACAGAATCCAAGCCTGGGAATGCATGCTGTGAAAGCACAGAATTGAATATGGACTTGGCTGACAGATAGATCTGCTTTACCATTTACTATGGGTTTTTGTGAGGCTGGGTCAACTTTAGGTTATTTTCCTTAATCATTTTGAGTATAAACTTGCTATTTTTAGATCAAGGTAAAACACTGAAAAAGAACACTTGGCTGGTAAGATTGCATCAGAAAATTGTATATTTTTAGAGGGCCTGCTTTAATATTCTTATTATTTATACATCAAAATTGTAATAGTCTGTAACTATTACAAATAAACTGATCATTATTAATAATAAATTAATATATTTCTTGATTTATTTGTTTCATTTTTTTTCCCAAGAAAGAGAAACAAGTTCATATAGATTTGTTTTCACACTTTACATAGGAGGTAGGGAGGAATTAACACTTACCTGCATTTTACCAGTAGAGAAACTGAGGCCCAGGCACCACAAAGAATATATCTCAGGTCATACTAGCTGGACTTTCACAGAGATGTTAGTAGAAGCCTGGCCTCTTGATTCTGCAATCCAGGCTTATTGGCAGGAACCCAACCAAGAGCATCCAGCACGTGTTTACCTGCATGGCGAGGCCAGTACTGTAGATGTCTCCAATGATGCCATTATCTTTGATCTTCATGCTGATTTTCTCCACAATATCCTTTAGTACCTGACCAAACAGGGATCTGTAACCTTCCTCTGAACCTACAGGGATCTTGTTGTACATACAGGTCAGAGCCAAGGTTGCCATTGCTCCTGTGTCTGTGAATGACAGAGGGTATAAGATCACCATAGTCACCATCACAGCAATATGAACAGCTAACATTTATTGTGTGCTTATTATATTCTGGCTCCATGATTTTATTTGCTCCTCAGAACAACCTGTGAAACAGTACCTGTAATCATCTCCATTTAAGAGACAAAAAATGGAGGCTCAGAAAAATTAAGTAAGCAGCAGGGCCAAATCTCCATTTGAAAGTTGCATAACTTCGTTAAGGGTGCTAGTGTTACTGACAACCAGAAGTAAATAAGTCCAAATTTTTGGAGGCAGAGATGCCCCAGAAATGTGTGAGGTCCCAGATGTGAAAGGGAGACCAGTCTGTTCTTAACCCCCAGGGAGGATCCTAGAGCAGTGGTTCACCTGTTTGTCTGACAGAAACTGAAACAAGAGAGGTTGCTGATGGGGCATGCATAAGGGAGTGAAAACCTGAGATAATACTATTGCTTAGAGAGTTGGCAGAGGAGAAAAGGTGATCATGAATGCGGGCTGTGACAGTGGCCCCCACAGAGAAGGATCATTATCCATAGAAGGGGACAGAAGGAGGACATGATGTTGTAGAGGGAAAAGCTTCTATTCACAAGCAGCCATATGCTTGCAGAACAAAGACGCAAGGTGGTCCCCGAGTTGCCATGAAGGGAAATATCACGAGTTAGGGTTCCGAGAGTAGCTGTTTAATGGAGAGAGGATATTTGGATGTAATGAGGAGAAGCATCGAAAAGAATGGAGTGTGGGAGCATCAGTAGTGATTAAAGAGAGGATGCAGAGGAGAACTGAAGCAAGACATTCATATTTAATTTGGGAAGAACTTCTGACTTGAATGGCATTACTATTGTTCCCAGCGGAGATTCTGTAGCTGCCAGACATATCAAGTATTATCAATTGTCCTTGTTTCTACATAATACTACCCCCTCTTCCTTCACTTACTCCTCAATTCACCTGCCCAACAAACATCTGGTAAATATCTCCCATCCACAGGCACGTTCACATCCTTAGCTCCTCCTCCATGGGACGCTCTCCTTTGTCACTTCCCTGCCAGCTCCACCATTCAGTTCACGATGCCTCTGATGTTCCCAGCTCGGGGTAGTGGTGACCTACTCACCTACATTGAAGGGAGAGGAGTTGGCCAGCAGGGTCTTGGCAAAGCGGACGGCTATCGGCAAGGTCGCCTCAGAGTTCTTCTGGCACAGTGCCAAGATCGCTAGACTGGGCCCATAGAAGGCTGATGCTTCAGCGTTGGGGCCTCCGAAGGGGATAGAGAACCTTCATCAGACTCACAGTCACCACGATGAGGACATTTGCAAAGAAGGAAAAGCCAAGCCTTTGAAAAGGAAATTGCTAGAAAACCTGCCCCCAAAGAGAGACACAGCATAGGCAAAGAGCAACTTCAGTGTTTTTCAAAAGAATGTCATCAGGCATCTGCAAAGAATAAAAGGGATGACTCTGTGTCTTTAGACAGGTGATGGCTGGACAAGCTTGTGTCCTTGGGATCATGACCTTTTCTAGTTCATTTTGGATTGGAAATGAATCTTTCTGGTCTGGATTATCAGAAGGACCAGAGTGAAGGATACATTGTCTCTTCCCTAACTTGCCTTTCTCTCCACCCCCACCCTTTTCCTTTCTGGGTTTAAAATTCTTAGGTAAAACCATATGCCTGACTCTTTTCTCCCTTCCAGTCAGGTCTTACTGGAAGGTGCCCAGTTCTCCATTTGTCTTTGTAGAATGGATACTTTATCCCCAGGGTCTCGGCAGGAGGAGGTGAGGGCCATGATGGTGAGGCCGAGCTGCCCAATGGTTAGATCTGCAGAGAAGAGAACACAACGGTTAGACAGAGACATCCTCAGGGGACAGCTCTCCAGGAGCCAGTGATGAGTTCTCTGCTTTTTATCTAGAGCATTTTGACTTTTTAATAATATGAGCAGTTCTTTGATCTGTCTTTCCAAAGAAAAAAATATGGAAGAATACGTAAGGGAATATTTAATCTAGTGGCCTCTGTGTAACTTGATGACTCTAGTATTTGGTATTTGAGAATCCCTGGTATTTGATTAGAAAAGCAGCAAAATACTCATATAGATTTATATACAGAAATTTACAGTTGCAAAATAATTTAAACTTTATCTAACTTGAGCCTGCAGGCAGCTCCTGGGAGATAGGCAGAACAGAGATTTTATTATTATTATCATTGCTATTAGTAGTAGTAGGGTTATTGTTACTACAATCATCTGCAAGGTGAGGCTGAGCAGTATCCAGTGACTTGTCTCAGATCCCAGAGTTATGACGTGGCAGAGCCAGAACCAGAAGGCTGCTCTTTCGACGTCTAGTCCAGAGCTCTCCCTGCTTTACTGACCTCCTCCATGAATGCTCTGACTTCACACATGTTTCTTTCCAGGTACCTTCCAGGTATGTAAGGAAAGGTGTTTGGGTAGTTTATTTACAGTCAGAGGCAGCATTGGGGTGGGAAGGACGCTGAGTTGGAATCTGGAGGTGGTATGTGATGTGTGAGATTCAGGGAGAGTGCGAGCGGCTCAGATGTCTCACCGTTGTTGTCGCTGGACATGAGCTGGTAAGTCAGGAGCTTCTGGGCCTTCAAGTTGTAGGCTCCGGCCAGATTCATGGCAATCAGGATGCTGGGGTTTGGGTAGGCTGATGAAGTCACCGAGTTCTCCATGAGTACTTGTATTCCATTGACCAAGGGCTCCTGTGCTGAGGGAACGGCTGAGAAGAGGAAAGCCATTTACTCACCTTCTAACCCTCATTCCTTCTCAAAAACATTATCCCCGTGTCTTTGATGCTTTTTCTTTCTTTCTTTTTTTTTTGAGACAGTGTTACTCTTGTTGCCCAGGCTAGAGTGCAATGGCACGATCTCGGCTCACTGCAAACTCTGCCTCCCAGGTTCAAGTGATTCTCCTGCCTCAGCTTCCTGAGTAGCTGGGATTACAGGTGTGCACCACCACGCCAGGCTAATTTTTGTATTTTTAGTAGAGATGGGGTTTCACCATGTTGGCCAGGGTAGTCTCGAATTTCTGACCTCAGGTAATCCACCCTTCTTGGCCTCCCAAAGTGCTGGGATTACAGGCGTGAGCCACCTCGCCTGGCCATCTTTGATGCCTTTTAGGAGAACACTTGATTAGCATTAGTGTCCTAAGTCACTAAAGAGAAATGGAGAAAATGGTGAGATTTTACTTTTGAGGACAATTAGTTTCTACATCTTCTCAAATAATCCATATCCTTAAGAAAGTGATTTTTAAATTTAGTAACTTCAAGCAATATGGCTCATGACATTTCTCATAGTTTCTATCACTTTCCTGGAAATCACTGATTTCCTTGCATTCATTTTTTTCCTTACTCTTTCATGAAGAGTATTAAAGATTTGGGATATAATTTATCCTCAGTGAGTACCAAAATCTCTCACTAGTATGTAGTGGTGTCTGGTCACAATAGCCACTGAGTGTCTGTCTTTGTACCATCAACCATTATTCCTGCAGTAGTACTTCCATCTCTATTATTTTTATTTATTGATTTTTTGAGACAGGGTGCTGCTGTGTCATCTAGGCTGGAGTGCAGTGGTGTGATTATAGCTCACTGCAGCCTCGACCTCCTGGGCTCAAGCGATTCTCCTACCTCAGCTTTCTGAGTAGCTGGGACCACAGGTGCATGCCACTGCGCCCAGCTAATTTTTTATTTTTATTTATTTATTTTTTTTGTAGAGATGGAGTCTCACCATGTTGCCCAGGCTGGTCTTGAACTCTTGGGCTCAAGCAATCCTCCTGCTTCAGTCTCCCAAAGTGCTGGGATTACAGGTGTGAGCCACTGCACCTGGCCCCATCTCTCTTAATAAAAAACATATAGACTTGTCTCTCAAAGAACTTATGCTATTAAGTCAGGAAGGATGAACAGCACACAATCACACTCAGACTTACCCATTTTGGAATTCCTATAGTGATTGCTATTTTCAACCACTCAGTGTCAGAGGTCACAGCCCCTTCCCCAGGGCAACTGCTTCCCTGACCTCCTTGGAAAAACATCATACTCACAGCATGAACTCTGGGTCTGGGTACTAGTCCCAGCTGTAGCCCAGAGAAGGCTCAGGAGGTAGAGGGCAAACCAGGCCATCTCACTCTCTCGTCTATGTCTCTCATCCACAGGTACCGCGATTTGCAAGTGGAATATTTCTTTACCTTCTCTTATATGTGCTTCCCTTTGTTAAATAATCTGTCCCCAACCCAGCCTCTCCTAACTGCCCCTGTGCTGACCTCTCCTTTCCTGATACAAGTAAGTAAATTTTCATTTGCTTATCTAAGTTTACCGACTATAGACCCTCCAAGGTGTCTGAAGGTGACTTCTAGGTTGCACAGTCATATGAGAAACCTGGGGCTGGGTATGCAGTGAAGGCAATGTTGAGAAAATGTCCTTTACCAAAGGCCTGGGTCAGACATCAGGAAGTTTGGATAATGTGCTAGTATCAACAAGACCTCTTCTAGCCCTTATTGTATCCAATCAGTTACCAGGCTGCTTTTTAGTAACTACTTCACTGGGATTTAGGCCATTCATAGGCATCAGCTCATTTTATGATCCTAGACACCTGCTTTACAACATGTCCTTTTAGGCTCTCAGGCAGGGATCTGCCAGGTGACATCTGGCTTTGTGAAATTAATGATGTCTACCTGGACCTGGATTCTAGCCTAGACTCTTTGAAGTTGTTTGACTTTAGGCAAGAAATGGACCTCGGTTTCCCAGAAATGGTTTTGTTTGATTTCTCTTTCCTTATCTGGAGATAAAAGCCATCTCAAACACCCAAAGCTTTCAGATATTATCTTTTAAAGTAAGTAATTAGAAAATGTGAGATCCATTAAGAATACATATTTCAGATGTGTAGCTACATTATAATGCAAATTATACTTCTTTATAAGGGAGAACTGAAAATGGTATGTTGAAATTATAAAGAAAGGAGTTTTGTTTGTTTTTTTCCTGCATGTAAAGTAGCTCATTTTAAGGGGATATTCTCCAGTGGCGCCCATCTTAGCATAAAAGTCAAAGCCCTTTTCATGACCTATAAGACCTTAGAAGATCTGGCTCCTGGTTTCCTTTCTGACCTCAGCTCCAGGCGTTTTCCCCTTTGCTCACACCGCTCCCATCACACAGAACTTCTTGTGCCCCTTGAACACATCAGCTACCTTTGCACATGATGTCCCCCTCAGCCCAGGACCCTCTTCTTTTAAATAGCCTCATGGTGGCTTCCTCACATCCTTCATGTCTCTGCTCAGAGGTAAGCTTTTAGAGACGCCTTCCCAGGCCACCCTACATAAGATCCTACATCCTCACCTCCACTGACACCCCTCATGCCCCTCGCCTGCTATAACTCATTGCCCTCTGTCGCACTAAGTGTGTGGTTGTTTATCGTTTGTTTATCTCCCTACTAGAATGTCTGCTCCACGAGGGAGGGGCTTTGTCTCTTTGGCTCACTGCTCTATCCTTAGCCCTTACAACACTACCTAGCTCACAGTAGAAATAAAATACTTTTTGAATGAGTGAATTAATGAGCAAATGTAAGACATGGGTAATAAAGCATTTTTTCCCCCTTGGGAAACATGGGTGAGTTTTGTGAGATGAGAGCACAGGGTACATACTGGGGTGTGCTGGACAACTTCTAACATGGCCCTGTGTTTTCACCTCCCGGTATTCATGCCTTGTGTAGTCCTCTTCCCTAGAGTGTGGGCTGGCCTGGGGCCACATTCTATTATAATGAATATAATGCAGCAAAGGTGATGGGATGTGGTTGCAAAAGACCGATTTCCCTCTTGCTTGCCTTCTCTCTCTTGCCCTTCCTGCTCTCATGAAGGCAGCTGCTAAGTGTGAGCTGCCTTATGGAGAAGCCCACATATGGCCCCTGAGAGTAGCCTCCAGCCGATATTCAGGGAGAAAAGAACCCTTCCCCAGTGAGCTTTGAGATGAAGGCAGCCCCAGCTGACATCTTGATTGCAGCCCTGGGAGAGACCCTCCTAAGCCAGAGGACCCATGTAAACCCTCCCTGGACTCCTGACCCACAGAAACTGTGGGATAATAAATGTTGTCTTAGGCCCCTAAGTTTTAAAGTCACTTGTTATGCAGCAATATATATCCAATACATGGTACATGGTGGAAGATGAGGCTGGAAAGACAGTTGGCATCTACTTGGTGGACAGCCTTGCATGCTGTGTGAAGGAGTAGGAGGCAGAATAATGGCACTGCCCACACACCGCCAAATGCCCATGCCCTAATCCCTGGAACTTGTGAACATGTTACGTGGGTTATATGGCCAGGAAGAATTAAAGATGCACATGGAATTAAGGTGGCTAATGAGCTGACTTTAAGAGAGGAAGGTTAGCTTGGATCATCTGGGTGGGCTCAATGTCATCACAGAGGTCCTTGTTAGTGGCAGAGGAAGGCAAGAGCGTTAGAATCAGAAAAGCAAATGTGATGTTAGAGGCAGAAGTCAGAATGATGCAATTGCTGGCTTTGTAGGTGGACAGGGGCCATGAGCCATGCAACGTGGGCAGCCTCCAGAAGCTGGAAAAGGCAAGGAAATGGATTCTTCTTCACAAGCTCTGTTACTAGGGGAGCCCTACGGAAATAGCTGGGAGGGCTTCTTATTTTCTTAAACTGTTGTTTTCCCTTAGCCTTTTTTTTTTTTTTAAGATTGTCCCTGTTCCTTTTTTTTCTTTTTTTTTTAATTATACTTTAAGTTTTAGGGTACATGTGCACAATGTGCAGGTTAGTTACATGTGTATACATGTGCCATGCTGGCGTGCTGCACCCGTTAACTCATCATTTAGCATTAGGTATATCTCCTAATGCTATCCCTCCCCCATCCCCCCACCCCACAACAGTCCCCAGAGTGTGATGTTCCCCTTCCTGTGTCCATGTGTTCTCATTGTTCAATTCCCATCTATGAGTGAGAACATGCGGTGTTTGGTTTTTTGTCCTTGCAATAGTTTACTGAGAATGATGATTTCCAATTTCATCCATGTGCCTACAAAGGACATGAACTCATCATTTTTTATGGCTGCATAGTATTCCATGGTGTATATGTGCCACATTTTCTTAATCCAGTCTATCATTGTTGGACACTTGGGTTGGTTCCAAGTCTTTGCTATTGTGAATAGTGCCACAATAAACATATGTGTGCATGTGTCTTTATAGCAGCATGATTTATAGTCCTTTGGGTATATACCCAGTAATGGGATGTCCCCTTAGCCTTTTTATCTATAGATGCCACTGCTTAAAGAGCTCCAGATGGCCCAGGATGCTTCAGGAGCTTCATGATCCCTTGCCAAATACCAGAGGAAGATAAGACCTGCACCAGACCGGTGCAAACCAGAACCGGCAACCCCTAGTTACTTTTAGATCATTAACATATCATTATAATACTAGATTCCTCTCCCTTAAAAGAAAATCGCTGCCATTTTGTGTACATGCGAGGTATGAAGAAGTATGTCTGGGGACTGCGCCTGCGTGTTTGGAACTCCACCCTCGGCCTGCTTACATACCTCCCTGCCCCATGTCTAACTCTTGAAAATTTCCCTGCTTCCCATTGCTTAAGGAGAATGCGCCTTTAGAGCGAGAGCTCCCCTTCTCCATTCCCTGGCCAGTGAATACGACCCAATTGCTTTTGTCCAATTGCATGTTCCTTCTTTGTGACCCATACAAAGTAGGGAAAGAACTTGGTTTACTGCTGCCACCTCTAGAAGGAACACAGCTCCTTCGACACCTTGATTTTAGCCCAGTGAGACTCTGACTTCCAGAACTGTGAGATGATAAATTTGTCTTAAATAACAAAATTAGTGGTAATCTGTTACAGCAACAATAAGAATCTAATACAGGATTATGAGTACAGTATGGTGCTGACTTTGCATTCCAGAGCCTGCTCCTGATCGTCCTGAGATGATCCACACACCCTTGGCCTGCCAGCTCTTTAACCACTCACTTCCTTGTATTATAAATTACCATTTACAACCAGGGCTGCTGCAAGATTGATCGTGACACAATTGTTGCAGTTAGTAAATAATTCCCAGAACAGGAACCACACAGGCCATACATTTCTTAACAGGGATATTTTGACAGTCCTTGGTTAACTATTGACTGGGATGATGTGTTCATTTATTTCCTTGTTTCTCCTGTGCCTAATATTTTGGTATCAAAGCACCTAGACTCTCTCTGGACATAAGTGAGGTTTATTTGTGGTGATTATTCTTTGCTGTGGCAGCAAAAGGAAGTTTCTCTCTTCAGACTCAGTTCAGGTTCTGTAATAGTCTCAAGCTGTAGGAGCTTCTTGTAAGGCAAGTGTGGCCAATTAGGTTTCTTATTTTTATTTTTATTTTTATGTTTTTCTGAGATGGAGTCTGGCTGTGTTGCCCAGGCTGGGGTACAATGGTGTGATCTCAGCTCACTGCAACCTCTGCCTCCCGGGTTCAAGTGATTCTCCTGCCTCAGCCTCCTGAGTAGCTGGGATTACAATTGCCTGCCAATATGCCCAGCTAATTTTTGTATTTTTAGTAGAGGTGGGGTTTCGCCATGTTGGCCAGGCTGGTCTCAAACTCTTAACCTCAGTTATCTGCCTGCCTTGGCCTCCCAAAGTACTGGGATTACAGGCATGAGCCACCACGCCTGTCCTCAGAACTAGGTTTCAAGGGCCGATGTTAGTGGAACCCTAAGGGAGTGTTATTTCATGTCTACTTCTGAGATTAAAGGCATTTATATCAGACAGCAATGTTACTTACTACATTATACTTTTTTTTTTTTTGAGACAGAGTCTAGCTCTGTTTCCCAGGCTGGAGTGCAGTGGCGCATTCTCGGCTCACTGCAGCCTCCGCCTCCCAGATTCAAGCGATTCTCCTGCCTTAGCCTCCCGAGTAGTTGGCACTACAGGCGCATGCCACCACACCTTGCTAATTTTTGCATTTTTAGTAGAGACGGGGTTTCACCATGTTGGCCAGGATAGTCTCGATCTCCTGACCTAGTGATCCACCTGCCTCAGCCTCCCAATGTGCTGGGATTACAGGCGTGAGCCACTGCGTCCGGCCTACATTATACTTTAAGACCTCTGGCTGGGAGAAACTAGGCTCTGTCTGTTAGAAATAAATGCTAGTAGTGCTAATTGCTAGTATGCAATTCTGACATTTTGCATATTTCTCACCTTAAACCAGTATCCTTCAATTTCACATAGCTTGTATAGGCTACAAACAGATCTGACGATTAACAGCACCAGGGATCCTGGAAGGGTAACATGGCTCCCAGCTTCTCTAATTTAGCTTTATTATTATTATTATTATTATTGTTATTATATTTTTAATTTTTGTGGGTACACAGTAGGTGTATATATTTTCTAACTTAGCTTTAAAGATGAGACACAGACCCAAGGGATAGAATCCATTTCTGTCCACTCATGAGGGTCATGTGTTACATCCAGTTAATGAAGACCAGGGCAGAGTTGAACCTGAGCATCGAGTATCAATAGCAGAAAGCAGTATGTTGGAAGAGGGTTCAATCTCTGACTGTGAAGCAGTGTCACTGGTGAAGGAGAGGAAGCTAGGATGATTGTGAAGAAAACACAGGAGAAATGAGGAAGACATTGTTAAAATAATTCACCTGGCTGGGCGTGGTGGCTCACGCCTGTAATCCCAGTGCTTTAGGAGGCCAAGGTGGGTGGATCACCTGAGGTTAAGAGTTCGAGACCAGCCTGGCCAACATGGAGAAACCCCACCTCTACTAAAAATACAAAATTAGCTGGGCATGGTGGTGCATGCCTGTAATCCCAGCTACTCAGGAGGCCAAGGCAGGAGAATCACTTGAACCCAGGAGGCGGAGGTTGCGATGAGCCGAGATCACACCATTGCACTCCAGCCTGGGCAACAAGAGCGAAACTCTGTCTAAAAAAAATAATAAAATAAATAATAATTCAACTAATTCTACCTGAAGGCATTTTTCTTTTAAAAATTACTTTATTTTAAACTTTAAGTTCAGGTATACATGTGCAGGTTTGTTGTGTAGGTAAACCCATGACATGGGGGTTTGTTTTACAGATTATTTCATCACCCAGGCATTAAGCCTAGTATCCATTCGTTATTTTTCCTGATCTTCGCCCTCCTCGCCACCCTCCACCCTCTCATAGGCCCCAGTGTGTGTTGTTCCCCTCTATGTGTCCATGTGTTCTCATCATTTAGTTCCCACTTATAAGTGAGAATATGCAGTTTCCTGTGTTAGTTTGCTAAGGATAATGGCCTCTGGCTCCATCCATGTTCCTGCAAAGGATATGATCTCATTTTTTATGGCTGCATAGTATTCCATAGTGTATATGTACTGTGTTTTCTTTAAAAGTCTATCATTGATGGACATTTAGGTTGATTCCATATTTTTGCTATTGTGAATAGTGCTGCAATACACATACACGCGGTTTATATTAGATTTAGATGTAGAATGATTTATAGTCCTTTGGGTATATACCCAGTAATGAGATTGCTGGGTTGAATGGTAGTTCTGTTTTTAGCTCTTTGAGCAATCTCCACACTGCTTTCCCCAGTGGTTGAACTAATTTACACTCCTACCAACAGTGTATGTGTTTCTTTTTCTCCATAACCTCACTAGCATCTGTTATTTTCTGACTTTTTAATAGTAGCCATTGTGACTGGTGTGGCATGGTGTCTCATTGTGGTTTTTATTTGCAGGAAATTACTTTAAATGGGTTACTTTACACTTTACATAAAGTACCTTTTGTCCTTTGGTATCTTAAGTGTCCTTCTAGTTTCTGACTGTACTGCATGTAGCCCAGGTACTCAGTATAAGTACAAGCTCATGCTGCCTTGATGTGATTCAACTTTTTTCCTTTAAGACGTGACTTCTTAGCATGACAAAAATTGATTAGAAAAATAAAAAAGGAAAAAAGTGAATTCTGTGGAAATGAACATGATAAGTGACTTTTTTGCATATGTATTTTGATGACATGAATATTGGGGTGATTTTATGGGGAAATAAAGGGAAAATAAATGTAAGAGAAGAATAAGTGGGACCCAAGGGAGACATCTGGAGGCAGGGGATGAGATTGTTTCTCAAACTACGGGCAGACCTTTTATGTATATGCCTCACGTTTCCCCCTTTCTTCTGAGCAACATGTTTTTTTTACCCACTACCTGTATGAAATCAGTGTGACCAATGGGCTCCTCTCTTGCATCTGGGCCTCAGAGAGCTCAGTCTTTCACAGACTTTCTGCTTGATCTCATTGGTTGTTGCTGCAACATTAGACCTAGAACCTTATCCCCATTTTACCCAGTTGCCCAATGCCACTGAGATAGTTAGTAGGAGAACCTTGAGTAGAACCCCGCTTATTAGACATGTGGTCTCATTTCTTTTCACTTCAGTTTTTCCTTAGGTGGACTTTCCTCTAATACATTTTAAAATCCTTTCAGAATGAACTAATTAGAACATGCTCTTTTTGTATAGTTGTTAATCTTTCAACAACTTTTATTGAACATGTAGAGAGAGAAGGGGAGGTTATTAACTCTCCTGCTCGTACTGGGATAAATGAAGAAGAAGGCATAAGGACAATAAACATGGAACTCCACTGCAAATGGATTTTATGCAGCTGAGGAAAGTTTGGGCTTATTAGTATTTGCTCCAGCGAACCTCCAAGTTTTCTCCATTGCGGACAACGTAACTACCAGCTCCTGAAAAGGAAGAAGAAAGAGAACTGGGTCAAATGATTTGGCCACTAAATCACCAAATAATGGATGTCATCTCTACTAACCCCTTGGCCCAATCCCCACAGAGGCTCACACCCCTCTCCATTTGGGCATTTTTAGCATGGGTCTTTTTGGCATGTCTCTCCCTTACCTTGGCTCAGTGGTTCGCCTCCACTCAGAAGTTCCCAGTAGGTTCTGTCATTATTGTTGGCACATAGGCCCTGAATACAGGTGATATAGGGCCCCCATGAGCGCTCCTCCATTGTGAAACTGTGGGTGACAGCAAGTAGGTTACTGGAACTTAGAATTGTCAAAGGAAACCAACAATAGGCATTTCTCAAACTTTAATGTACCTGAGAATCACTTGATGACATTATAAAAATGCAGATTTCCTGGCCCTATCCATAGATATTTTTATTTTTAGATATGAGCTGGGGATCAGGAATCTGCATGCTTTATAAACACTCCAGCTGATTCTAATGCAGGCACTCCACACTCCATGCTAAATTAGAGAAATGATGCTCATGGTTTCTGCTCTCCCCACCTGCCATGGTAGATAGGTTTCAGATAACAGCTTCAACCTTCCACCCCAAGATAGTAACTGCTAAAGATACTGATTCAGTAGAAGAACATATGATCCTCATGTGCTAGAGACACCATAAGTTACTGAGTTTTCCCTTAGAAAAGAGGAACAGGAAAGGATAATTTGATATTTCATATTGTGTTTATTAAAAAGTGACAGGTCAGTATCTGTTTTATATTCCGTAGTCATTTTTCTACCTCCCTTAAAGCCCTTGAGGGTAGCCTTTATAATGTATATTATATTATTATTCTGATTTTCTTTATAGCATCCTACACTGTGTTGTTAGATATGATAAATAACTGTCAACTAGAGTTAAGGAGCCAAATAAGTCATACTTTTCAGAGGCAAAGCCATTATTTTAATTTTAATACTTGACCTCCTTGACCAGTTACTTTAGTTTGGGGATCTATGAGTTTTCTGAAAGCGAGGGCAGGGAGAAGCTTCAGGGTATCTGTGAAACCCTCAGTTGAAATGCTAAATTTGGCAGTGGCTCATGCCTGTAATCCCAGCACTTTGGGAGGCTGAGGTGGGCAGATCTCTTGAGCCCAGGAATTCAAGACCAGCCTGTGCAACATAGTAAGATGCTGTCTGTAAAATAAATAAATAAACAAATGCCAATTTTTGTGTGTATGTTCATTTTTTTCCTGGATGAACATTCATTACATTCACTTGATTTTCAAAGGGGTCCGTGATTCAAAAAGAGTTAAGAACCACTGTTCTAGATCTCAAATGTTTGACTTTAGAAGTTACATTTATTGCAAGAATTTTACTGAAATAAGAGAGAGCCCTGAGATTCATTAATTTATTTAGCGAACATTAATTTACTACCTATTATGTGCAAGAAGATGAAATACCTCACCTCCTATTTTAAACTCCTGCTGTGAGATGTAGATGGACAGCAAAGCTACTGACCCAGAAGCATTTTAAATATACTTTGTATTTAGGTGCAAATGCATTCTTACTGCATCTTTAGAAATGACAGCAAACATCTTAACCTTAGGTTAGGTACAGACCTACCCAAATATAGTATCATTCATTTTCTGGGCTTTCTCCATCACACTGAGGAAGACAGAACCATTTAGCACAGTGACATTGGTGAAATATGTTTCATTGATTCTCACAGAGTAATTGACGGAGATATATGATTGTGAGTCAGGAGGTGTCACAGTTATAGGCTCATCAGCGGAGATGTTGAAGTTACCTGGCAGAGACAGAAAAGCCCAGAGCAATATTCAGAAAAATAAAAATGATATTAGAGTTTGCAGACCTACTCAACCCCTATCCAAGGACTCCTTGCCTTTATGCAGACACGGATTTACTATAAGGAGCAATTATCATCACTCAAGGGGCAAATTTCTCATATAACTAAAGCAGAAACTAAGACCCAAACTCACCAGCTTGTGAATGTTGGCACTTGGCTCAACTCCCAGCTGTTTAAGCAATTCAGTTGCTCTAACTTCTGTTTCTCACAGAGGATCCTGATTTTTTTTTTCTTTTTTTGCCTTGGTACAGCATACAATAATGCTTGTCTTTTCTCCTTTTTATTGCTTAACGTTTATTGAAAACATATGAATTGCCAGGCACTATACTAATCATTTTACATGGATTGTCTCATTCAATCTTTACAAAAACCTATGTTAGGTACTGTCCTTGTTCCCAACTTTTACATTAGAAAACTGAAGCTTAGAGGTTAAACATTTTGTCCAAGTTTCCTAAACCTGTGAGTGGCTGAACCAGGAATGGACAGAGATATAAGACAATGTCTCCTTTCCTTCTACCTGGTTGCAAGGTCATTTTTTGAATAAGTAATGCATGCTACAATTTTTGAATACTGGCATATCACTTCCACACAGATGTCTCATTTCCCTAAGGGATCACTCACTGTGCAAAGTCAGAGTCACGGTACCAATACTCCATACTTTATTTAGGATGAGAATGATGCTCAGATCCTTCTATATCCAACAGTCAGAAAATACACCTTTGGAGATAGACATTATTTAATCAGGTCTGCCTTGTTAATGTTTGAACTAAGAGGGACATCTAGCACTCAGTTAAGAACAAATCCTCAGGTGACTGTAAACCCTGGTAACATGAGGAAAACTGAATTCTCTCTGGCAACTGTTATGTTTTGGAGGTTTATCTGGTCACTTTTGGTTTCAAAGGACACCTGAATCTCACATGCTTTGGGTGCTATGGTGAAAAGCGAAACAGTGTGCTCTCTTTAATGCTTATACCTGAAGCAGAGACGCAAGAAGAGTCTTTGTTAATATCCAAGAAGGTCTTTCCCATCAGGGCAGGTAAGACCTGGGCTGCAGCGTTTGGATTGCTGAATGCTCCTTGAGAAATTTCCGTGAGCACTGTATTCAGAGTTTGTTGGCAATTCCAGTCATTTTCATTATAATAGTCTGATGATACAAAGAGGGCCTAATGAGGCAGGGTGGGGTGGGGGGGTGATGAGAGATAAAGAGAGACAGAGAGAGAATATGAGACACTTCAAATAAGGGGGAAGCCTTATCTATAACTATATATGTAACTAATTCAGTATTAATTGAACATTGACTACCTAGGAAGCACCTCAGATAACTCAGTTATCTTTCTTGTTATCCAGAAGCTTATAAACTAGTTTGGGCAGGGAGGTTGGAACTGCTTAATAACACAAGCTATAATAGTTCCAATGAAGGCAGACTTTGCCACATTCATTTCTGTATCCCAGTGCTGGGAAATACCTGTCATATAGGAGACACTCAATAAATATTAACAAACTACTGTAAAAGGAGTTGCCAGAGGAATGCCCTAAGGGATGCATCTAGTGGGATGCCTCTTTCAAAAGAGGAGAGGAGCTCACAAACATTTAATGAAGCTAAAAAAAAAAAAGCTTCCTGGAGAAGGTGGTATTTGAGTTAGGCCTTGGAGAGTAGGATAGAGCACTCAAGAGGAACAACATGAACAAAGGTGTTAGGTAGGAATGGCCAGGACATGACCTGGCAATGATGACAGTATCTGCATTTTAGCAAAGTTCCTCAGGGGATTCCTCCTGGTTTAGGAGAACTGATGTATGGGGAACATTGGAGGCAACTGTGGAAAAACAGGCTGGAGAAGGAAGTTGGGCTAGACTAGTAGATGCTTGAATTTTATGATGAGATGTCTGACCTCATTTGATTGACAACGATGAGGAGGTGTCTGACATTATTTGATTGACAATGGGGAGTCTAATTGTTCATTAAACAGAAACTCTCCTGGCAGCAGAATGTAAGCTTGATTGAAGGGGCAGAATTGTGAGGTAGTAAAAGTTAGGAGGGCATTGGGGTAAGCAAGACAGGAACTAAGGTGGGTCGGACTTGAACATGCTGCTCTGTAGTTTCCCAGGGATGGACAGTTCCTGTTTTCATCTTTTCTTGGAGGTTCTTAAGCTAACCAAGTTGTCCACAAGCATTTGTGGGATATTAAGAAAAAAGAAAAACTGGTCATAGTACATTTCCTCTTAAGACACGTCAATAAATGTTATTCACATACATAACAATAAATTAAATGTTATTAATATTTAAAAATACCCAACAATGTGTTGTAGGCAATTAGCTCTTGATCCTACTGTGAATTTGTATCACCTGTAGGGCTTTTAAACCAGAGCAAGGCCCAGGCTCCACCTCTAAATTTCTGTACTACCTGGCTGGTGTGGGCCTGGGTATTAGTGTTTTCTAAGAGCTCCTTCAGGTGATTCAAATATGCAATGAAAATGGGAAAGCAGTTTATATTCAGTTCAAACTTAGTAAGGCAATCAACAACATAAATAGTAACAACAACAATACAGATAACCTTATGACTGGACCCGTGCTTACACCTCCAGCCTCCTGTTATGTTTCCCAAGGACTCTGTGCTGGTCATGCCGAACACCTTGACCTTAAAATGCCTAACATTCTTTTGTGCTTTTGGGTCTTTGTCCTCACTGTCGTCTCTCCCTTGAAAGTCCTCTAGCCCTGAGTCAGCCTGGAAAATATCTATTCATACTGATGATGCAGTAAAGTTTTTTTTTTTTCTGTAAACCTTCCTTGATCGCTTCTTATATCATCCCCTTAGAGTTTGTAAATCAATGGCTGAATGAATGCAGGAATAAAGTCTCAGACCTCAAAGAGCATATGCACGACAGTGTAGGTGCTGAGTGTGAGTTTTGAGAACAACAGCCCAGGTCCCATCCCAATCTACACCACTTTCTGGTTTTGTGAGATTAGTTAGATTACTGACACAGTTACTGTGACTCATGCTCCTAGTTTAGGAAATGGAGGTGATGGGGTAGTTTGCTCTTATCAGCGGGGGATACATTCCAAGACCTACAGTGGATGCCTGAAACCATGGATAGTACTGAGCCTTAAATATACTATGTTTTTTCCCTATACATCCACTCCTATAATAAAGTTCAGTTTATAAATTAGGCACAGTAGGAGATTAACAACAGCAATAATCAAATAGAACAATTATAATAATATATTACAGCACCATTGCTCTTGTGCTTTGGGGCCATTATTAAGTAAATACGGGTTACTTGAACACATGCACTTCAATGTTGGGACAGTTGATCTGATAACCGGCTACTAAGTGATTAACAAGCATAGACAAAGGGATGAGTCACTTCCTGGGTGGAACAGAGCGGGAAGGTGCAAGATTTTATCACACTACTCAGAATTATGCACAATTTAAAACTTATGCGTTATTTCTGAAATTTTCCATTTAATATTTTCAAGCCTCAGTTGACCTTGGGTGACTGAAACTGTGGAAAGTGAAATTGTGGATAATGGGGGGACTACTGTGTGTGTGAAAGTGTAAACTACGTGTGATAGAACAAGAAAGCAGATTGTAGTAGACTCTAGAGTTTCTTAGAGAAATTGTAGTTAGGAAAAGCTTCCTAGAAGCATTGGCTATGGGGAAGTAAAGCTGAAGATGAGAAGAGTACATGTCAGGGAGGGGAAGGGAATCGTATGAGCAAAATCAAAGTTAGTATAGGAACCGCAGAATGTATAATAAGGTCTTAGGAGGCCAATAAGAAAGGAAAAAGATACTGGCTGGGCGCAGTGGCCCACACCTGTAATCCCAGCACTTTGGGAGGCCAAGGTGAGTGGATCACCTGAGGTCAGGAGTTCGAGACCGGCCTGGCCAACATGGTGAAACTCTGTCTCTACTAAAAATAGAAAAAATTAGCCGGGCGTGGTGGTGGATGCCTGTAATCCCAGCTACTCAGGAGGCTGAGGCAGGTGTAATCCCAGCTACTCAGGAGGCTGAGGCAGGAGAATCGCTTGAACTCGGGAGGCGGAGGTCGCAGTGAGCTGAGCTCGCACCATTGCAACTCCAGCCTGGGCAACAAGAGCGAAGCTCCATCTTAAAAAAAAAAAAATACTGCTTTCTTCCAGAGAAGACTCCCTTCTCTGCCTCCTGTTTCACCCTCTGACTTACCTGCATGGCTTCTCCTGTGCTAAATGTGTTTCCAATGAGACCATTTTCTTTTTTCTCAGACAGAATCTTTTCTACCAGTGACTTTGTATAAATACTGATGTTCTTTAAACTGCCTTCATCTGCTTTGATCTGCCCATTTATTAGACTCTTCTTCACACAGGTCAGAGCCAGGACAGCCATTGCACCAGTATCTGTCAGGAAACAAAACATTGTTGATAGGCGACCAACCACCTCAGTTTGTCCTGGGCCGAGAGGTTTCCTGGGATGTGAGACTTTCAGTGCTAAAAGAAAAACAGATCTAGAAAAACTGGGATGGTTGGTCATGCTAATTGGTGAAGAAAGATTTCAAGATACAGCAATCATCTCTCCAGCACTAACCACTCAAATATTTAAAGATTTCTTCCCAATGTTCAGTTGCCATGTACTCCATAGTTCATACCTCATACTGTAGTGCGATGGGTCTCCCACTTAAGGTTACTTAAGGGAGATGCACCTCACTAGTGGCCACCATGGCCAGTTTATTTTTCCCAGTGATAATGTACTCTGGCCACCTTTAGCTCATATACTAGCATTGTATATTTTGGTACTTATGACACTGTGTCCTGTGTTGTTCAGCTATTTCTGCTATAGTTCATCTTGACTTAAAGCCAAGCTCCTGGAGGTTTAGAGAGTGGTGTCTTGTATGTGTGTGTATGTGTGTCTGCAATCATATGTAAAGAAGTACTTAACATAGGGTCAATGCTCAGCTGAACATATTTAAAAAGAAAATTCAAGATGCATGCTGAAAGAGAAAAAGGGAAGTGCCCTGCAAAGATATGTCTGCTGCCTGAACTGTCTGAAGCCCAGGCCATGGAGCCCAGCTGAGGAACAGGTGTCTTTGAGAATCCAAACATCCTGGAAAGCATCTAAGAACTTGCCAAGGAAAAGAGACCCATCACACACACATAGCAGGTAAAAAGCCAGGAAATTAGCTTAAAAGCAGTTTAGGGTGGGATGTAGCACGAATCTCTAAAGCTCTCTTGCTGCTGTCTGGAGTGTTTTTTGTTTGTTTGTTTTTTGTTTTTTGGTTTTTTTTGAGACGGAGTCTCGCTCTTGCTGCCCAGGCTGGAGTGCTGTGGTCCGATCTCCCTGCGAACTCTGCCTCCTGGGTTCTAGTGATTCTCCTGCCTCAGCCTCCTGAGTAGCTGGGATTACAGGAGTGAGCCACCACGCCCAGCTAATTTTGTATTTTTAGTAGAGACGGGGTTTCACCATGTTGGCGAGGCTGGTCTTGAACTCCCGACCTCAGGTGATCCACCCGCCTCGGCCTCCCAAAGTGCTGGGATAACAGGTGTGAGCCACTGCACCCTGCCTTTTTTTTTTTTTAAATACAATTCTGGGTTTCTTTTTTTACACATATTTTGGTCATAAAACACCTATGGATTTGTAGGTGCATACACATGGACAGTATTTCACTTTTACATCTTGGTTGCTCTCATCTTTTCCATCTTTCTCTAATCTTTTAGCCATGTTGGCTGAGGGATTGAGAAAACCTAAGAGGCTGAATCAAATAAACTGTCTTTGTAAGGCTCTCAAGGGTTTCATTAGACTGATTAGAAAATAGTACTTTACAGAGTTGTTGCCCAGTAAACCTCTTTACAAAAGAGGATGAGGCAAGAGACTGGAAGAAGGAAAGATAAGGACACGTTTTCTGGCTTGATACTTGGTGTCTCCTGTGTTCTTTAGCATGGGACCTTTCCTCTCTCATGGGAAAAGAAGTCTGAGAAATCTCACATTCTCCTTACTATCCAGAAATACTACATGGTGATTTGCTTTGAACTTCAATTTGAACTTTGAATTTGGAGAAAGATGAACTTGTATATCTGGATCCATAGAGGCTAAGCACCTATACTAACTGTCTAAAGACTTCTTTATGGATATTAAGGCTGACACAGTGGGAAATTTCTGGTTCATTTCCCAAGGTGAATATACAATCTATTGATTAAAATATTGGACTTTGTCACTGGAGAGGTGGTATTGTTCAAGACTCTCGAGGTATCCAAATTGTCCCAATAAACTAGAGAAAGAGACAGTGTTAAGATAAACGAATTCCATTGCATTTCCCTTTTCTAAAACTTACCCTTTCTAAAATATTTCATGTGGATATTCTCATGCCTTATCCTCATCTTACAAATGGAAAAATTAAGATCAAGAGTTAACATTCATTGTTTATATAACCCAAAGAAGAGCTGGAGCAGAAACCGGGTATTTCTACTATACCACACATCTAGAAAGAAGCTTAAATGCCATCCATCATCCATTCTTCTCAAAAAGAAAATTCCCTTTTGAGGGGACTAGAGCAAAGAGGGTAGAAAATAAAATCCAGGTACTTACTGGTAGAAAAACTCAAAGAGCAAGACCTACTGGTGACCATGTCCTCTGTACCAAGGGAATTGGGCTTAGTAACTCACCTACTGAGAACTGGCTACCAAAATAATAGTTTTTATTTTCAGGAGTGAAGTGGTTGACAACTTCGGCGGTTGAGTAGTTCCCATTGAACAGACACAAGGCCAAAACGTCCAGGCTGAGCTGGTAGTAGTTAGTCAGGGGAGTGCCATTGTGTGCTTCTAGAAAAGAGAAGAAATACCTCCCTTAATCATGGAAGTGGTAATGGCGTATGCATTTTCCATCTATTCCTACTTACTCTATTTTAATTTCTTTACATTTAAGGAAAGGTGGCTAATAGAAGGGGGAGGTCACCCATAGAATCAGAAAACCTGAGAAATGTGAGGGCTTTTAAGGGCCACTAAATTCCGCTCAATTTCTTTCATTTTATAACTGAGGGGACACAGTCTTAAAGAGATTAAGATGCTATCTAGATATTCAGATGGTTACAGAGTTAGGGCCAGAATACAGGTTTTCAACCTCCAAGCCTCTTGCGTTTTCAATAGTAAGGTGTTGAAACTGTAAGTAGAAACCTAGGTTAGAGGCCATCTCAAAGGAAAATGGACTTACTGAAAAATAGAATAAATATTGGGTGGGAACTGAAATAAAAACAGTGCACCTCACTAGTGGCCACCATGGCCGGTTGATTTTTCCCAGTGATAATGTACTCTGGCCACCTTTAGCTCATATACTAGCATTGTATATTTTGGTACTTATGACACTGTATCCTGTATTGTTCAGCTATTTCTGGTGTAATTCATCATTTGACTTAAAGCCAAGCTCCTGGACGATTAGAGAATGGTGACTTGTGTGTGTGCATGTGTGTGTGTGTGTGTATGTGTGTGTGTGTTTCTGCCATCATATGTAAAGTAGTACTTGACATAGGGTCAATGCTCAGCTGAACATATTTAAAAAGAAAATTCAAGATGCATACTGAAAGAGAAAAAGGGAAGTGCCCTCAAAGACATAGTGAGATGAACGGGATGAAGAGAAGGAAAGAGTGGAGGGAAACTTCATATAGTTTTGAATCAGTGGAGGAGAAGACAAGGTAGTCTAGGGTCTCTAAATATTTAATTCTTACCCATATTTTCAATTTCTGCTTGGAATTTATTTTCTAGCTTGTCGATCAGGTGGTAATCATATATTAAGTTTTCCTCAGCGTTACGACATACTCCCAAAGCCAGTATAATCAAGGCAAGCTCTCCCGAGCTTACATCTGACACTGAAAAGAAAAGTATTCAAGCTTAATAAGGTACAGGCTTGTGATTTTTTGGGCCTCCTGATTTCCTTGAGACTTATATTGCCTATCACTTTTTTCTTCTGTTGCGCTCTATACAGTCTTGTGTCGCTTAATGATAGGGATAAATTCTGAGAAACTGGTTGTTAAGCGATTTTGTCATTGTGCAAACATCACAGAGTGTACTTACACAACCTAGATGGTATAGTTGACTACACACCTAGGCTATAGGGTACAGCTTGTTGCTCTCAGGCTAAAAACCAGTATAGCATGTTACTGTCCTGAATACTATAGGCAATTGTAGCCCAATAGTATTTGTGTATCTAAACATATCCAAGCACAGAAAAGGTACAATAAAAATACACTATTAAAATCTTGTGGGACCACCGTCATATATATTCATCATTATGTGATGCATTCCTGTATGAATATTTGATTCCTCTCTTCTTTATCCTCAAAGCAGAGCCTTTTAGAGCAGTACTGTATAAATGCAAACTAAATCTTTGTCTTTTCCATAAAAATCACAGAATCGTTTTGGAATCATACAATCCTTATGAAAGTGAAAAAGAGGAAAAATAGATAAACAACAAGATCTTGGGTTTTTTTTTCTTTGTGGTACCAGCTTGCTAGGATAGTAATTCTTGATTTTTAATGTTCTGCCTTTTAGAGTATCCAAACTCTCAGGATTCTCATAATTCTTATAATAATATTATGAGGTAGGTAAGAGTGGCTTCTTTTCCCCTTATACTAATTAGAAAACTGAGGCTCAGTATTAACATGACTGGTTCAAGGCCCACCCATACCTAGTTCAAATCTGGGTTGTTCCATGGTTGCCTTTCCATCACCAGCTTTCTTAGTTATGATCTGTATTCCCATGTGGTTGTGAACTAAGCTAGCTTATATAACAGCATTAATGGATAAAAATCCATAGCTTTTGTTTGTGGCTTCTTGAAGAAAAGTGGTTTTTAAGACCAAAAGAAGCAAGACCTAGCTCTAGGGTGAATGGCATGGGATTGTATTTTGGGCATGTTTCTGTTACCTCAAGTTTGGTACCATTAGAAGGGATGTAGCAGGGATACTTTGGATGCATAATTTTTTAGGATTAGTTGCAGATAATCTTTAAATAGGTAGATTTTTTTCTAAATCTTCCAGAATATACAGCAACTTACATCTGCTTTTCACATTGTATTTGATTTGTTGGATCATCTTTTGCATCAGGGTTTGGATCTGGATTCCAACAAGTTTGAGGGACAACACAACATTGACAGCGCTGGTTCCCCTGTTATAGTTTGACTGGATCATTGTATTCAACAGAGGTTTTAGGCGGATGTAGTTTTCTTCACTTACCTCTGTGGCAGAGAAGGAAGGAAATAAGAAACACATACTCAGAAAATAGTAAGACTTGCAGCAGGGGTTATATAAAAATATTTAGTAACAGATATGGCACAGACCTAGACCAATCCAGTGGCTGCAGACTGTGTTGGTGGAATAATACAAAGGTGGGTCTTGAACCCACCCCCATGCCAGACATTACTCCTTTAACAACCAACATGAAAATGTTTTAATATTTTAACAACTGGTGCAGACTTATCATTGTGTACTGGCAGACTCCTGCCTGGGAAATCTAGCATCATTCCCTAATTTTGTATATGAAGCTTAGATAGATTGTCCTTAAAGAAACTTCCATAATTGGAGGCTGAGCTGAAACTAGACTACATGTCTTCTGACTCTCAGTAAGCAGGACTTTCTACTTCCTGGATTCAGTTCTTTCCTTCTCCATCTTCTAAATCAACTGGGTTAATGTTGAGAAAATGCAGGTAATAATTCTGTGTTATACTGGTGATTGACCCCAAAACTTCATTGTCTGATTACCCAGCTGGCTGGGCATCGAGATCATTATTTAGCATTATGCAGCCTGTAAAAAACTCTCCAGTTTTAGCCTACAATATGCCCCAATTCCAGAGATGGAGGGAAGTCACATTATACTGTGGAAGTAGGAAAATCCATAGCTCCCAAGGAAATAGAGGAGAATAAAAAGATTTACTATTTATTTAAACACAGGACACTTTGTCAATGTATTTTTCCATAATCTTGAGGAGTAGCCCCAAATCCTACATATCTCCAGATTATCTAATGGATTAGTGGGAGAGTGAGAAGAACATGAGGTTTGGATTCAGATTTTGGCCACATTTTGTGCTCCTTAACTTATGACTGTGGATAATAACTTATGTAACTTGTTTTACTCTTAGTTTTCTCATTTAAAAATTGTGGCTGTTAACACTTACCTTACAGATATTGGACAAGAAACCACCGAATAAACTGTAAAATGCTGCACATACTATTATTTCCAGCTCAACTGGAGTTTTTATCACTATACTTGAGAATCAAGGAAATGTAATTTCTCTTGCCCAGTTTTCTTTACTTTAAAAGAATGAGTCAAGAAGATCTGAATAGAGTGATTGTAGAAAGGTCATGGTTTGTTGCAGACACAATGGAACAATTGTGAGTCAGTTCTCTGAGATTTTGTGGAACCATCCAGCTCAGCAGATTTTCTGGCCCTGAAACAGACTTTTTAGTTCCTGATCAACAACTCAAATCAGCTTCCTTGAGTCTCAAAGATAAATTTAATTATTATCATTATTATTTAAAATGAATTGAAAGCTAAAACCTACATAGCCATTCCCTATTCTTAGGATCCAACAGGGGAAATGTCAAGCCAAGAAGAAAAATCAGAGTCAGAAGAGTCTATGCTTTAGCCTGTATGTATACAAGCCTGTCTTCTGTGGTGTTCTCTTCTTACTGGTTAGAGAGCACAGATAGTACCACCTAGTAATCTTTGGACTGGTTTGAAGCTCAATTTCAGAGTAAAGTCTCACAAAAGAGAATTCATGCACTTGAGAACTGCACCAGACTTCATGAGATAATTTGCTTCAATAGTCTCCCCTCATTATCCTTTATTTATGAATGAAGCTAAAGAAATTCAGAAATGTTGGGTCATTCAATAACTAAGGGATCAAACTAAACCTGAATTTAGTTTTCCCTTCTCTTACTTTAAAGTTCTTTTACAGAACCACACAATCTCTGGGGTCAACACCCATGCAAGAGATGATGGAACTTTATCCCATGTGTCCTGGGAAAGAGTTGAAGGAAGGTGGACATGCAACTTGGAACATCTAAACTCACTCATGACAAGACAGCAGTCATCACTATTTGAAAGAGATTATTATTTTTTTCTATGTAGTTACAAGGGGTTAACCCAAAAATCATGCATTGAATTTCAGGGAAAAAAGATTGCATATCAAGACCAAAAGATAACTTTCCATGATCTAGAAAAGTTTCTGGGAGCATAAATTTTCTGTCATTGAAAAGTCACATGAATAGGGAGTTACTTGGTAGGGATGCTGTGCTAGAGAGGATCTGAGCATAGAAAGAGCAGTTAGGCAAGTGAATACACAATCTATAATTCCTCTTACAACAACATGCATTGTGAGACTTTCCTCACCATCTCCTGCCACCCTTTTCATCATTCATGGAGTCCAACCACATACGAAACTGGAATGGGATCTTTTCTCAGGTAACTCTACATAGAGTCTCTTGTCAACAGTTTTCAGTAGACTATCACTCTAGAGTAATTTTAGCTCAAAGTTTACTCACCACAAATCTCGCATAGTTGGCTTGGAATAAAAGAAAACAGTAAGAGCCCCACTAGGGGCAGCTGGTGTGACTGTCTCATCTCTCCAACAGTGTACCAGAATGTTGATGAATTGGCTGGCTATTTATTAAGTGATGGGCAGAAGGTAATGAGAGCTCCTCCTTCAGGTTGCCTCAGCCTCTTTTCACTCAAGCAAATATTGAGCAATGTCAGGAGGTGTGGTCAAGTGTATTTGTCCATGTGATGTAATAAATAAGGAAGAAGACTTGAAGGATGTGGTTAGGGAGAATAAGGCAATAACTTTCCTTTGTCTCCTGTCCTAAACCTTCGGGTTTCATATCTATTATTTGCCTTCCGTGCAGTGAAGATATATTAGGCAAATGACTGTTTCCTATAATCTTTCCTTTTTTTTCCGTTTCACTTTATGTTTTATGTTTCCTGATAAAGTAGATTTGATCATGCAAACACATACAACATATAAAAATGGAAGTAAAAGAAGACATCCAAATGGGAAGCAGGCATATGAAAAAGTGCTTGAAAAGGTGCTTAACATCATTGATCATCAGATAAATGGAAATCAAAGCTACAATGAGATATCCTCTCATCTCAGCTAAAAATGGCTTTATTCAAAACACAGGCAATAACAAATGCTGGCACGGATGTAGAGAAAAGGGAAGCCTTGTACACTGTTGGTGGGAATGTAAATTAGTACAATCACTATGGAGAACAGTTTGGAGCTTCCTCAAAAAACTAAACATAGAGCTACCATATGATCCAGCAATCCCACTGCTGGCTATATACCCAAAAGAAAGAAGACCAGTATATTGAAGAGATATCTGCACTCCCATGTTTGTTGCAGCACTGTTTACAATAACCAAGATTTGGAAGCAAGCTAAGTGTCTATCAACAGATAAATGAACACAGCAAATGTACATATACACAATGGAGTACTATTCAGCCATATAAAAGAATGAAATCCTGTCAGTTGTGACAAAATGGATGGAACTGGAGATAATTATGTTAAGTGAAATAAGCCAGGCACAGAAAGACATACATTGCATGTTCTCACTTATTTGTGGGATCTAAAAATCAAAACAATTGAATTCATAGAGATAGAGAATGAAAAGATGGTTACTGGGGGCTGGGAAGGCTAGTGGTGGGAAGGAGATGCGGAGGGTTAATGGGTACAAAATATTGGAAAGAATGAATAAGACCTACTATTGGTAGCATAACAGGGTGACTATAGTCAATAATAATTTAATTGTACATTTTAAATAACTAATAGTATAACTGGATTGTTTGTAACGTAAAGGATAAATGCTTGACAGGATGAATACCCCCTTCTCTATGATGTGATTATTACGCATTGCATGCCTGTATCAAAACATTTCATGAGCCCCATAAATATATACACCTACTATGTACCTACAAAAATTGAAATAAAAAAATTTAAAAACGGAAGTAAAAGTTGTAAGTCTGAAATTGAAGCAGGCAGTATTGGAGAACCCAGCACATGAGGGGATCTTTGGCATAGTGGTTTCCAAACTATGATTTTTCTCCTAAGATAGATTCCATGAGAGTTTCCTAACCAAGGAGGAAAACCAGAGAGCTATACATCAAATGTGAATTTCTGCCCTGCCAGGGCAGTTGCTACATGTGAGAAGTGTTGCCTATCACAGTTCTTCTGAGAACTATTAGAGAATACTGTCAGCCTAGCTAAGGATGTCATGACTTAATGAGCCACTATTTGCATTGTACCTCTGTGATGGTTAATTTTCTGTGTCAACTTGACTGGCACCTGAGTGCCCAGATTAAACACTATTTCTCGATGTATCTGTGAGGGTGTTTCCAGATAGGATTAGCATTTTAATTGGTGGACTCTGGAAAGTAGAATGCCGTCTCCAATGTAGGTGTGCATCAATCAATCTATTGAGACCCTGAATAGAATAAAATGGTGAAGGAAGGGGGAATTCACCCTTTTTTTGCTTCCTGCCAGCCTGTTTGAGCTAGGACATCTTATCTTCTCCAGCCCTCAAACTGAGATTTACACCATCGGCTCCCCTGGTTCTTGGGCTTTCAGTTTGGCCTGAATCACTCCACTGACTTTTACTGCATGCAGACAGTAGACTGTGGGACTTCTTAGCCTCCATAAGGGCATGAATCAACTCCTTGGAATAAATCTCTTTCTCTCTCTCACATATTTATATAAAACTTATGTGGAAACCACCATTCTACTCTCTGTTTCCATGTATTTGATAATTTTTAGAATCTACATATAAATGAGATCATAGTATTTGTCTGTGACTTATTTCATTTAGCATGATATTCTTCAGGTTCATCCATGCTGTCTCAAAGGGCACTATTTCCTTCTTTTTTATGGCTGAATACTATTCTATTATATAAATATAAATATATATATACACACACACACATATATGTGTGTGTGTATATAAATCACAATTTTTATCCCTTCATCCATCAACAGATATGTAGGTTGTTTCTATGTCTTTGATATTGTGAATAATGCTGCAATGAACATGGGAGTACATATTTTATATAATATATATTTTTGTTTGTTTGTTTGTTTGTTTGTTTGTTTTTGAGACAGAGTTTCTCTCTTGTCGCCCAAGCTGGAGTGCAATGGTGCAATCTCAGCTCACTGGAAACTCCACCTCCCGGGTCCAAGTGATTTTCCTGCCTCAGCCTCCAGAGTAGCTGGGATTACAGGTATCTGCCACCACACCGGCTAACTTTTCTATTTTTTTTTAGTAGAGACAGGGTTTCAACATGTTGATCAGGCTGGTCTTAAACTCCTGACCTCAGGTGATCCACCCACCTCAGCCTCCCAAAGTGCTGCGATTACAGGCGTGAGCCACCGTGCCCATTCGGGAGTACATATATTTCTTTGAAACACTGCTTTTGCTTCCTTTGGATATGTACCCAGAATTAAGATTGTTGGATCATATTGCAGTTCCATTTATAATTTTTTGAAGAACCACCACACTGTCTTCCATAATGGTTGTGCAAATTTACATTCTGCAAACACAAAGGATTCTCTTTTCTCTACATCCTCATCCATACTTTGTTATCTTTTGTCTTTTTGATAATAGTCACCCTAACAGGTATAAGGTGATGTGATTATTCTGATTTGAATTTCTCTGATGATTAGTGATATTGTGCATGTTTTCTCATGCCTGTTTGCCATTTTTATGTCTTCTTTGGAAAATGTTGAGGTCCTTAGCCCATTTTAAAATCAGGTTATTTGTTTTGTTTTTGTTTTCATTTTGCTATTGAATTGCATGGTTCTTACATATTTTGGATATTAATCTATTTTCAGATATAGGTTCGCAAATATTTTCTCAAATATTCCACAGCAACTTGGATGGAGCTGGAGGCAATTATTCTAAGCAACACAGGAGTAGAAAACCAAAAAAAATATTTTCTCACTTATTATTAACATTATTTCATTCCTTTTAATGGCTCAGTAGTAGAATTCTTCTATACCCAATTTGTTGAGAGTTTTTTTTTATCATGAAAGGATGCTAAATTTTTTTGATTGATTTTTTTTTTTTTGCTTTTTTTTTAATGTGCTGTTGAATTTGGTTTGCTAGTATTTTGTTGAGGATTTTTGCATCTATGTTTATTATGGGTATTGGCCTGTGATTTTTTTTTTTTTTTTGGTAGTGTCCTTATCTGGCTTTGGTATTAGGGTAATACTCATCTTGTAAAATGAGTTTGGAAATATTCTTTCTACAATATTTTGGGACAGTTTGTGAGGAATTGCCATTAATTCTTCTTTAGGTATTTGGTTGAATTCACCAGTGAAACATCTGGTCCTAGGCTTTTCTTTGTAGGGAGGTTTTTGATTGCTGATTCAGTCCCCTTATTTATATTTTTGGTCTGTTCAGATTTTCTATGTCTTCATGATTCATTGTTGGCACATTGTGTGTTTCTAGGAATTTATGCATTTCTTCTAGGTTATCCCATTTGCTGGCATATAATTGTTCATAGTAGTCTCTTATGATTCTTTGTATTTCTGTGATAGCAGTTGTAATGTCTTCACTTCTTTCATTTATAATTTTACTTATTTGAGTTTTCTCTCTTTTTTCTTGGTTAGTCTAGCTAAAGGTTTGTCGATTTTTTTTTATCTTTTCCGAAAACCAACTTTTAGTTTTGTTGATCTTTTCCATTGTTTTTCTATTCTCTATTTTATTTGTTTCTGCTTTGATCTTTGTTGTTTCCTTCTTTCTGATAACTTTGGGTTTAGATTATTCTTTTTCTAGTTCCTTAATGTTTAAACTTAGTTTGTTCATTTGAAATCTTTATTTTTCCTTAATCTAGACATTTATAACTATGAATTTTCCTCTCAGTACTGCTTTTGCTGTATCCTATATGTTTTCAGATATTGAGTTTACCTTTTCATTTGTCTCAAGATACTTTTTACTTCCTCATTAATTTCCTCTTTGGCTCCTTGATTGTTCAGGAGTGAATTATCTAATTTCCATGTATTTGTAAATGTTCCAATTTTTCTCACATTATTGATTTCCAGTTTCATACCATTGGGGTCAGAAAAGATACTTGATATAATTTCAATATTCTTAAATTTGTTAACACTTATTTTGTGACTTAATGTGATCTATCCTGGAGAATGTTTTATATGTGCTTGAGAAGAATGTGTACTCCCCTGCTGTTGGATGGAATGTTCTGTATATGTCTGTTAGGTCCATTTGGTCTAAGTATTGTTCAAATATGGTAGTTCCTTATTGATTTTCTGTCTGGATTATCTATCCATTGTTGAGTGTGGGGTATTAAAGTCACCTCTGTTACTGTTTTGCTGTTTATTTTTCACATTAGTTCTGTTAATATTTGCTTTAAGCACCCAATGTTGGGTACATAAATATTTATAATTTTTATATCTTTTTGATGAATTGGCTCCTTTATCATTATATAATGATTTTCTTTGTCTCTTGTAACAATTTATTTGTCTCTTGTAACCTCGGCCTCCCAAAGTGTAGGGATTACAAGCATGAGGCACCACGCCTGGCCAAGAATCTTGTCTTTTATTCATGCAACCACTCTGTCTTTTGATTGGAGAATTTAATCCATTTAAGTTTCAAGTAATTTTGATAAGTTAGGACTTACCATTGCCATTTTGTGAATTGTTTTCTAACTGTTTTATAGTTCTTTTTTCCTTTTTTTCTTCTATTGCTTTCTTTGTGATTTGATGACTTTGTAGTTGTATGCTTCAATTCCTTTCTCTTGAAGTTTTGTGTATCTATTACATATTTTTCTAAAACTTGTTTTTAACAAGTCATTTCTACTTTGCTGCTTCCAACAGTGATTCTAAATTCTCATTTTACTTGAACTGATAGTTGATTACTCTCTTTTTCTTACTTCATTTGGCTGGAACACCATCCTTTTCTGGAGTTTTTCTACTTTTCTGACTCTTCCTTTTTGGCCTTTTCTTGCTACTTTCTCCTAATATATTTGACTTCTAAATGTTGCAATCTTCTAGGGTTCAGTGTCTAAAACTCTTCATTCTCCTATGTTGCTCTCATTTAATCCCAAGGCTTTAAATGACACCTATATGCTAGTGTTTCTAAAATTTATATCTTCATATAGAACATCTTTCTAAATTTAGATTTAAATTGAGGCCTGGTCATGTGACTGTCTTGGGTCAAGATGTAGTTAGCAAATATGAAAGAGGTAGTTAGCAAATATGAAATAGGTGGAAATTTAAAAATTCCTTCTGCTTTGGGTTTTGTGTTTTGAATTCTGTGATCCACAATGTGTATAAAACTGAGCTCATGTTCTAGTTGTTATAGCTGTGACCTTCTAGAAAGGTCATATAGAGGAGAACTGAAACATGCCAGCTGTAGGCTGCCAACTACCTGACATTGAATGAAATGCCTTTAGATTATTTAGCTTTAGTTGAGCTACCAGATGACTAAAGTCACATGAATAACACTGGCCAAGACCAGTAGAAGTGCCTAGCTAAAGCTAGCCCAAGCTACTACACATAGATTTGTGAGAAAAAGATTGTTTTAAGCCACTAAGTCTTGGGGTAGTTATTTATGTGGCAGTAGAAAAATAATACACTATACTTAGAATTTTTTCCAGTTATATAGTTCAAGCAATATTTTAATCAGCTGACCATCTATTTCATTCCCCGTTACCTCATGTTTTGTTGGATGATGTCATAAATCACTGTGGATCAAAGCACTTCTATTGTCACTCTGATTCTGTAGACAGCTATGGTAATTTCTACAACTTGTCTTTGATGATTAGGTACTGCCATCTAATTTTGGCTAATCTGGAATCACATTATAGTGACTGAGATAATTTCAATGGCTAAATCTTTCACTGTCAATCCCAACAACTTCCCTTTACTAATTCATATGTTAATGTCTAGTTAAGGTTGTATTCTCTGGGCTTTCCAGGAAAGAAAGAGGCCAGGTGAGCTGGAACAGATTTTGTACTTGTCTCCCTGGGGCATAATGGGATCCAATCCTAATGATGGTTCTAGAGGCAATTTAATATTGTACATAGTAAATCTCCTTCTAAATTCTTATCTCTCTTAGCCTTTGGCCACAAATTTCTGGCATCTCACTGAACTGAAGTACATAGTTTAATGGTTTTTAGTGTATTCACAAATATGTGCAAACTATCACCCCATAATCAATGATAAAGCATTTTCATCACCTCAAAAGAAACCTCATACCCATCAGCAGTGACTAATCAGTCCTGCCAGTCTTAGGAAACCACTTATCTACTTTCTGTCCCTATACTTTGCCTTTTCTGGACATTCATATAAATGGAATCATACAATATATGGTCTTTTGTAACTAGTTTTTTCATTCAGCATAATGTTTTCAAGTTTCATCTATGTTGTAGCATGTATCAGAACTTCATTCTTTTTTTTTTTGAGATGGAGTTTCACTCTTGTTGCCTAGGCTTGAGTGCAAGGGTGAGATCTTGGCTCACTGCAATCTCCACCTCCCGGGTTCAAGTGATTCCCCTGCCTCAGCCTCCTGAGTAGCTGGGATTACCGGTGCCCGCTACCACATCCGGCTAATTTTTATATTTTTAGTAGAGACGGGGTTTAGCCATGTTGGCCAGGCTGGTCTTGAACTCCTGACCTCAGGTGATCCACCTGCCTCAGCCTCCCAAAGTGCTGGGATTACAGGTGTGAGCCACCACATCCGGCCCAGAACTTCAGTTTTAATGGCCAAATAATATTCTATTATGTGGATATATAACATTTTATTTATCTATTTGGTAGTAGTCTTTTTTTTTTTGAGACAGGGGCTCCCTCTGTCACCCAGACTAGAGAGCAGCATAAACACCACTTACTGCAGCCTCGACCTCCCAGGCTTAGGTGATCCTCTCACCTTAGCCTCTGAGTAGCTGGGACTACAGGCATGCACCACAGTGCCCAGCTAATTTTTGAATTTTTTGTGGAGATGGAGTTTCACCATGTTGTTCAGGCCGGTCTTGAAACCCTGGGCTCAAGCAATCTGCCCACCTTGGTCTCCCAAAGTGCTGGTGACTAGAGGTGTGAGCACCATACCTGACTCTTTTCAGTAGTTGATGGACATTTATGTTGTTTCTATTTTTTTTTGGCCAATGCTGCTATAAACATTTGTTTACAAGTTTTCTATGGACATTTTCAATTCTCTCCATGTATATTTAGGAGTGGAATTGCTGGGTCTTTTGGTAACATTGTCTCTACCTTCTCTAATGACTAATGATGTTGAACATCTTTTCATGAAATTATTGGATATTTGTATATATCTAATATATATACAAATACACACACACACACACACACACACACACACACACACACGTGTTTTTTTTTTTTTTGAGACAGTCTTGCTCTGTTGCCCGGGCTGGAGTGCAGTGGCACAATCTCAGCTAGCTATAACCTCCACCTCCTGAGTTCAAGCAACTCTCATAACTCAGCCTCCCAAGCAGCTGAGATTACAGGCGTGTGGTACTGCATCCAGCTAATTTTTGTATTTTGTTTTTAGTAGAGACAGGGTTTCGCCATGTTGGCCAGGCTGGTCTTGAACTCCTGGCCTCAAGTGATCTGCATTCCTCATCCTCCCAAAGTACTGGGATTACAGGCATGAGCCACCACACCTGGCATCTTTTTTAAAGAGAAAACTATTCAGAACTAATTGTTTTAATTGGGTTTCCATATATCTTTTTATTAGTGAGCTGTAAGAGTTCTTTATGTATATTCTAGATACCTAATTTGCAAATATTATCCCATTCTGTGGGTTGTATTTTCTACCTGAATTCTTAAAAATCACTGAATATAGTTGATTCTTCCTTCAAATTCTAGATACATTTTCCCCACGTTTTCTGTTGCAATATCATCAACTCTCAGCCCCGTAATTTTTCTCCCAGTTTTTTTTTGACTCCTTCTTTGTACTCATTGCCAATCTTTTTTGAAACTTTAAATGTTGTATGACCTCAGAGCTTTGTACCTATATTATTTCTCATGCTACACACTCTCTCTAGGTGTTCTCACCCACATTCAAACCTTCAAATAGACTAATATTTTCCCAGTTTTCACTTTTATGTTAGATTCTCTTGAGTCTCAACTTATAGCCAAATGCCTTCTCTGTAATTCTACTTGGATGTCTTATTGCAATTTAAAAACCAGCATATCCAAAATTGAATTCTTAGTTTTCCATTGCAAACTTACTTCTTTATCAGTATAGCCATCTTTGCCATTTTAATAGCTCTGTGACCTTCAATAAATCTTTAATTTCTCTAGGTCTCCAAAATGTAGAAAATAGTTCTTATCTCCTAGGTTTTCATGAGGAGTCAATGAGTTAATATATGGAGGGTGCTTAGAGTAGTACCTGGTGCGTAATAAGCAGTACGTAATTGATGGCTATTATTGTCTCACTAATAACCATCAACTCAGTTATACCTGCCCAAAGTCTGGTTGTTATGCCTGATACTTCTGTCTCCTTTGATCACTTAACCAACCAACCAGAGTGACACATTCTACCTTCTGGGACCAGTCTGTCTCACCCTGCCTTCCCTGCCAATAATCTGATCAGCATTTCCAGTTTCTTGCCCTCTCCGAAATAGCTTCCACATTTGTGTGTTACTATTCACTTGTAGCCCTCTCCAAGCCATTCTCCCCCCAGCTCCTACAGCAGCACTTCTCCAACTTGAGTCATATATGGACCACATTTAGAGAAGGAATTCTTGAGGAACACAGTTTGAAATACACTGTCTTAAGACTTTTAATCCAAGACAATGGAAGTTTTGAATTTTCTTTTGCAACAGAGATATGTTGTTATTGTGCTGATGTTTTTAAAAAATATTTTAAAATCCTCATTCCTGGTTAAATCCTTGAAGCCTTCCACTGCATTTCAAATAAAACTCCAGACTTGAAATGTGATCTCTAAGAACAAGTACTTTCTGGCCATTTGTTAGCCACTTTCTTGACATTCTGTACTTTCGTTTGCAGCACTTATGAAAATAGCAATTAATTTTTGCAGAATTATTTCTTAACTGTGTGTATTTAATGTTTGTTTCCCTGCCTGACTGTGAACTCCTCAAAGGCAGCGATACACCTTTCTCGTTCACTATTGTGTCCTCCACGCTACCATAAAAAATGCCTATGATGTAAGAGGTTATCAAAATGTTTGCTGAAAGGAACCTCAGATCCTTAAGCCAAATGACAAATTAATAACACATACCGGTAGATAATCTCATTGGATAAATATTAGAAGGTTTTACAGGAGCAAACTAGGAAAAAAGTAAATGATAGAGGGGCCTTCCATGGAAATCAGGAGTGCCGTGGGGATGTAAACATCTGGGGTTAAAGTCAAAGTGACCCAAGCATTAAGTATGTTGTTGACATTTACCCAGAATTCCTTTATCTCATCAAGCAGATCCACTTTGAAATAATCAATATCTTTCGTTTCACTTCTCTCCATGCTAAGTAAGAGTTACGTAATTCTGATTATTTGCTTGACTTACTGAAGGCGAACATTGATGAGTGACCTAAGCACAAAGATGTTTAGTGAAACTCAGGTCCTTTCAGGCTTATTGGCAAAGCAAAACAAGTCCCTAAGAGGGTTCCCAAGGAAATCAGTAGATCTCTCCCAAGACAAGTTATTAGGGTAGTGCAAAACTGATCGCGATTTTTGCCATTAAAAGTCATTGCAAATTAAAAGTAATGGCAAAAACCGAGATTACTTTTGCACAAAACTAATACTTTGTGTGGAGGACAAACGGCCCCAAGTCTGCTCCCACCTCACATGCATGGGGACTGGAGCAAGGGTACAAGTGGAGGCACATATCATGTATATTTACATAAAAGCTTTAAATGAAGAAACTGTTAAGATATGTTATGTCTCCTATTTTGACAAACTGACTTTCATAATGCAATAGAAAGATAGACTTTAGTCTACAATTCTCAGAGTCTAGAATCTCTAGAATTTCACATTGGAACACTGCAATGTGGTGAGAGCCACCATCTATCTCCACTGTACTACCATCCCCTGCCCATGGCCCATGGCCAAATCCTTCCTCTTGCTAACCCCACTCTGATCTGCATTGTAGGGGGCCTCAAGTGCACGTGTGTGGACACTCCAGGTGTTGTGTCCAAGCTCCGTCCATATTTCCAGCAGACAACTGCCTCTTGGCCACCATTAGGCCCAGGGCTATATACACCTGAGAGAACTGACTCAGGGAAGGGGCTCAAGCAGCCCTTGGATGTTAAGTTCAAGGCCATTTGGGCAGGAAATTATGAAGGCTTGGGAATTGGATGGCATGTTCCTTTGTTTCAACACATTTCTTGTGCCCAGAGAAGAACATGATGGAGAAGTTCAGAGCGATACCCTCTAATGCATGGGTCCCTGAGCAGAGGCTCTTCCTTCCCAGATCTGAGGGTGATTCAAAGTGGTATGGTAGCAAACTGAATTATTCCATCTCTTTTTCTGTTATAATATGTGGGTGTGTAGAAGAAGTTAATATGGGAGGTAGATGTGACATGTTTCATTGGGTGAAGGAATTTTTATTTTATTTTTTATATCTCTTATGGGAAGGCTTTGTTTAGACTACTGATTCTGGAACTTGGCCCAATGTCATGCTAGTTGGACTGGTCTCTGTTTTCTTTTAGGTCATTCCAGATTCTCAAAAGATAATGACTAGTGGCACAGATAACATACATATTTTGCAAAGTTTATATTATAGATGTTGGAAGTCTCAGGAGATTATATGATGAGAAATAGGATTTGGATTCATTGTTTTATTCCTTATTGATCCATCAAAGATGTCATTTAATGAGTAGCCCCAGGCACATTTGGTTTATTATTTAAAATTATGATGTTACATTTCAGGTCAAAGGATGCTGAGAATTTATAATGTTGATGTTTTAAAAAGGATCTAATATAAAACAGATATAAATAAAATGAAAATAACTGAAAAAGAATTGGAGATCTGCCTCCCTCCTCCTTCATCAGCAGCCCTGAGGACTTCTGCTTAGAGTTTCTCAAAGTGTGAGCCTCCAGGAGTCACCTGGGGGCAGTTGTTTAAAAATGCAGATTCCTGGGTCTTGCCCCACTGAGTTAGACTGTGAGAATTTGCATGTTTGACAAGACCCTGCAGTGACTCATATGCATTCTTACATTTCCAGCTACAATAGATCTCAATGGACTAGATTGGGGTTAGAATACACATATTTTTAAATGGTGTTCCAGATAATTTTGAAAATTAATCTAAAATTTGGGAGCCATTGAAATAAATACTTTCTAAAGTGAACATGCCTGAGGCACAATCTCAAAGTATGATCCTGGGGTCAGCAGCATCAGCAGCACCTGGAAACTTTCAGCAATGTAAATTCTTGGCCCTTCCATTCCCAGCCCTGAATAAGAATTTCCTGAACACAGTTCAGCTATCGGTGTATTAACAAGTGCTGCAGGTGTTTTTGATGCTGCTAAAGTTTGAAAATCATTTCCCAACAATTCAATAAACATGCATTGACCTTCTGTGAACATTCTGTTCTAGGAACTTTGGAGGGCCTGAAGAAGTCACAGTTCTCAAAGATTTGTCAATGGGACTTTATTTGCAGCCTGATTTTGGTTCTGGAGTGATCAAGAGAATGTCAAGTTTCAGCAGGGAGAAAAAATTATTTCTGTGAATATAAAAATAGTGGTTTTTATAAAGAGTTTTAATTTTGTTCTTTATACTTTCTGTATTTTCCAAACATTAAGCAACTTAAATTGGCAAAAACAATACATTCCTGGAAAATATAAGCCATTGGCAAAAAGTGATTTGTAAATGTAGTCAGCTGGGTGTGGCAGCGGGTATAAAAGTATCAAAAGCAGGGCAGCCGCTTCCAATTTCCTGAATTTTTCAGGGGTCATTAGTTGGCAGCTGACGTCATGAAAGATTTTGTGAGGTTACAGTCCTCTTTCCTTTTGTGCACGATTTTGACTCTTTCTGAGCAAGAGTCAGGTACAAGTGACCTTTATATTTTGTTGTTTGAAGTCATAGTTTCTTAGCGGTTGTGGGCCTTTTACTGTTTGCTGTTTTGAGTGGAAGTGACTTTCCAGTATAGTTTTCTGACTTCTGTAGTGGTATTGCTTTCTCTTGTTTGCTCTCTACCACCCCGCAAAGCAAGTGATTTATCTAGTTTATCCTAATACTTGAGAAAGAGCTAGTTTTATTCTTCCTCTGGATTTAGGTGTTTTCTATTGTGTTTTGTCACCCTATTCACCCTACCTGTGGAAAAATATTTCTCTATTTAAGGTTTCAACTTGCTCTTCCACCTCCCACCCTGATCTCCCACTCATAATCCTGCCACCTGCCTCCTGTCCTGCCCTGTTGCCTCCTAAGTGGTCATGAGTTAGTGATCATAAATCAGGTTGAGAAAATAAAGTTCTTCATTTTTTCTCCTTTCACTTCTTATTCTCCCTAAGTCATAAAGTTGTTATCATTAATATTAATAGTTTTATTTGCATTCCACTTACTTTTTCCATATTTTACAGTAATCTTTTCTCATCTAAACTATATATTTTTATTTATGTACAAAGTTATTGGGTAGAAATAATACATATAAAATACATATAATTTTGTTATTTCTAGTTTTTTTTTTAAACCATGAAAATACAGTGATGAATTGCTTTATCTATAGGATATGTTTTTGTCTAAAAATGTTTTTTGGATATGCTTCTGGTAGTAGAATTAATAGACACAAAATGAAGAAATGCTGTTGTAACACCACAGCTGTGAATGTTTTGAGTTGACAGACTTACCACACAAGGTTTTAATCTGAGACTATCTTCCTTTTGCATCATAGAAGGATACAGGGTGGAGACAGAGCAGGTGCAGATCTTCATCTTATTGGCAGGTCTAGCAGATGCCCCAGGGTACAGTTTCCCTTGTCTCTTCACCCACACGGGATGTAGATGTCTGCCAGGGATGAGAGTCAGAGGCCATAGAAGCTGCAGCTTCAGTGCCCTATCAGTCATTTACACTGGCCTAATTATGTAAACTCAAGGCCAGCACACCAGCTTGAGGCTCCCCCAATCCATGGGCAGCCCCATACAGCAAAAGAAGCAGAGACAGCATCCCATATTTAGCTTAATGTTGAACTTTTAAGGAAACAGTACTCGCAGGGAAGGAGACAGAGGTTGTTTCCAGACAGGCTTGAATGGGACTGATCCTTCATTTACAATTTTACCATTTCATCTGAGTGATCATATTGTATCTCTCAAGGCTGTTTTACAGTGGTGTATATACATATGTTTAAATATGCTATGTTCAGACTTTCTCTGGGTGTCGTTTAGCATAAAATTGCTATCTAAATGTTTAAAAAAATTTTTTTTCAACAGTGTCAGTAGGATGTACTTCCTCTATGTTCTGGGTTGTGGCTGAACCAACTTTACTTGGTCAAGATCATATTTTGCATTCTGATGAAGCATCTCTGGGAACTGGCTGTCCTGTAACCAATGTAACTGCGAAGGGATATGAGTTTAATTACCCTGCCACTCAGTGTGGGATTCAGAAAGAGGTAAGAGCTGCAAGCAGTTCAAATAATAAACTAACCCCTAGGTTGTACCTTGCAGTAGTACTGTGTGTACTGTCAGTGCGAGATTTTTTTATGGCTCTTGAATTACTTTAATTTGGTACTTTCAGGATAGGAAGACCAGTGGGTACCTTGACTTGGCCATAAAATATCATGGCACATAGCCCATTGTGGAGGAGAATACTTCAACATATATAGTAGTATAACTATCCAAGCACTCTTAAGTCTTTTTTAGTCCTTACATCCCCTAAAGTCTAGAAGCACTTAAAGCAGGCATTGTTCCTAGTTTTCATAGTAACTGAGGCTAAAATGAGTAACAATTTACCATAGATCATGCATCTGTTCAACAGGTATGTAACTGAAACTTGCATGTTGGTAAATTGGGATTTACATTCTTCCTTTGAAGAAGCAGGCGATGAAAAAATGGATGATACCAGAGGTAGAATTCACTAGGGGAAGTCAGAGGAAAAAAACATCTGAGGAGGTTTGAGGTGGAGGTGGATTTGCTCGTATGTTGTTTCTAATTTTGACATCTATGTCCATGAATGAGATTGGTCTATAATTCATTCTTTCTCATATGCTCCTTGTCAAGTTTTGAGACAGTTTAGTTAAGATTGGAAGTTTTGGCCAGGCATGGTGGCTTACCCTATAATCCCAGCAGTTTGGGAGGCCAAGGCGGACACGTCATGAGGTCAGGAGATCGAGACCATCCTGGCTAACATGGTGAAATGCTGTCTCTACTAAAAAATATATAAAAAATTAGCCAGGCATGGTGGCATGTGCCTGTCCAGTCCCAGCTGCTCAGGAGGCTGAGGCAGGAGAATTGCTTGAACCCGAGAGGTGGAGGTTGCAGTGAGCCAAGATCATGCCACTGCACCCCAGCCTGGGTGACAGAGCGAGACTATCTCAAAAAAAAAAAAAAAGATTGGAATTTTTTGATCCTTGAATGCTCAATAGAAGTTAATGATAAAATCTCCTGTATCTTTTGTTTTTCTCTGGTTTTATCACTGGGATGAAGTTGAATCCAGGTGATTAAGGCAATAGAACTAGGGAGGAGGAGAGCGAGAGTTTTCTGACAGCAACATACAGACTATTCAACATTAACCTTTGGTGGAGGAAGAAAAGTGGACTCTGCATTCAGTTTGCAGTGGTTTTACAATATGACAAAAATAGTATATTTTGGGAGGCCGAGGCAGGCAGATCACCTGAGGTCAAGAGTTTGAGACCAGCCTGGCCAACATGGCAAAACCCTGTCTCTACTAAACATACAAAAATTAGCCTAGTGGCCACCTGTAATCTCAGTAACTCAGGAGGCTGAGACAGGGAGAATTGCTTGAACCTGGGAGGCAGAGGTTGCAGTGAGCTGAGATCATGCTACTGCACTCCAGTCTGGGCAACAGAGCAAGACTCCGTCTCAAAAAAATAAATAAATAAATAAAAGGTAGTGTATTTATAGGAAAATTAAGTGGTGAATAACCACACTCTCCATTTAGAGGTATGTGTGTCCTATACAAACAATTCTGATTTCCTTCAATATGCTGTTTCACATCTACAAAACTTACTTCATGAAAGTTTGCAGATTTTTAATTTCTTTGGCCTTTGTGGTTTTTCCCATATTTCAAAGTATGACTTATTATGGATATAGGGAAATCATTACAAAGGCCAAAGAATTAATAAGCCAACTTTTCAAAGTTTATACAATTAAATATGAGACACTAAGAGAGGCAGAGACATCAGCCACAATGTTATTACAGGAGGCACAAACTATGACGTAGAATAACCAATCAGAGCTGTAGGTTTCTTTTGAAGATTTTTTTTTTTCCCCCCTGTGGCATGAAAACCATTTCTAAAGTTTTCAGGGTCTTATAAGACCCCTTCGAAATTACCTTTCAAGGACAGATTGTATATGGAACAATTTGGTTAATGTTTAAAATGTTTTCAAATTTCCATAGTATACAAAAGCAATGTTAATATTCACATATTCACATGAGTATTTTGATTTAATACCTTATCAAATCAGATTCTTTGAGTTTTATGAGTCAAAGAATCTCTACCTTGGTGGCTTCATTTCTTTCTTAGGTTTATAATTTATTATAAAGATTTTCCATTTAAAGGGCAGGATCTAGAATTTCAACAGTATTAAAAACAAAATGAAGGACTGTAGCAATCAGTTTAAGTAGCAGACATGGATTAGGAAAGAATAATTAAACATTTAAGTGTACAATACAGTGGTTTTTAGTACATTGACAAAGTTGTACAACTATCACTGCTCTCTAATTCCAGGATATTTTAATCACTTCTCAAAAATGCACCCATACCTATCAGCGGTCACTTCACTGCCTCTTCTCCCCTAGTTATAGGCAACCACAAGTCTAATTTCTCTTTCTATAGATTTGCATACTCTGGATATGTCATATAAATTCAATCATACAATATGTGGCCTTTTGTGACTTTTGCTTGCATGTTTTCAAAGTTTATCTATATCATAGCATGTCTCAATACTGCATTCTTTTTTATGGCTGAATAATTGTTTTCATTTTTTGTTACTGCTGTACCTTTGTGTACATGTTTATGTGTAAACATTTGTTTTCAATTGTGTTGGGTAAATACCTAGGACTGAAATTTCTAGCTCAAATGGTAACTCTATATTTAATTTTTTGGAGTTGCATAGTCTTTTATTTTTCTAAAGATGGTGAGTCTTTGGCTGAATGTCTTCAATGAAAGGTCTAGCAATCAAAGTTAATAATTTATTTGTCCCAACTTCAATTCTTTCCTGGGAACAACTCTTTATTCTATTGTTTGGTTTCTTTCTTTACCACTCACCTAAAATACTAGTTTTAAAACTCACAGGATCAAAACAAAACACTGAAACGCCAGAGTTGTTTAAAATGATTAGATTTTATTAAACAGCCCATTTGGACACCTGTTCATTGGAACTGATTTTTGCTTCAGCCCTAGTTCTTTGAGAAATGCAGGAATTCTTTTCACCACAATATCAGCTTGATCCAAGAATGTTGAAAAGTTAGCTGCCTTAGCGATATTGCCACCTCCAACCTCCAAAGAAATCTAAAAACCTTAGAAGATTACATGTAGTAAAATGTGAACAGGCACCATAATGTACAAGTCATTTGAGAACTATAATTGTGTAGAATTTACTCACTTTTCAAATTATTTTTCTGAATGAATAACAAATTTGTGAAACAAAATATATGGTGCTTAGAAGAGTGGTTAAATGATGGGTTAGCTTCAATGCGAAACTTTTTCTGTCTTAAGAAAGACAGGGGACTGCACAATAATCCTGTGAGGTAGGTCCTCCTATTATCCCCATTGTACAGAAGAGGATAATGAAGTTCAAAAAGATTAAGTAACCTACAAAAGGTCATACAGCCATGACTGTCAGTCTCTTGCTGGACACTGCAAACTTAGCTACTTTTAAAGGAAGATAATTTTAAATTGAGTACTAATTGTTATGCACTAAATGAAAACATTAATGTGATTAATGACAAAATATTTCACAGATAATGGGTTTTCTAGAAAGGTTAGGAAAACCAAGGTTAAGGATTCTGGATTCATATACAGGTCTTTTTCAAATATAAAACATTTCTAATATTCCTGGTTTACTATTGGGAAGAAGGGAAGAATCTTGCCGTGGCTTAAATAACAGACAGCAATTTAATTCCTGGTTATATGTGCAAAAGAATTAATAACAGTTATTTAAACAAATATATGTGCACACATGTTCCGGAAGTGAAAAGGAGGTGGCAAAGAGAGACACAGAAGAGAACTGCTGCAGCTGCTGCCAGGATCCAACTGAACTTCAAACTGTTTTATTAATTTTATTTCCAAATTGTTCATTGCTAGTGTACAGAAATAGAACTGATTTCTGTCGATTGATCTTGTCTCCTACAACATTAGTGAGCATGCTTATTAGTTGTAATAGTTTTTTTTTTTGGGTGGATCTCTTATGATTTTCTATATACAAGATCATGTCTGTTTGTCTGTCTGTCTGTCTGTCTGTCTGTCTCTCTCTCTCTCTCTCTCTCTCTCTCTCTCTCTCTCTCTCTCTATGCAGTCTTAATCTGTTGCCCAGGCTGGAGTGCAGTGGCATGAACTCAGCTCACTGCAACCTCCACCTCCCAGGTTCAAGCAATTCTGCTGCCTCAAGGCTCCCAAGTAGCTGGGACTACAGGTGTGTGCCACCGTGTCCAGCTATTTATTTTTTTATTTTTAGTAGATACCAGATTTCATCATGTTGGGCAGGCTGGTCTCGAACTCCTGACCTCAAGTGATCTGCCCACCTTGGCCTCCTGAAGTGATGGGGTTACAGGCGTGAGCCACTGTGCCAGGCCTCATGTCATCTTTAAATAGAGATAGTTTTAATTTTCCTTTCCAATCTGGATAATTTTTGTTTTATCTTCTTGCCTAATTTTCCTAGCTAGAACCTCCAGTACAATATTGGATACAAGTTGTGAGAGTGAACATCTTTGTATTATTTCTGATTATAAGGGAAAAGCTTTCAGTCTTTCATTGTTAAATATGATGTTGGCTGTGGGATTTTCACAGGTGCTCTTAATCAGGTTGAGGACGTGCCCTTTTATCTTTGGTTGTGGAGAGTTTTTATCATAAATGGTATTTAATTTTATAGTTTTTTCCCCTGAAACTATTGAGATGATCATATGGGTTTTGCCCTTTCTTCTATTAATATGGTGTATTACATTGATTTTTGTATGTGGAGCCAACATATCCTTTTCCTGGGATAAATCCCATTTAGTCATACTGCTTAGTCCTTTTTAGATGTTGCTGGATATGGTATGCTGAAGTTTTTATTTTTTGTTGGGGGGGCGCGTGGTTAGACAATGATTTCTTCTCTTTTTTCTTCAACTTTAATTTTAAGTTCAGTGGTACATGTGCAGGATGTGCAGGTTTGTTACATAGGTAAACATGTGCCATGGTGGTTTGCTACACAGATCATCCCATCACCTAGGTATGAAGCCCAGCATGCATTAGCTATTCTCCCTCCCCATCCCCCTGACAGTCCCCAGTGTGTGTTGTTGTCCCCCATGTGTCCATGTGTTCTCATCATTCAGCTCCCACTTATAAGTGAAAACATGCAGTATTTGATTTTCTGTTCCTGCAGTAGTTTGTGGAGGATAATGGCTTCCAACTCCATCCATGTCCCAGCAGAGTACATGATCTTCTTCCTTTTTATGGCTGCATACTATTCCATGGTGCATATGTACCACATCTTCTTTATCCAATCTATCATTGATGGGCATTTGGGTTGGAAGTTTTTTTACGTACATTCATAAGGTACATTGATCTATAGTTTCTTTTTGTGATGTCTTTGGTTTTAATATCAGGGCAATACATCATAGAATGAGTTGAATAATGTGCCATCTTCTATTTCTTTTTTTAAAAAATATTTATTTTAATTTTTTAAAATTTTATTTTATGTTCTGGGGTACATGTGCTGGATGTGCAGATTTGTTACATAGGTAAATGTGTGCCATGGTGGTTTGCTGCAACTATCAATCCATCACCTAGGTATCCAGCCCAGCATGCATTAACTATTTTTCCTAATGCTCTACTCCCCCACCCTCCCCTGACAAGCCCCTATGTGTGTTATTCCCCTCTCTGTGTCCATGTGTTTTCATTATTCAGCTCCCACCTTTAAGTGAGAACATGCAGTGTTTGGTTTTCTGTTCCTGTGTTAGCTTGCTGAGGATAATGGCTTCCAGCTTCACCTAAGTCCCTGCAAAGGACATGATCTGATTCCTTTTTATGGCTGCATAGTATTCCATGGTATGTATGTACCACATTTTCTTTATCCAATCTATCATTGATGGGCATTTGGGTTGATTCCATGTCTTTGCTATTGTGAATAGTGCTGCAATGAACATACACGTGCGTGAATCCTTGTAATAGAATTTATATTCTTTTGGGTATATACCCAGTAAAGGGATTGTTTGATCAAATGCATGTATCCTTGTAACAGAATGATTTACATTCTTTTGAGTATATACCCAGTAATGGGGTTGTTTGGTCAAGTGGTATTTCCAGTTGTAAATCTTTGAGGAATCACCACACTGTCTTCCACAATGGTGGAACTAATTTACATTCCCACCAACAGTGTAAAAGAGTTCCTATTTCTCTGCAACCTCTCCAGTATCTGTTGTTTCTTGACTTTTTAATAATCACCATTCTGACTGGTGTGAGAACGTATCTCATTGTGGTTTTAATTTTCATTTCTCTAATGATCAGTGATGTTGAGCTTTTATGTTTTTTGGCCACATGTATGTCTTATTTTGAGAAGTATCTGTTCATGTCATTTGCCCACTTTTTTTTTTTTTTTTTGATACGGAGTCTTGCTCTGTCACCCAGGCTGGGGTGCAGTGGTGTGATCTTGGCTCACTGCAACCTCCGCCTCCCAGATTCAAGCGATTCTGCTGCCTCAGCCTCCCGAATAGCTGGGAGTATAGGCGTGTGCCACCATGCCCGGCTAATTTTTTTTTGTATTTTTAGTAGAGACTGGGTTTCACAATGTTGGCCAGGCTGGTCTTGAACTCCTGCCCTCAAGTGATTCGTGTGCCTTGGCCTCCCAAAGTGCTGGGATTACAGGCATGAGCCACCACACCCCTTTGCCCACTTTTTAATGGTTTTTTTTTTGTTGTTTTTTTTTTTGTAAACTTGCTTAAGTTCCTTGTAGATTCTGGATATTAGACCTTTGTCAGATGGATAGATTGCAAAAATTTTCTCCCATTCTGTAGGTTGTCTGTTTGCTCTGATGATAGTTTCTTTTGCAGTGCAGAAGCTCTTTAGTTTAATTAGATCCCATTTGTCAATTTTTGCTTTTGTTGCAATTGCTTTTGTTGCTTATGATGCAATTTTTTGGCAATGTCATCATAAAATCTTTGCACATGTGTATGACCTGAATGGTATTGCCTAGATTTTCTTCTAGGGTTTCTATAGTTTTGGGTTTTACACTTAAGTCTTTAATCCATCTTGAGTTAGTTTTTGTGTAAGGTGTAAGGAAGGGATCCAGTTTCAATTTTCTGCATATGACTAGCCAGTTCTCCCAGCACCATTTATTAAATAGGAAATCCTTTCCCCATTGCTTGTTTTTGTCAGGTTTGTCAAAGATCAGATGGTTGTAGATGTGCAGTTTTATTTCTGAGTTCTGTATTTTGTTTTATTGGTTTATATGTCTGTTTTTGCACCAGTACCATGCTGTTTTGATTACTGTAGCCTTGCAGTATAGTTTGAGGTTTTGTAGCATGATGCCTCCAGCTTTGTTCTTTTTGTTTAGGATTGTCCTGGCTGTACAAGCTCTTTTTCGGTTCCATATGATTTTTAAAATAGTTTTTTTTTCTAATTCTGTCAAGAATGTCAATGGTAGTTTAATGGGAATGGCACTGAATCTAGAAATTGCTTTGGGCAGTTTGGGCATTTTTACGATATTGATTCTTCCTATCCAATAGCATGGAATGTTTTTTTCATCTGTTTGTGTCCTCTCTGGTTTCCTTGAGCAGTGATTTGTAGTTCTCCTTGAAGAAGTCCTTCACTTCCCTTGTTAGCTGTATTCCTAGGCATTTTATTCTCTTTGTGGCAATTGTGAATGGGAGTTCATTTATAATTTGGCTCTCTGCTTGTCTGTTGTTGGTGTATAGGAATGCTTGTGATTTTTGCACATTGATTTTGTATCCTGAGGTTTTCCTGAAGTTGTTTATCAGCTTAAGAAGCTTTTGGCTGAGTCCATGGGGTTTTCTAGATATAGGATCACATCATCTGCAAACAAAGACAATTTGACTTTCTCTCTTCTTATATGAATACCATTTCTTTCTTTCTTTTGCCTGATTGCTCTGGCCAGAACTTCCAGCTATGTTGAATAAGAGTACTGAGAGAGGGCATCTTTGTCCTGTGCCATTTTTCAAGGGGAATGTTTACAGGTTTTGCCCTTTCGTTCTGATATTGGCTGTGGGTTTGTCATAAATGGCTCTTATGGTTTTGAGGTATGTTCTTTCAAACCTAGTTTATTGAGAGTTTTTAACATGAAGGGATGTTGAATTTTCTCAAAGCCTTTTCTGTATCTATTGAGATTATCCTGTGGTTTTTGTCTTTAGTTCTGTTTATGTGACAAATTATGTTTATTGATTTGCATATGTTGAACCAGCCTTGCATCCTGGGGATGAAGCCAACTTGATTGTGGTGTATAAGCTTTTTGATGTGTTGCTAGATTCAGTTTGCCAGTATTTTATTGAGGATTTTTGCATTGATATTCATCAGGGATATTGGCCTGAAGTTTTCTTTTTTTGTTGTATCTCTGTCAGGGTTTGGTATCAGAATGATGCTGGCCTCATAACATGAGTTAGAGAGAAGTTCCTTATTTTCAATGGTTGGGAATAGTTTCAGAAGGAATGGTACCAGCTCCTCTTTGTATCTCTGGTAGAATTCAGCTGTAAATCCAACGGGTCCTGGGCTTCTTTGTTTGTTTGGTTGGTAGGCTATTTGTTACTGCCTCAATTTCAGAACTTGTTATTGGTCTATTCAGGGATTCAACTTCCTGGTTCAGTCTTGGGAGAGTGTACGTGTCCTGGAGTTTATCCATTTTTTTCTAGATTTTCTAGTTTGAGGTGTTTATAGTATTCTCTGATGGTTGGTTGTATTTCTGTAGGGTCAGTGGTGGTATCCCCCTTATCATTTCTGAATGTGTTTATATGAATCTTCTCTATTTTCTTCTTTATTAGTCTAGCTAGTGGTCTACCTATTTTGTTGATTTTTTTTTTTTCCAAAAAAGCAGCTCCTAGATTCATTGATTTTTTTGAAGGGTTTTTCATGTCTCTATTTCCTTCAGTTCTTCTCTGAGCTTGGCTATTTCTTGTCTTCTGCTAGCTCTGGGGTTTCTCTTGTTTCTCTAGTTCTTTTTAGTTTTGATGTTAGGGTGTTAATTTGAAATCTTTTCAGCTTTTTGATGTTAGCATTTTAGTGCTATAAATTTCCCTCTTAACACTGCATTAGCTGCATCCCAGGGATTTTGATACATTGTCTTCTTGTTCTCATTAGTTTCAAAGAACTTGATTTCTGCCTTAATTTCATTATTTACCCAGAAGTCATTCAGGAGCAGGTTGTTCAATTTCCATGTAATTGTGTGGTTTTGAGTGGGTTTCTTAATCTTGAGTTCTAATTTGATTATGCTGTGGTCTGAGAGACTGTTATATTTCAGTTCTTTTGCATTTGCTGAGGAGTGTTTTACTTTCAATTATGTGATGAATTTTAGAGTAAGTTATGTGGCACTGAGAAGAATGTATGTTCTGTTGTTTTGGGGTGTAGAGTTCTGTAGATATCTATCAGGTCCACTTGATCCAGAGCTGAGTTCAAGTCCTGAATATCTTTGTTAATTTTATGTCTCAATCTAATATTGACAGTGGGGTATTAAAGTCTCCCACTATTGTGTGGGGGTCTAAGTCTCTTTGTAGGTCTTTAAGAACTTATTTTATGAATCTGGGTGCTCCTGTGTTGGGTTCATATATATTTAGGATAGTTAGCTTTTCTTGTTGAATTGAACCCTTTACCATGTAATGACCTTCTTTGTCTTTTTTGACCTTTGTTGGTTTAAATTCTATTTTGTCAGAAACTAGGATTGCAACTCCTGCTTTTTTCTGCTTTCCATTTGCTTGGTAAATTTTCCTCCATCCCTTTATTTTTATCCTATTTGTGTCTTTGCATATGAGATGTGTCTCTTGAATACAGCACACCAATGAATCTTGTCTTTTTATCCAGCTTGCCATTCTGTGTCTTTTAATTGGGGCATTTAGCACATTTACATTTAAGGTTGATATTGCTATGTGTGAATTTGGTCCTGTCATCATGATGCTGGCTGGTTAATTTGCAGACTTGTTAATGTAGTTGCTTCATAGTGTCATTGGTCTGTGTACTTTAGTGTGTTTTTGTAGTGGCTGATAATGGTTTTTCCTTTCCATGTTTAATGCTTCCTTCAGGAACTCTTGCAAGGAAGGCCTTCTGGTGATGAGATCCTTTAGCATTTGCTTGTCCGAAAAGGATTTTATTTTTCCTTCTCTTATGAAGCTTTGTTTGGCTGGATATGAAATTCTGGGATGGAAATTCTTGTCTTTAAAAATGTTGAACATTGGCTCCCAATCTCTTTTGGCTTATAGGGTTTCCACTGAGAGGCCTGCTATTAGTCTGATGGGCTTACCTTTGTAGGTTACCTGGCCTTTCTCTCTGACTGCCCTTAACATTTTTTTCCTTCATTTCGACATTGGAAAATTGGATGATTATGTGTCTTGGAGTTGATCTTCTCATGGAGTATCTTATTGGGGTTCTCTGGATTTCCTGAATTTGAAGGTTAGCCTGTCTTGCTAGGTTAGGAAGTTCTCCTGGATGATATCCTGAAGTGTGTTTTCCAAACTTGGTTCCATCTTCCCTGTCTCAGGTACTCCAATCACTCATAGGTTTGGTCTTTTTCCATAGTCCATAGTTCTCAGAAGTTTTGTTTATTTCTTTTCATTCTTTTTTCTCTAATCTTGTCTGCTTGCCTTATTTCACAATATATTCTTCAAGCTCTGATATTCTTTCTTCCACTTTGGCCAATTCAGCTATTGATACTTGTGTTTGCATCATAAAGTTCTTGTGCTGTGTTTTTCAGCTCCATCAGGTCATTATGTTTCTCTCTAAACTGGTTATTCTAGTTAACAGCTCTTGTAATCTTTTATCATGATTCTTGGCTTCTTTACATTGGGTTAGAACATAATCTTTTAGCTCAGCGAAGTTCATTATTACCCACTTTCTGAAGCCTACTTCTGTCAGTTCATCCATCTCAGATTCAGCCCAGTTCTGCGCCCTTGCTGAAGAGGTGTTGTAATCATTTGGAGGGGAAGAGGCATTCTGGCTTTTGGAATTTTCAGCATTTTTGTGTTGATTTTTCCTCATCTTCTTGGATGTATCTACCTTTGACCTTTGAGGCTGTTGACCTTTGGATGGGGTTTTTGTGGGGTCTTTTTTTGTTGATGTTGTTGCTTTCTGTTTGTTTTTCTTTTAACATTCAGAACCCGCTTCTGCAAGCCTGCTGCAGTTTCTGGGGGTTCACTTCAGACTCTGTTTGCCTGGGTATCGCCTGTTGAGGCCGCAGAACAGCAAAGATTGCTGCCTGTGCCTTCCTCTGGGAGCTTTGTCCCAGGGGAGGACCGACCAGATGCCAGCTATTACTCTCCTGTGTGAGGTGTCTGGCAACCCCTGTTGGGAGGTCTTATGCAGTCAGGAGGCATGGAATCAGGGACCTGCTTAAGGAAGCAGTCTGGCTGTCCCTTAGCAGAGCAAGTGCACTGCACTGGGGTGAATCCCCCTAATGGCTGACTAGAGCCACAGTAATTGTGGTGGCCCCTCCCCCCAGGAACTCTGTCATCTTAGGCAGACTGCAGGCTGCTGTGCTGGCCAGTGGGGAATCCAAGCCAGTAGGTCATAGCTTGCAGGGTTCCGTGGGAGTGTGATCCGCTGAGCAAGGCTACTTGGCTCCCTGGCTTCAGTTTCCTTCCCACAGTAGTGGACGAATCTCTTGCCTCACTGGAGTTCCAGGAGCTGCTGGAGTATGCAAAAACTCCTGCAGCTCAGTGCCTGCCTGAGCGGCTGCTGACCTGAGCAGCTGTCATGAGTCTGCAAATCTTTGTGCTTGGGACCCAAGGCCCTGGTGGTGTGGGCTCATGAAGTAATCTCCTGTTCTGTGGGTTGTAAAAATCCATGGGAAAAGTGTAGCTCTCCGGATGGGTAGCACAATCTCTCACCGCCTCCCTTGACTGGGGGAGGGACGGCCCTTTTCCTTGTGCAGCTCCTGGGTGAACCATCACCTGATCCTGCTTTTTCTTGCTCTCTGTGGATTGTACCAACCGCCTAGTCAGTCCCAATAAGAGAATCTGGGTACCTCAGTTGGAAATGCAGAATTCACTCCCCATTTATTTCCATCTCGGCGGGAGCTGCAGACTGGAGCTGTTTCTACTTGGCCATCTAGGCGTCTCCTCTGCTCCACTTCTATTTGTTGGGAGATTTTGTGAAGCACTGGTTCTAATTCTTTTTTTACATGTTTGATAGAATTGAGTAGTGGAGCCTGGTGATGCCTGGACTTTCTTTGTGGGTAGTTTTTGGCTACTAATCCAATCTCTTTACTTATTATATATAGGTCTATTCCTCTTGAGCACATTCAGAGTCAAGTCAAATAACCAGCATTTCAGGAAAAGTAAAAAAAAAAAATGACAATTCTCTGAAGATGGGGCTTTTGAGGAGCTCCAAACCATCTATTTCCTCTGGATCCTGCTAGGCTGTTGACTTTCATAGATACTGTGTACTGGGAAGAGGGAACTTGAAATAGAACAAGTTAAAAATGCCAAAAAGCTATCATTCTTACTGAGATTCTATCATTTTTTTCTTGAATAAATGCTCCTTGAATTGTTGCAAGACTGAGGATAATATTCAGAGTCTTAAAAAAGTTGAATTTGATAATTTCTGCCATTTTCTTATTGTTTTATGAAGAAGTGGATTTTTTGGTGGTCTTTAGTTTGCATACTAGAAATCACTATTGAATACATAATTACCAAGAGAAGTAAGGAGCATATAATATCTATTTTCCACACTTTACATACAATTTATATACTCAACTAAAATAACCTTCAATAGCAACGCAATGGGAAAATAATCGTGTTATTGAATTCTATATTTCTATTCTTTTTGGAAACATTTTATTTCTATGAGAATATTTGTTGCATTATTTAACAGGTTGAAAAATAGTAATTCAATAAGACATTTTTGTAAAAATTATCAATAGAAAAACATACCTAAATGTAATTACAGAAATTATTCCTGTATTAAGATTATAAATCTTTGACCATAACTGTAGTGGCTTTTTTTTCTTTTTTGACAGAGTCTTGTTCTGTCATCAAGGCTGGAGTGCAGTGGCATGATTACAGCATGATCACAGCTCACTGCAACCTCCACCTCCTGGACTCAAGTAATCCTCCCATCTCAGCCTCCTGAGTGGCTTGGAACCACTCAACCCGGTTGATTGTTTTTTGATTTTTAGTAGAGATGAGATCTTGCTATATTGCCCAGGCTGGTCTCCTGAGCTCAAGCGATCCTCCTGCTTCTGCCTCACCTTCCCAAAGTGGTGGGATTAGAGGTGTGAGCCACCATGCTGGACCAACATAGTGTTTTTGACATCTCCACAATGAGCATGTGTTCAGAAAAGGCAAATCTCCAATTGGTTCAATATTTTCAGACATCTGGGATACAGCACTGTGATAATGTTTAAGAGCTAAATATGAGAAAAAAAAACTTGTTAAGTAGAAGCTGTAGCCCTTGTTCCTAGTCTGGCAATTCAAGATTACAATCTTGTTATTTTATTTCCACACATATTAACTGATTGCACTGATGATCAAAAGCCTTGGATGGTGTTTTTTTAAAATTTTTCTGGTGAATCAGTTTTCTTTTTCCAGCTCTCTGCAGAGAGACCTTGGTGCAGTATAAAGAGCTTACATCTTATCTTGATCTGTTCACTGTTCAAATGTCTTTAAAACTCCTGTGTGACATGACATCAACTTATAAAGTCTTTTTGTCCCATTAGGTTTTCTCATATGTAACAGTTTTTTATTCAGCACTCCACTGTAATATAATGCACAAAGGAGTCACTGGCAAAATTCCTTTGATGTGTATTGTATATGGGTGAGTATAATGAACCAGATGGTTCACAGTTTACCCTCTAAGAACTAATGAAAAGGAAAACATTTGGAATATGAAGCTTTACATCATTAGAACCCTAGAGCGAGGTTGGTTTGCATAGTTTCTCTGTGCAATGATGAGGTATTTATCAATGCCATTTGGCCATTACAGATGCTCTGCCCAAATGCCCTGGGACCCCCCCTTAATATTTCTGTTTGCCCCTCTCCCTGCTTCTGTGTGATCTGGCTTTCAGTGATACCAACTGGGCTTGGAAATTTAACAAATACTTCCCACTCTCATGATTCAGTGATTTGGGGGCATGAAAAGCCAGCTCTGTTTCTTGAGTCAGGGATAAACTTGGAGGCAGGATTTGACTTTGGAGCTCACTTGAGGGTCCTACTGAGGCTAGGACTCTGCCTTAAATAGCATTCCTGCTTGTTGTTGTCTTTACCTTCTATGTCCTGCTTTTCTCCCATTCCCTTATTGGGAACACTTCTATAATAAATCACCTGCACATAAATATCCTTGCCAAGTCCTGCTTTTGGGAAATCCAAGTAAGATGGTAAAATGAGTTAAACAGAGCTCAGAGGTGATTGTCCCCATGATCATGTAGCTAGGGAATGGCAAGTCAGGACTTGAACACACCTTCTCACCTAACTGCCACCCCGCAGATCAGGGAATGCTTGCAGAAACAGGAATAGTAGCCAAATTACTCAGTTTTCAACTCTTTAAGATCAAATTAAAAAACTCTTAGCCTAAGTTGTTCTCTATTCTACATAATACCTAACTTCCCCCACCCCCAATTTTGATAGCTTATATAAATCAAAGGGCTTGAATGGGCATAATTGTATTAAAATATTTTTTAAAAAGCAATAATTTAGATGTTTTCTTAATATACTATGGCCCTATGACTTTTGGGGAAATCCCTGAAACTTTGCTATATCTTCAGGATCAATGGATGAATGCTGTTAACCTTTTAGTAGTTTATGAATGACAACTTTTAAAACAGCCAGGATTCTCAGTTTATACTTGTAAGAGATTGTCTCGGGAATTTTATTTAGCTTATCAGAGCTGACGTTTTCTGTTTAGAATACATTTTCCTATGGTAGGACTTTTTTTTTTTTTTTTGGACTAACGCCCCTAAATGGAGGTTTGTTAATCCTTAAAAAAAAAAGGCAAGTAGAAGGCAGAGAGGTAGCAGTGTTAGTAAGTCTACTACTGCTAAAGTAGAAGGAAAAAAAATGAATTCAGACAAAAAGAGACTTACTGGTTTGTTTATTTTTAAATGTAATCTGATGTGCAAATTGTGTCTTCTTTAAAACTTTCAGCTCATCTTTGGATACCACTTCAAGCACTATCCATAACAATCTTACAGAATTCCAAAATGACCCTCCCGCTACCAATTCTTATTCTCCCTGGAACTTAACCAACGCTAGCTTATTTGGATTGACTCGGATTCCATATTTTCAAAACTCCTCGGTGAGGATCCTTAGAAGAGACAAAACATGGCAGTGTCCATGTAGAAATGATCGTATTGACATAAGGAAGTAAAAGCTCAAATCTCTACTAAGGAGGGTATTTGTTGTTTAAATAGTGTTTAACTACATGATGGGTCTCACATTACATTTCAATCCTGTTTAGAAAAAATGCTACTTCCATGTGTCTACATATATCCTGGTCTTGTCAATAAGTCTCCCTTTACCCTAGTTATGACAAATAAAAGAAAATCTCTAGTATAGTTTAAACATAATCTGAGTTGATAAACCACTTACTTTAAATAGTGCTCAGACACTTGAATAAAAATTTTCAACTCTTTCAACCCTTCCCTCTAATCCCTGGCACATAGTAGGTTCTCCGTGTTCACTAGTCAATATATTAGTCAATGTGTTTACTGTGCCAAGTTTATCAAGGGGTTACATTGGAAACTTTTTATTAACTACCTTTCTTTTTTCTCTGTAGGTAGAGGCATCTCATCAGTCACTTCTACTTAATATGTCTCATCCATTAGTCCATGAGAGTGCAAATGTAGCTATATTCTAGGTTCTTCCATGGCAATCCTGAAAACTCTGTTGCTACAGCTTACTTAAAATTTAATTTTTGAACCACTCACTACAGATTTATCACTTTTTGGTGCCACTTCCTGAGAGGACATTGGGTTGGGATAGAGCCCAGTGCTTCATATGTTTTTAAAAAGTGCTCCTTTTAAACATAGGCCATTATACCCTTGCATAGTCTCTTATAATACAATGTCTATGTATAATTTGTATGTGGAGTTGATCTTACAAATAAAATGTGCTGTCCCTTTGGCTATACTTCTTGATGACTGGGTTATAATCTCAAAACAGAACCTAGGCTGGGATGTAGGCATGGAAGGGTCTCTGTCCTCCACCTGCTGTTAGTGTACAAGTCATGTTTTAAATACAGTAGACTGAGAATAATCCTACATAGTTGTTTAATTCCTTTAAGAAAGATTTAGTATCCATGATAGAAATGAGCACCATTGGATCAACCAGGAAATAGAGTAGAAAGTTTGACCTCCTCTAGGCCCATGGCCTTGGGAAACAGCGATAGCAGAATATTTCCGTATCTTTCTTCAAGATCAATAGGGTGAGACTAGTTTTTATTCTTGGCACTCTAGGAACTAAACCTTTAGTGATCCCTTAGGACCATCCTTCTTTATTTCAATGACCACTCTCCAGTTAGTAAGAACATCATTCTGAAACATGCTCATGAGGATCTTGAGATGTTTCTAACAAAACCTCAAGTCCTGCCTGTGTGATTCTATTCTTCATATTGGGAAACCTTAGGCAATAGGGTTTATTGACTAGATACTTGTTATTTCAAATAACTGGGTGAAGGTAGACATCTTTTAATCTCCATCAGTGTTTCCTGCTGGCAGAACCTAAAGGTGAGGCTTGAAAATCTAATTTTTGAACTCTTGGCTCCAACATTGTAGGGCAGAGAGAGGCACATGTGGTAGTGAGACAACAGGTAAGCAACACACATAGGCTTGCTGCACCAACAGCGCTACTGCTTTCTATTTTAGTAAGGGGACCAGTAAGGATTTGTGTGTTAATTAGGACTAAAGTTGGTTACAGTTCACTTATTCATTCTCCCTTTCTTCCTCCCTGCCTCTCTCTCTTTCATATCTAGTATTCATTTGAAATGAACGAATCCCTGTTACTTTTGTTGAAAACATTACTAGACATTTTCATCATCCTTTAAATATAAACAGTATATTCAGACTCCTCGTGTCCTTCTTCAAAAAACCCCGGTAATTTAAGAATGAAAACAAACTGGAAAACTCAGAAAATGGCGATAAAAGTGGGTAGTTTCCATTTCAGCAATGAAGACATGCAAGAATTTTTGTATTAATTAGGACCAAGAATGGATAGAGTTTGTGTATTTAATCTCTCTCTTTCATAGATAGCATTCATTTGGAATGAACTTATTACTTTCATTCATAAAATATTTCTGTTTTTCCATTGTCCCTTAAAGTCAAAAGCCCACCAAGTCCAGAATAGGAGCCAGCGGTGGTAAAGGCAGACAGAGAGTGATAACCCTAATCACTGTCCCAGAGCTGTGATGCTTCATTCTTGAAAGGAGGATTGCCAGGCGTGATGGCTCACGCTTGTAATCCCAGCACTTTGGGAGGCCAAGGCGGGCAGATCACCTGAGATCGGGAATTAGAGACCAGTCCGATCAACATGGAGAGACCCCGCCTCTACTAAAAATACAAAATTAGCCGGGAGTGGCGGTGCATGCCTGTAATCTCAGCTACTTGGGAGTCTGAGGCAGGAGAATCGCTTGAACCCGGGAGGCGGAGGTTGCGGTGAGCCGACATAGCGCCATTGCACTCCAGCCTGGGCAACAAGAGTGAAACTCCTTCTAAAAAAAAAAAAAGATTTAAAGTTCTAAGATGGCTAAGATGGGCGCACGACGCGCCAGTGGCCACTACTCCGCGGGCTGACGGTGGCGGCGCTGGCAGCGCGGAACGCGGGCGCCTAAGCCATGGCTTCCTCAGGGAGAGCTGAGCTCTGGGCGCTGAACCCGCTGCGCTTGCTGTGGCTCACGCCGGCCGCCGCCTTCCTGCTGACCCTGCTGTTGCAGCTTCTGCCGCTCGGCCTGCTCCTGGGCCGCGCATTCTTCCAGGACCTGATCCGCTTTGGGAAAACAAGTGTTGGGGGGCCTCCGCGCCCCGCCGCCTGTCGCACCTTTGATGTCCCCAAGAGATATTTTTTCCTACTTCTCCCACTTCTATATCATCTCAGTGCTGTGGAATGGCTTCCTGCTTTGGTGCCTTACTCCATCTCTGTTCCTGGCAGCATCTTTTCCAAGCTGGCTTTATGGTTTGCTCAGAATTCTCAGGGCAGCACAGTTCCAGGGAGGGAAGCTGGCGCTGTCTGCGTTCTTAGTGCTGGTATTTCCGTGGCTGCGCAGCTTACGAAGAGTGCTTCTAAGTCAGTGTCTTCTCCAATGGCACGACTCACATCGTGCAATACTGTTTTGGACTTGCCTACTATGTCCTTGTCGGCCTATCTGTGCTGAGCCAAGTGCCAATGGATAGCAGGAATGCCTATGTAACAGGGAAAAAGCTACTGATGCAAGTGCGGTGGTTCCATATTCTCGGGATGATGATATTCATCTGGCCATCTGCCCATCAGTATAAGTGCCATGTCATTCTCGGCAATCTCAGGGTAAATAAAGCAGGAGTGGTCATTCACTGTAACCACAGAATCCCATTTGGAGACTGGTTTGAATGTTTTCTTCCCCTGACTACTTAGCAGATCTGATGATCTACATTTCCATGGCTGTCACCTTTGGGTTCCACAACTTGGTGAATAGTGGTGACATATGTCTTCTTCAATCCGGCCCTGCCTGCCTTTCTCAGCCACAAATTCTACAAAAGTAAATTTGTCTCCTACCCGAAGCATAGGAAAGCTTTCCTATCATTTTTGTTTTAAGTCAACCTCAGTCATGAAGAATGCAAACTAGGTGATGGTTTCCATGCCTAAGGACAGTGAAGTCTGGAGTCCAAAGTACAGTTTCTGCAGAACTGCTTGAAACTCTCTGTTCCATTTCTATGCCCCACAAGTTTTCACTGAATGAGCATGGCAGTGCCACTCAAGAAAATGAATCTCCAGTGTCTTCAAAGAAGAAATACTAATGGCAGATCTGCGATTTCTGTGTCCACTTTCTGAGATACTCTATAAAAACCAACCGGTAAAAAGTAGATGAGACTTCTCCAAGCTGCTTCACAAGCAAACTAACCAAAAATATATAAACAGTGTCACACATGCACACACACACACATACACAAAGGAAGAGATAAGTGCAAGGCTCTTGTATTGGTTCGAAACCCGAGAACGTGCCAACAAACACCACAAGGCGGTGTGGAGCAACAGGCTGTTTTAATGAGCACCTGGGTGCAGACGGGCTGAGGCGTAAAATGGTGTCAGCCCTAAGTGAAGACGGGGCAGGGGTTTTATAGTTTCCTATAAACAGGAAGTGTCCCAGTCTGACGTAACTGCTACGTGGTACCCGGATGGCCTCTCTCTCGATCTGCAGGGGGCACATGTCTTCTGGCCAGCTCACTTCCTGCTTCTTCTATCTTGCTGAGGCACAGTGCTGGTGCAAGTGGCCTTGCGCCTTGGGACTGGGCCTGAGGAGGGAGGAGTTACTCATCCCCCTAAGCTTTCAGGCCCTGGGGAGAATCTTTCAATAAAATCATCAATGGCTGTAACAGCCTGGTAGGAATGGACTATATAATAATACAGCAGGTGCTCAATAAATATTTGTTGCATTTCAGTAAAAGCAGAATAAACTTTGAAAATAATAAAAGGCTGAGTGCAGTGACTCACACCTGTAATCCCAGCATTTCGGGAGGCCGAGGTGGGCAGATCGCTGGGGCCCAGGAGTTGGAGACCAGCCTGGGCAAGATGGCGAAACCCTGTCTCCATCAAAAAATATAAAAATTTGCCAAGAGTGGTGGCAGGCACCTGTAGTCCCAGCTCCTTGCAGGTGGGCTGAGGTGGAAGGATCGCTTGAGCCTGGGAGGTTAAGCGTGCAGTGAGTCAAGATCACACCACTGCACTCCAGCCTGGGCAACAGGGCAAGACCCTGTCTCAAAATAATAATAATATATAGTTTTACACCAAAAGTTTCGGGGAAAAATGAGTTTGCTGGAGTTAATTTATACTTTCATGCATTACCACAAAGATCTCCAGTTACATAACTATCAATAGCCATTTCCACTCATCTCCCCCTCGAATCATAGCCTAATGGAACGTTTTGAAAGCTTCTTTATTTAATATTTCTTTTATGTCCTTTGAAGGGAGCACTTCAAAAGTGAAAGCATCAGAACATAAAATATATTTATGCATAGCAAGCCTTCTTGAATGGAAATGACACACTCTGGATTGAATAATACAGTAGCCTCATTCATATGTAGTTATTTAAATTGGATTAATGTCTGCCTGAGTTTATTTGAACTAACAGAATGTATCTGAAGATATTCAGGAATGAAGTTTATATTTAAAATAGCTTATGTTAAAGAAAATACCTGTGATTAATTCAGAGGGAAATAAATGCATGGTATAAAAGAAAACCCAAAACTTGAAAAATAATACTGTAGCCTGGGCAACACAGTAAAAACTGCACGTTTGTGCAGCATAACATCTTCCGGCTTATTGGCTGAGGTGTTAAGTTTATTCCTTTTATGCAGATGTCCTGTTACAGTCAGCCAAGCACTAAAGCTTTGCATTTATGTGTACTTTGCTATGGGGGAAAGAACCTTATGATTAATAAGACACATATCAAATGCGTAGTCAATCATCCCCGCCCCATCCCTGGAGCTGTAACCCAAAACTGTTAAACTAAAAATCTTTTTAATATCTTTAAATACATGCATGTCAAGAACATTCAAAAGTTCTTGCAGCAATTTTGATAGAACATTTTCTCTCCCAACAATTAACACCACTTAATTAAGATTAATCTGTGGCCCAGTCTATTTAAATAAATGCCATATTTATTTTACTTATTTAGAATTTGCCATTCTCAGAAAAAAAACTCTTTGTACATTGGAAATGAAAAGCATATTGCAGTTTGGTCTTAATTTCCACGTGAATGTCACGCTTAATTTTAAATAAATTTTTGGGGAAAAATGTATTTTATTTTTAGCATGCAATTTTATGCCCAGGTTAGACTAGGGATTTGGCTGATGTTCTGGAATCTCATTGTACTGTTAAGTAATGAGCATGCTCAATGACACACCCTGTCAGGGGTTGTGAGAAAGCTGCAGTGTTCAGTTTCCCACCCGTTTCCTTTTCCTGCTGTCTCTCTCTGACTCATTCCTGCTTCTTACTTTCCCTTTTCCTTCTTTGTCCAAACATTACATTTCTAGGCAAAGATAAAAGAGGAAATAGTGATGTCCTGAAAGGGATTCAGAACAAAGTAGCATGGCCTTTGGTGAAAGCTTCACCTATGGGAAATAATTGAGAATTGTGCTGTGCTTGCAATGTCAGAATCAGTACTGTTTTTTTTTTTTTTGTATTGGTGAAAATATTCCACGTACCTAAAGGGAGAGCATCAGGGAGTTTGCAAATTCTTCACAAGGATCCAGAAAAAGCTTAGAGGTGGAGAGTCATGATTTTCCTGTTGGCTTAGTTGAATAGCCGTAATCTTTCATTTTCTACTACCACTAAGTTAGGGGGAATGACATTGAACTACCTCATTAGCAGCCTTGCCTGGATTAACTACTGATTGAAAAAGTGTGCTGGAAATAGCCTTTGTTTTTGTTGAAGCTCATCCTACACACTAACATTTGCTTACAGTAAGCATGGATTATTTTGTCTCTGCCAAGCTGTGTTCTGTATTATATTTTTACTTCAATGTGTGGTTATTGCTAGAATTCCTACAAAAATGCCTTTGTAGATATTTTTGTACGTAGTTTAATAGATATTTGGTTTAAGGAGGCTGCAACATTTGCATAAAGTACCTGAAAACTCAAGAACCATTGATAAGTGAGATCTCTCAAAATGAGCTGATACATTAAAGAGGACCTTAAAACAGAAAAAAGTAAATATATATAAAAAAAGTTCTAAAGAGAGAAAAAAAGCACTTCCATTGATCCCCTGCCCCCCTGGATTAGTCCCATCCATGGGAAGTTATCTATATCTTATACATTTATGTACATATCTTCCATTTTTGAAAGATAGGTTTATAAAATAATAAAAATTTCAGAAATAAATAGCATGTAGATAGGTAACATAAAAAAAAGAAAAATGATGAAAACTGAGGTAGTTTGGAAAGCCTAAACCATTTTTTGAGGGTATAGTCCATATTTAGCCAAAGCACAAACGTACATCTTCTAATTTTCAAAAGAATGCAGAAGGTTAGTATAAAATTTCCTGCTTTTTAATGTTAGTTATAAAACATTTAAAAAGCAATAGTAATAGGAAAGAGTTACCAATATTTGATCTTTGATAATAGAATAAATGAAGCAAAATGACTGTCATATGGTAGCTGCTCAATACATGTTACTTCTCTTTTGCACACTAGTTCCAAAATACTTGCTGACTGCAGGACAGCTGTTTTAGTTGCTAAGCCCTGAACTTCCCTTCACACTCAGGCGGACTCTGGGAGTATTCGCTTTATTGTCTGCCTTGAAGTTTCCATTTCTCTAAGGAGCTCTGTGAGTCTATGATGGCCCTTCAGAGAACATGTAACACAAAACATCACATTCTTTGCCAACTATTCATGTTGTATCTTTCTACTTTTTGACCCTTTACTCTTTTAAGAAACTGGCCATGTGTAGAAGTGGAACATGCTTTGCTTGCTTTGCCCTACTATTGCCTGATATATTCATGTAAGTAGCTCCAGACACTCCAGCGAGTTTACCTATGGAACCTTCCAGGAGAAGACGCTCCCCCTGTGCCATTCTGGCTTGAAGCTTCCTCATATAAGGTGCTGCATCATTTGCAATGAGTAGGAAAACATGTAACAGGTCTCCAGAGTCATCTGATTTCAGTATCTAATCCCTCCAATCACTGGGTGACAGAGTTTAGTCACAGAAAGCCATCAGCTTATGATAGTTGAGGTAATTCAATGTCTGTCTTACATTTAAAAGAATGAGGCAAAATAATTTTTTTATAGTAATATACATATCTGGAACAGCCAAAGGGACTGGCTTTAAGTAAATTTAAAATAGTAAGAGAAATCAGTAAATTATCATTTTAAAAGTAATGACACTCAATAGAATTAATGTACTTAATATACATGCATATTAAACATAAAATATAGAAAATGCATGATATGTATGATATGTACTATATATAGAAAATACATACAATGATCACAAGCATAATAAGTACGTTTCATGTTTGTTATAGGTTACAAATATTGCAGAAATGAAATTTTGGTCACAGTGGCAAACAAACATACAACATTTAGAAAAGAAATATAAGACACATGTAGCACCTTTAAAGAGGAAGTCTTAAAAAATCTGGAATATGGGATGGCTGGGTCAAAGGGTATTTCTAGTTCACAATAGCAAATACTTGGAACCAACCCAAATGTCCATCAATGATAGACTAGATTAAGAAAATGTGGCACATATACACCATGGAATACTATGCAGCCATAAAAAATGATGAGTTCATGTCCTTTGTAGGGACATGTATGAAGCTGGAAACCATCATTCTCAGCAAACTATCGCAAGGACAAAAAACCAAACACCGTGTGTTCTCACTCATATGTGGGAATTGAACAATGAGAAGAACACTTGGACACAGGAAGGGGAACATCACACACCGGATCCTGTTTTGGGGGAGGGGGGAGGGGGGAGGGATAGCATTAGGAGATATACCTAATGTAAATGACGAGTTAATGGGTGCAGCACACCAACATGGCACATGTATACATATGTAACTAACCTGCACGTTGTGCACATGTACCCTGAAACTTAAAGTATAATAAAAAAAAAATATAAAAAAATCTGGAATATAACAAGATTGAATAAAGAGAGATAATACATTGCTACTGGATAGGAAATACCATATAAATACACCAAATTTTCTTTAATAAATCTAAAAATTTTATAGAATTCCAATAAAAATAACAATGGGAACTTTTGGAGGAAACTAATACAATGGTTGTAAAGTTGATTCAAAAGAATAAACATGGCAGAAGTTCCAATAAATTTTTTTAAAAAGAAGCGAGGCTTTTTTCTATATTAAAATATATTATAAAACTAGAGTGTTTACACACTTTAATAGTGATGCAAGAATAGATACTCAAAAGAGCAAAGAAACTTCAGGAACAGAACTAAATATGTAATGAAATACTATGTAATTATTGGCTAATTAGAATCAATGGATGAGCCAGGTGCAATGGACTTTGTTCTGTGGAAACAGTTATATAGATGTCCAACAAAATATATTTTAGGATATTAATGTATAATGAAAATTTGAAAATTGCTGAAATATTCACCAAGAGATCATGGGTTAGTCAAATATCTCTACCATATATTTTTATACGACTTTTAAAAAGTGGTGGATACTTAGCTACTGGTTCAGAGTGATGTCAACAAAGTAGTAATTGCAGATGGCAGAATAGTATGGCATCATGTTTTTATGAAGACAGCTATGTCTATAAAAGGCCATATATCAAGCTGATAATAGTGATTACCTCTGAGGGCAGGTGAGACTACAGAATTTCTTATTTATTTACTTTTATATATTTTTAATTTTGTTTTTCAAGAGACAGGGTCTCATTCTGTTGCCCAGGCTGGAGTACAGTGGGGCCATCATAGCTCACTGCAGCTTTGAACTTGTGGGCTCAAGTGATCCTCCCACCTCAGCTTCCCAAGTAGCTGAGACTACAGGTGTGTGCCACCTTACCTGGCTTATTTATTTATCCATAAGTTATTGGGGTACAGCGGGTATTAGTAGGGATTTGTGAAATTTTGGTGTACCCATCACCTGAGCAGTATGTACTGCACCATATTTGTAGTCTTTTATCCCTTGCCTCCCTCCCCACTCTTCGCCCCAAGTCCCCAAAGTCCATTGTATCATTCTTTTTTTTTTTTTTTTTTTTTTTTGAGATGGAGTCTTGCTCTGTAACCCAGGCTAGGGTGCAGTGGTGCGGTCTCGGCTCACTGCCAGCTCCACCTCTCTGGTTCATGCCATTCTCCTGCTTCAGCCTCCCAAGTAGCTGGGACCGCAGGCGCCCACCACCACTCTTGGCTAATTTTTTTGTTATGTTTAGTAGAGACGGTGTTTCACTGTGTTAGCCAGGATGGTCTCCATCTCCTGACCTCGTGATCTGCCCGCCTTGGCCTCCCAAAGTGCTGGGATGACAGGCATGAGCCACGGTGCCCGGCCCATTGTATCATTCTTATGCCTTTTTGTCCTCATAGCTTAGCTCCCACGTATTAGCAAGAACGTAATGATGTTTGGTTTTCCATTCCTGAGGTACTTAGAATAATAGTCTCCAGTCTCATCCAGGTCTCTGCAAATACTGTTAACTCATTCCTTTTTATGGCAAAGTAGCATTCCATCATATCTTTATCCACTTGTTGATTTACAGACGTTTGGGTTGGTTCTATGATTTTGCAATTGTGATTGTGCTGCTATAAACATGCGTGTGTAAGAATCTTTTTTAAATAATTACTTCTTTTCCCTTGGGTAGATACCCAGTAGTGGGATTGCTGGATCAAAGAGTAGTTCTACTTTTAGTTCTTTAAGGACTCTCCAGACCGTTTTCTATAATGGCTGTACAAGTTTATATTCCCCCTAGCAGTGTAGAAGTGTTCCCTGATCACCATGCCAACATCTGTTTTTGACTTTTTGATTATGGCCGTTCTTGCAGGAGTAGGGTGGTATTGCACTGTGGTTTTGATTTGCATTTCCGTGATCATTAGTGATGTTGAACATTTTTTCACACGTTTGTTGGCCATTTGTATATCTTCTTTTGAGAATTGTCTATTTATGTCCTTAGCCCACTTTTTGATGGGATTCTTTGTTTGTTTTTCTTACTGATTTGTTTGAGTTCGTTGTAGATTCTGGATATTAATCCTTTGTCAGATGTATAGATTGTGAAGATTTTCTCCCACTCTGTAGGTTGTCTGTTTACTCTGCTGACTGTTCCTTTTGCCGTGCAAAAGCTCTTTAGTTTAATTAGGTCCCAGCTATTTATCTATGTTTTTATTGTATTTGCTTTTTGGTTCTTGGTCATGAAATCCTTGCCTAAGCTCATGTCTAGAAGGATTTTTCAAATGTTATCTTCTAGAATTTTTAGTTTCAGGGCTTAGGTTTAAGCCTTTAATCCACCTTGAGTTGATTTTTGTATAAGGTGAGAGATGAGGATGCAGTTTCGTTCTTCTACATGTGGCATTTGTTGCAAAGGCTGTCCTTTCACCACTTTATGTTTTTGTTTGCTTTGTTGAAGATCAGTTGGCTGTAAGTATTTGGGTTTATTTCTGGGTTCTCTATTCTGTTCCATTGGTCTATGCGCCTATTTTCATACCAGTAACACACTGTTTTGGTGACTATGGCCTAATAGTATAGTTTGAAATCAGGTAATGTGATGTCTCCAGATTTGTTCTTTTTGGTTAGTCTTGCCTTGGCTATGCAGGCTCTTTTTTGGTTTCATATTAATTTTAGAATTGTTTTTTCTAGTTCTGTGAAGAATGAAGGTGGTATTTTGATGGGAATTGCATTCAATTTGTATATTGCTTTTGGCAGTATGGTCATTTTCACAGTATTGATTCTACCCATCCATGAGCAGGGGATGTGTTTCCATTTGTTTGTGTTGTCTATGATTTCTTTCAGCAGTGTTTTATAGTTTTCCTTGTAAAGGTCTTTCAGCACCTTGGTTAGGTATATTCATAAGTATTTTAATTTTTTTTGCAGCTATTGTAAAAGGGGTTGAGTTCTTGATTTGATTCTCCACTTGGTCGCTGTTGGTGTATAGAAGAGCTACTGATTTGTGTACATTAATCTTGTATCCAGAAACATTGCTGAATTCTTTTATCAGTTCTAGAAGCTTTCTGGAGAAGTCTTTAGGGTTTTCAAGGCAAACGACCATGTTGTCAGCAAACAGTGACAGTTTGACTTCCTCTTTACCAATTTGGATGCCCTTTATTTCTTTCTCTTGTCTGATTGCTCTGGCTAGGACTTCCAGAACTATGTTGAAGAGGAGTGGTGAGTGTGGACATTCTTGTCTTGTTCCAATTCTCAGAGGGAATGCTTTCAACTTTTCTCCATTCAGTATTGTTGGCTGTGGGTTTGTCATGGATGGCTTTTATTACATTAAGATATGTCCCTTGTATGCCAATTTTGCTAAGAGTTTTAATCCTAAAGCGATGCTGGATTTTGTCAAATGCTTTTTCTGCATCTATTGAGATGATCATGTGATTTTTGTTTTTAATTCTGTTTATGTGGTGTATGACATTTATTGACTTGCTTATGTTAAACCATCCCTGCAACCGTGGTATGAAACTGACTTGATCATTGTGAATTTTTTTTTGATATGTTGTTGAATTCAGTTAGCTAGTATTTTGTTAAGGATTTTAGCACCTATGTTCATCAAGGATATCAGTCTGTAGCTTTATATTTTTGTTATGTCCTTCCCTGGTTTTGGGATTAGGGTGTTGCTGGCTTCATAGAATGAGTTAGGGTGGGTTTCTTCTTTCTCCATATTGTGGAGTAGTGTCAAAAGGATTGGTACCAATTCTTCTTTGAATGTCTGGTAGAATTCTGCTGTGAATCCATCTTGTCCCGGACATTTTTTGTTGGTAATTTTTAAATTACCATTTCAATCTTGCTGCTTATTATTGGTCGGTTCCCGGTATGTAATTCTTCCTGATTTAAGCTAGAAGGGTTGTAGTTTTCCAGGAATTTATTCATGTCTTCTAGGTTTTCTAGTTTATATGTGTAAAGGTGTTCATAGTAGCCTTGAATGATCTTTTGTATTTCAGTGGTGTCAGTTATAATATCTCCTGTTTAATTTCTTAGTGAGGTTATTTGGATTTTCTCTCTTCTTTTCTTGGTTAATCTTGCTAATAGTCTATCAGTTTTATTTATCTTTTCAAAGAAGCAGCTTTTTGTTTCATTTCTCTTCTGTATTGCTTTTTTTTGTTCCAATTACTTTTAGTTCTGCTCTGATCTTGGTTAATTCCTTTCTTCTGCTGTTATTAGTCTGGTTTGGGTTTGGTTTGTTCTTGTTTCTCTAGTCCCTTGAGGTGTGACCTTAGAATGTCAGTTTGTGTTCTTTCAGTCTTTTTGATGTAGGTTTTTCGGGCTATGAACTTCCCTCTTAGCACCGCCTTTGCTGTATCCCAGAGGTTTTGGTAGGTTGTGTCATTATTGTCATTCAGTTCGAAGAATTTTTAAATTTCCATCTTGATTTCATTTTTGACCCAATGTTCATTCAGGAGCAAGTTATTTAATTCCCTTGTATTGGCATGGTTTTGAAGATTCCTTTTGGAGTTGATTTCCAGTTTTATTCCACTCTGGTCTGAGAGAATGCTTGATATAACTTCAAACGTTTTAAATTTATTGAAGCTTGTTTTATGGACTATCACATGGTCTATTTTGGAGAAAGGTCCATGCACTGTTGGATAGAATGTGTATTCTGCAGTTGTTGAATGAAATGTTCTGTATATATCTGTTAAGTCTATTTGTTCCAAGGTATAGTATAAATCCATCGTTTCTTCGTTCACCTTCTATGTTGATGATCTGTCTAGTGCTGTCAGTGGAGTATTGAGGTTCCCCCACTATTATTGTGTTACTGTCTGTGTCATTTTTTAGGTCTTTTAGCAATTGTTTTATAATTTGGGAGCTCCAGTGTTAGGTGCATATATGTTTAGGATTGTGGTATTTTCCTGTTGGACAAGGCCTCTTACCATTATATAATGTCCCTGTTTGTCTCTTTTAACAGCTGTTGCTTTAAATTTTGTTTTATCTGATATAAGAATAGCTACTCCTGCTCTGCCTTTGGTGTCCATTTGCATGAAATGCCTTTTTCCACCCCTTTACTTTAAGTTTTTGCAAGTCCTTATGTGTTAGGTGAGTCTCCTGAAGGCAGCAGATAGTTTATTGGTGAATTCTTATCCATTCTGCAGTTCTGTTTCTTTCATGTGGAGTACTTAGGCCATTTACATTCTATGTTAATATTGAAATGTGAGGTACCCTTGCATTCATCTTGCTATTCGTTGCCTGTGTACGTTGTTTTTGTTTGTTTGTGTTTTTTAACTTGTATTTTTGTTTTATAGGTCCTGTGTGATTTATGCTTTAAAAAGGTTCTGTTTTGATGTGTTTCTAGGATTTGTTTCAAGATTTAGAGCTCTTTTTAGCAATTCTTGTAGTGGTGGCTTGGTAGTGGCAAATTCCCTCAGCGTTTGTTTGTCTGAGAACGATATCTTCCCTTCATATATGATGCTTAGTTTCGGTGGATACAAAATTCTTGGCTGATGATTGTTTTGTTTGAGGAGGCTGAAGGTAGGGCCTCAATCCCTTCTAGCTTGTGGGGTTTCCTCTCACAAATCTGCTCTTAATCGTGTAGGTTTTCCTTTATAGGTTACCTGGTGCTTCTGTCTCACAGCTCTTAAAATTCTTTCCTTCATCTCAACTTTGGATAAGCTGATGACAATGTGTCCAGCCAGGCAATGATCTTTTTGAGATGAATTTCCCAGGTGTTCTTTGTGCTTCTTGTATTTGGATATCTAGGTCTCTAGCAAGGCTGGGGAAGTTTTCCTCAATTATTCCCCCAAATCTGTTTTCTAAGCTTTTAGAATTCTTTTCTTCCTCAGGAACACTGATTATTCTTAGGTTTGGTCGTTTAACGTAGTCCTAGACTTCTTGGAGGCTTTGTTGATATTTTCTTATTCTTTTTTCTTTGTCTCTGTTGGATTGGATTAATTTGAAGACATTGTCTTTGAGCTCTGAATTGCTTTCTTCTACTTGTTCAATTCTATTGCTGAGACTTTCCAGAGCATTTTGCATTTCTAAAAGTGTGTCCAAACTTTCCTGAATATTTGATTGTGTTTTCTTTAAGCTATCTATTTACTTGAATATTTCTCCCTTCACTTTTGTATTTTTTTTTTTGGTTTCCTTGCACTGGGCTTCACCCTTCTCTGGTGCCTCCCTGATTAGCTTAATAACTAACCTTCTGAATTCTTTTTCAAGTGAATCAGGGATTTCTTCTTGGTTTGAATCCATTGCTAGTAAAATGGTACGATTTTTGGGGGGTGTTAAAGAGCCTTATTTTGTCATATTACCAGGGTTGTGGTTCCTTCTCATTTGGGTAGGTTGTGCCAGAGGGAAGGTCTAGGGCTGAAGGCTGTTGTTCAGATTCTGTTGCCCCACCGGGTGTTCCCTTGATGTAGTACTCTCCCCTTTTTCCTATGAATGTGGCTTCCTGTGAGCTGAACTGCTGTGATTGATTCTTGTCTCTCCTGGGTCTAGCCACCCAGCAAATCTACCCAGATCCGGGCTGGTACTGGGGGTTGTCTGCACAGAGTCCTGTGAGGTGAACCATCTATGGGCTCTCAGCTGTGGATACCAGTGCAGTATTTGGAGTGTCTCCTGGGTCCTGCAGGAGCAGTTGCTTCTTTCAGAGGGTCTGTGGGTCCTCTCAAGATTGCCGGTTTGTTCTTGCTGTTGATCTGGAGCTTAAATTCACAATGTGAGCCTCCGCACGCTGCTCTGTCCAGAGCTGCAATCTAGTCCTGCCTCCTATTTATTTTTAATGGACAAAAATTGTATATATTTGTGGTATACAAAGTGATGTTTTGATATATGTATACATTGTAGAATGGCTAAATTGAGTTAATTAACATATTCTTAGTTCCACATACTAACCTTTATTGTAGTCATAAAATTTAAAATCTTCTTTCTAAAATTTCAAGTAGATAGGAGGAATAATTTCAAGAGATATATTGTACAACATGGTGACTACAGTTAATAACAATGTATTGTATTTTGAAAATCACTGAGAGTAGATTTTAAATGTGTTTTGCTGCAAAGCATAAGTGTATAAGGAAATGTGTATGAGGTATGTTAATTAGCTCAGTGTAGTCATTCCATATTTTAGGTTGATGCATAAGTAATTGCGTTTTTTTTTCTTTGCCATTGAAAGTAATGGCAAAACACTGCAATTACTTTTGCACCAAACTAATACATATTTTAGGCACGTTTGGGGTGGTGTGGTCACAGACTACATATATGTTTTAAAACATCATGTTGTATATGATAAACATGTACAATATTTAGTTGTCAAAAAAGAAAATATAGTAAAATGCTCAGCAATTTTCAAGTATACAATACCTTGTTATTAATAATTATATAATTGTATACAATTTTCAAGTACGCAGTACATTGTGACATTGTTATAGTCACCATGTTGTACAATAGATCTCCTGAACTTATTCCTCTTGTCAAACTGAAATTTTGTATCCTTTGACCAACATCTCCCCAGTCCCTTTCCTCCCACCGTTGCCCCATGGAAACCATTACTCTACACTTTGCTTCTATGAGTTTGACTTTTTAAGATTCTATATATAAATAAAATCATGCAGTTTTGTCTTTTTTAATTTTACTTTTAATTGGTAAATATATATATTTGTGGGGTACAATGTGATGTTTTGATACCTGTATACATTATGGAATGATATAATCAGGCTAATAAACATATCTATCACATACTTATCATTTCTTTGATAAGAAATGGTGAGAACATTTAAAATCTGATATTTTAGTAACTTTGAAATATAGAATACGTTATTATTAACTACAGTCACTATGCTGTGCAAATGGAACACCTGAACTTACTCTTCCTAGCTGAATTTTGTACCCCTTGACTAATATATCTCCCCTTTCCCTGTGTCCCTCCCCACAAGTCTGGTAACCACTATTCTATTTCTATGAGTTGGCATACTGACCTTTCTGGAGGGCTCACCTTAAATTTGAAATAATGACTTCAAGTGCATTATCAAAGAACTCCATCAATGAAGACAAAACTCTATTGCATCCCTAAACTGATCCCACAAAGGGCCCTGTGAGTCAGTTGACCTGTGCATGACATCCTCTCAGGTATTTCCAAAGTCCCCAAGAAGGCTTGAGATTCATGGGCACTGAAAGCAGCTATTTAATTGTATGGGATGCACATTTACTTTTTAGTACCAAAGTTGTCATAAAATGTTATTTTTCTAGAGGCTAAGTGATAGTGCTGTAAAAGTTTTCTTTTGGTGTGTGCTTGCTGTAGGAGGTAATTTCTTATACTTGAACAATGTGACAGGCATAAAATCATGTGAGGCATCCCAAACCTTAACCTCCTTCTGTTTCCTGAACAGTCTTTGCTGCGAGCCTTAGCAAGATGAAGACCTCTATGTGGTTAAAAGGGTGGATTCTTTTTCTTTCCTTGGTTTTTACTACTTCTGGGCTATTGTCAGGTAGATGAGAAACTTGGGTTTATGGTGGTTTGATTGCATGACTGCCAAGGGATGGGGTTTCTAGTCTGGTGTTATTGACAGGATCATTTGTTGCTAATATCCAAGACCAGAGGGTCTCAGTCTGACCAGTTAACTGGTTAATGTCTTTGGAAAACGGTGTTTTTTTCAAGTTCATCACTCTATTTGGTTTATGCCTCATCCTCCTTTTTAACACCTTCCTGAATTCTTTTGAACTATGTTCTTAGCCCATCTCCTTTCCTTGGTTTTCCATTTTAGTGCTCTGATCAAACTTCTACTTTAAATCTTCCTCCCTTTGACACCAAATGTCTGACTGTTCCTCTAAGGCCGTCACAATATTTTGTGATTTGGTGAGGTGTGAGTGATCTCTCTCAGGTAGCTAAAGAAACTCTGGCTAAAGAGAGAACTCAGGTGCCATCAGCATGTTTTCAACCCTTCCTTTGAACCTGGAAAATTATTTTTTTAGGAGACTGCCATGGACTAATTGGAGGATTCATTAATTACTTCCTTTTTGCACTCTCAGACTCATTCAGAAAATACTTGAGTACTCGTGACATGTCAGGTACCATGCTCAGTGCTTGGAATTCAAAAAGGTGTGGCTCCTGTCTTAGGGGAGTTTGCAGTCTAGTAGGGGAGACAGACATTAATTGAATCATCCATATGTAAACTGCTAAGGATCAGAGTACAGGGAAATGTGGACACTTCAACAGGAGGCTTGACCCACTCTGGAAGGACCATTCTCCTTGGGAAATGATGAGTTAAGATCTTCAGCAAAAGCGAGAGTTGAGTTGGTTGATGTGCAGGGGAGTGGATGGGAGGCAAGTGCCAGGCAGTGGGAACAGAAGGTACAAGAGCCCTGAGGTGGGGATGTATGTGAGGTGGTGCAAGATAAAGAGTATGGTGGGATCATGGAGAGAAAGGGGAGCTGCCATGAGATGAGACTTGCTTAGTAGGCAGTGCAGAGAGGGCTGGAGGTGGCAGTGGCGTAAAGACAGGCCATTCTCCTTTAACCTACTTTTTTTTTTCTTTTTCTGTGGTAGAGTCTTGCTCTGTCGTGCCCAGGCTAGAGTGCAGTGGTGCGATCTGGGCTCACTGCAACCTCCGCCTCCTGGGTTCAAGTGATTCTTCCATCTCAGCCTCCTGAGTGGCTGGGATTACAGGTGCCTGTCACCACACCTGGCTAATTTTTTTGTACTTTTATTAGAGACTGGGTTTCACCATGTTGGCCAGGCTGGTCTTGAACTCCTGCCTCAGGTGATCCATCCACCTCGGCCTCCTAAAATGCTGGGATTACAAGCATGAGCCACCTTGCCAGGCACCTTTAGCTTTTGACAATGGTGCACCTTGTCAATAACAATGACACATTTGCCTAGTGTCTGGCCCACTAATTGTGATTTTGTGATCCTATTGCTAGTGTTCCTCAAAGTGTGGTCAGTGGAGCATCTAGTTTGAGTGGTGGCAGAGAATACTTACAGGCCATAAAAAGGAGAAAACAAACAAACAAACTCAGGTTGTAGAACCAGGAGAAATAACAGGATAAACTCTAAAAGAATTGCCTAATTGGCATCTCCACTGAGAAGTAGCAGGCATCTTAAGAATTTGAGAGCTGAGGCCAGGCGTGGTGGCTCACGCCTGTAATCCCAGCCTTTGGGAGGCCACGGCGGGCAGATCACTCAAGGTCAAAAGATCGAGACAATCCTGGCCAACATGGTGAAACCCTGTCTCTACTAAAAATGCAAAAATTAACTGGATGTGGTGGCACACACCTGTAGTCCCAGCTACTCAGGAGGCTGAGGCAGCAGAATCGCTTGAACCCAGGAGGCGGAGGTTGCAGTGAACCGAGATCACGCCACTGCACTTTAGCCTGGCGTCAGAGCAAGACTCTGTCTCAAAAAAAAAAGTTCAGAACTGACTGAATTTATAATTTTGTCCCCAGCCCCAGCCTGCTCCCCTCCTGGATCCCCTCCTGGCTCCCCTCCTGTATCTCAGTACACGGCAGCTGTTTTCATCTCTACACCATATTCAGTCTGGCAGAAAGTTCTGTGGCTTCTACCACTACTAACTTGTGACAGGCTGCTGTATTTCTCAGATAATTGCAGCTGTTGCCTAACTGGTATTTTTTCCTTGGTCCTTGAGAATCTATTAAATATTCTCAAGACAGCAGCCAGAGCCATTCTGTTAATACCCAGTGTATTTATTTTCCAAATCTGCTGTAACAAAGCACCACAAATTGGGGGGCTTAAAACAACACAGGGTGCTTAAAAAAACTGGGGGGCTTATTCTTTCACAGTTCTGAAGGCTAGAAGTCCAAAATAAAGGTGTCAGCAGGGCCATGATTCCCCTGAGAATCTTAGCAGAGTCCTTTCTTCCTTCTTCCTAATTTCCAATTGTTCCTCCAATCCTTGGCTTCCTTACCCTGCAGCCATATCACTGCAATCTCTGCCACTTATCACATAGTGCTTTCCTTTGTGTGTCTGCGTCTTCATGAGGCTGTGCTCCTTCTTCTTATAAGGGCATCAGTTACATTGGATTAAGTGCCCACCCTACTCCTGCATGACCTCATCTTAACTAATCACATAGGCAATGACCCTATTTCCAAACAAGGTCATATTCTAAAGTACTAGGGGTTAGGACTTCAATATATCTTTTTGGGAGACACAATTCAATCTATAATACCAAGTTAGATCATGGCATCCTCTGCAGAAGACCCCTCATTCTATATCTATCCAGGTCACAGTAAAAGTCATATGGTCTTTATTATGGCCCACAAAGCCCTAGCACTCTGTATTGTCTCCCAGGGAAGAGGGCTAGAAAGTGCCATCCCTTATCTACCTTGCTGCTCCATCCTCCTAACTCAACTTTAATTACCTGATGTCCTTGCCATTCATTGAATGCATGCTCCTGCCTTAGAACCTTTGCATCTGATGTTCCTTCTGCCTGGAATTCTCCTTGGCCCTCTGTATTAGTCTGTTTTCATGCTGCTGATAAATACATACCTGAGACTGGGCAATTTACAAAAGAAAGAGGTTTAATAGACTTACAGTTCCACGTGTGTGGGGAGGCCTCACAATCATGTCAGAATGTGAAAGGCACATCGTTTTTTTTTTTTTTTTTTGAGATGGAGTCTCGCTCTGTCCCCCAGGCTGGAGTGCAGTGGCGCGATCTCGGCTCACTGCAAGCTCCGCCTCCCGGGTTCACGCCATTCTCCTGCTTCAGCCTCCTGAGTAGCTGGGACTACAGGCGCCCGCCACCACACCCGGCTAAGTTTTTTTGTATTTTTTAGTAGAGATGGGGTTTCACCGTGTTAGCCAGGATGGTCTCGATCTCCTGACCTTGTGATCCACCCGCCTCGGCTTCCCAAAGTGCTGGGATTACAGGCTTGAGCCACCGCGCTCGGCCAAGGCACATCTAACATGGCAGCAGACAAGAGTTTGTGCAGGAAACTCCCGTTTCTAAAACCATCAGATCTCATGAGTCTTATTTACTATAATGAGAACAGCATGAGAAAGACCCTCTCCCATGATTCACTTACCTCCCACCAGGTTCCTTCCATGACACTTGGAAATTCTGGGAGTTACAATTCAAGATGAGATTTGGGTGGGGACACAGCCAAACCATATCATTCCACCCCTGGGCCCTCCCAAATCTCATGTCCTCACATTTCAAAACCAATCATGCCTTCCCTACAGTCCTCCAAAGTCTTATCTCATTTCAGTATTAACTCAAAAGTCCACAGTCCAAAGTCTCATTTGAGACAAGGCAAGCCCCTTCTGCCTATGATCCTGTAAAATCTAAAGCAAGTTAGTTACTTCCTAGATACAATGGGGGTACAGGCATTGGGTAAATACAGTCATTCCAAATGGGAGAAATTGGCCAAGACAAAGGAGATATAGGCCCCACGCAAGTCCCAAATCCAACAGGGCAGTCAAATCTTAAAGCTCCAAAATGATCTCCTTTGACTCTATGTCTCAAATCCAGGTCACATTGATGCAAGAGGTGGGCTCCCACAGTATTGGGCAGCTCTGCCTCTGTGGCTTTGCAGGGTACAGCCTCCCTCCTGGCTGCTTTCATGGGCTGGCGTTGAGTATCTGTGGCTTTTCCAGGTACACAGTGCAAGCTGTTGGTGGATCTAACATTCTGGGATCTGTAGGATGGTGGCCTTCTTCTCACAGCTCCACTAGGTGTTGCCCCAGTAGGGACTCTGTGTGGGGGCTCTGACCCCACATTTCCCTTCTGCACTGCCCTAGCAGATGTTCTCTATGAAGACCCTGCTTCTGCAGCAAACTTTTGCCTGGGTAACTAGATGTTTCCACACATCTTCTGAAATGTAGGTGGAAGTTTCCAAATCCCAGTCCTTGACTTCTGTGCACTCACAGGCTCAACACCACATGGAAGCTGCCAAGGCTTGGGGCTTGCATCCTCTGAAGCCATGCCAAAACTCTGCATTCAGCCATGGCTGGAGTGGCTGGGATGCAGGGCACCAAGTCCCTAAACTGCACAGAGCATGGGAACCCTGGGCCCCCAGCCCACAAAACCACTTTTTCCTCCTAGGCCACTGGGCCTGTTATGGCAGGGGCTGTGGTGAAAACCTCTGATATGCCCTAGAGACATTTTCCACATTGTCTTGGGGATTAACACTTGGCTCCTCATTAATTATACATATTTCTGCAGCCGGCTTGAATTTCTCCTCAGAAAATGGGATTTTCTTTTCTATCACATTGTAAGGCTGCAAATTTTCCAAACTTTTATGCTGTGCTTCTGTTATAAAACTGAATGCCTTTAACAGTATGCAAGTCATCTCTTGAATGTTTTGCTGCTAGAAATTTCTTCTGCCAGATACCCTAAATCATCTCTTTCAAGTTCAAAGTTCCACGAATCTCTAGAGCAGGGGCAAAATGCTGCCAGTCTCTTTGCTAAAATGTTAAGAGTCACCTTTGCTCCAGAGTCACCTTTGCTCCAGTTCTCAACAAGTTCCTCATCTCCATCTGAGATCACCTCAGCCTGGAATTCCTTGTCCATATCATTATCAGTATTTTGGTCAAAGCCATTCAGCAAGACTCTAGGGAGTTCCAAACGTTCCCACATTTTCCTGTCTTCTGAGCCCTCCAAACTGTTCCAACCTCTGCCTGTTGCCCAGTTCCAAAGTTGCTTCCACATTTTCAGGTATCTTTTCAGCAGTGCCCCACTCTACTGGTACCAATTAACTGTATAAGCCCATTTCATGCTGCTGATAAAGACATGCCCCAAGACTGGGCAATGTACAAAAGAAAGAGGTTTAATAGACTTACAGTTCCACATGGCTGGGGAGGCCTCACAATCATTGTGGAAGGTGAAAGGCAGGTCTCACATGGTGGCAGGCAAGAGAAGAGATCTTGTGTGGGGAAACTCCCATTTTTAAAACCATCAAATCGCGTGAGACTTATTCACTATCACAAGAACAGCACAGGAAAGACCTGCCCCCATGATTCACTTACCTCTCACCAGGTTCCTCCCACAACATGTGGGAATTACAGTACAAGATAAGATTTGGGTGGGGACACAGCCAACCCATGTCACACCTTTTCCTCTATGATCAGTTCCTTTGACAACTAAAGAACTCTGCTTAAATGAGGCCTTCCCTGACTCAAAAAATTACTTAAAATCCTATCCTCTGTCCTACATTAAACTTTTTACCTGCCTTATTCTTTCACAGTATTTATCACCATCTAATGTGATATATAATTTGCTTATTTTTTATTTTCTGTATTCTTTCCTTATAATGTCACCTACATGAGGTTTCCAGTGCATAGAAGAGAACTGGCACATGATATATTTCATTTACTCTGACATGGACAGTTTTTTACACAGTAAAAAAATCAGAATTCTAGAAAGTTTATAATCAGCTATATATAATGATTGGTCAGTGGACAGGAATGCTGTAGCTGTCATCATTTGCACATGGAGAACTTGGTCTGAAACTTTCTGTTGGCGCCTCTTGGTAAGGTCAGAGAGTGCTGGCATAAAAATTTGAGAAATAAGTACCACCAATTGGCATACAATCTGGAGAGAAGAATGAAGCATTCTTTTAAGAGATATTGCATCACCAATGGTGGTGATGGCTCAAAGAGAGATATATTTGTGGGGAAACAGGAACATTGATGACTGCGATCCAAGAAGTGATTTAGAAGAGTGAGACTCACTGTAAAAATATTTTAGGGTTACTTCAACCAATTAATTTTGTTTATACTTGCTTTTTGTTACACTTGCTTTTGTATACAGCACAAGAGTGATATGATTAAAGATGTCCATAAGAGCTCTTTCAATTTTTATAAAATTCAAAGACTAAGTAGTAAAATGTGCCTGATTCATTGGTAGTTTCTTTAATCCTAAAGATATAAAGTTTCCTTAATCTTCGTATGAAAAATAGTGGTATAGTTAAAGCTTAGATTCAATGAAAAATGGGAGGAGATGCTCAAATATTTGTTAGATGAGTGAATAAAAATTCACCCCAGACTTTTTTTTTCCTTCCAAAGGGCCCTGTGGCTTCCTTCCTCTAAACCCATTAAACAGTGCCATCTGCAGGGAAGGCAGCTCATGACATCATGTTTAAATATTAGAAGAACAATAACAAGGTAAAAAAATTGGCAATGCCACCATTCAGCTCTCTGTGAGTATCTCTTAAAACTAGAAGTTTATTCTGACCCATCCATGAGTCAGATCTAAGATAAGCAGTTATTATCTTTAGGCAAGACTGAGTCGGCACATCAGATAGATAAAGGAAAGAGAGAGAAAGAGTTAAAATGTTTGTGCAGCCTATATTTTTCTGGCTAACAGCCACTAGGAAAAGCTGGATTGAGAAAGACCTACATTAACTTTCTTGTGTTCTAGTAACTAAACTTTTAGGCAAAGCCTAAGACTGTCCTGTTTAAACGAACTGTTTCTATCTAATAAGAAATTATAATGATATGGTATGATGGCAAAGCTATTTTAGAGGCCTGGACTCTCCATTAACCACAGCAGTTTAGCAGAGAACAAGGTCTCTGCCACAATCCATTATCCTAAATTAGCACGTGGGTGTTGGAGATGGGGGATGGCATGACAGCTCCATATGAGTATTAGGGGTTAATAAATGGAAAAGGCTGCTGCTGCTAAATCCAGCCCTATAATTACATTTTGGTCTCTGGGTCAGTTCCAGGTCACTAGCATCTCAACTAGCCTAAAACCCATATAATGCTTATTTGTAATTTTAATTTTTAGTTCCGTATTAATGGCATTTTATATGCCCCCAGTCATAATGGAACAAGAGTGAATTTGGGCATCAGAGATGCTGATTTTACTACTGATGGAATCTCAGGCCTACGTGCTGTCTGAATGCTCATGCAGTGGTTGTAGATACTGTACTTTACCTTTTAGATGGTGAGGGTGTTGAAAAGGTATTTTTTTTTCATTTCCATGTAGGTGCTTTTGTGACCATAAAATCAGTTTTACAATTAAAGTGATGCCTACATTCCTGCAGTGCATCTCTTTTCAAGAGCTTTGTTTAATAATCTCTACATGCAATAAAGGAATTGCATCTCTCTCTTTTGTGCCTCTCATGGACTTTCTTCCTTCCCCCGGTGCCCTCTGCTGCATTCTTCCTTCTTTGACTGCCAGTCCTGGTTTCTGACAATGTAACCTTGGCTGGAACTTAGGTGATGATTTTGCTTTCCTTGTTTGGTTGAGTAAACTTGTAACCCCAGGAACATGTGGAAAAAAATAGGTATAAAGTGTGCATGTTGTGTTTATAGGGATGTGGTGAAACATTTTCCAGTCACTATGCTGCTTTATGGGTGCTGTGACTTAAGATGCTTAAGGGGATTTGAGCTACTAAATATCTAAGTTTCAGTTTGTATTTATGAGTGTGATTTAAGTCATTGGGAGAGTTTATTCTAATTAGTAAGTCTGCTTTGTTAGAAATTTGAAACATTTGAGAGAATCAGATATATTAAATATGTAACTATACTTAAAATATCTGAGGATATTGACATTAAATTGCATCAGATGAGTAGGGAAGACATCATTTGTAAACTTGGATTAATTGTACATTAATCAAAGAAAAAGTAAAAAAAGTAATGATTTTAATACTTGAAAAAATAGGATTTATAGGTTGAGATACTTTAAAAAGTTTTACATATGTTTCATCAATATAATACTTATTAGAACAAAATAAAATTAAAATTTTCTTGCACAGAAATGCCTTTAAGATAGTAAAATGTCAGTAACAAATATCACATACTTAAAATTTAGTTCCATAGAAATATGTGATCTGGGAAACTGCAGTTTCTTAACAAGGCTGTGCTTTCTTGGAGAAAATGTATGGAAACAGGACATTGATAGCTAGGAACACCTTCTCCAAAAATGACTGGGTATCTTATGATGCCTTTGGGAAAAGGCATCTACTGAGGTGGTCATATGATTATTCTTTTTTATTCGGTTTATATTCACTAGAAATTGTAATTTTCACTGGATATTGAAGCCTAGATTGTTATTTTTTAAGTCAGCATTTTGAACATGAATTTTTGTCTACTGTTCTCCCTATTTCCTTCTGATACATCAGCCTTCATTCTTATTACTCTCCAATTGTAATGTGTCTATATTAGTCTGTTCTCACACTACTATAAATACATATCTGAAACTGGTTACTTATAAAGAAAAGAAGTTCTGCAGGCAGTACAGGAAATATGGCTGGGAGGCATCAGGAAACTTACAATCATGGCAGAAGGCGAAGGGGAAGCAAGCATGTCTTACATGGTGGGAGCAGGAGAAAGAAAGAGTGAAGGGGGAGGTGCTACACACCTTTAAACAACCAGATCTTGTGAGAACTCACTCACTATCATGAAAGCAGCAAGGGGGAAATACATTACCATGATTGAATCACCTCCCCACCAGGCCCCTCCTCCAGCACTGGGGATTACAATTTGACATGAGTTTGGGAGGGCCACAAATCCAAGCCATATCAGTGTCTTTTTAAAAAAAGCTTGGGAATCTTTTTATATTTCTTGTTTGCAGCAGGAAAATTGTCTTTGCACTGGCACTTTAGTTGCACCTTGTATAGGCATTGCATTTCTCCATCAGGTGGGCAGCTTCTGGATGGTCTGGTTTATGATATGACCTGTGGAACTCTTGATCATGTGTCCTGCCCTGCACTTCTTGTTATAAATGAGTCCATTGGTCTGGCATGATGTTATCTGGTATCATGCTGGTGGTGAATTAAATACTCTAAGCCCTTGGATAGTAGTGTTGACTAAGGCCCTGCAGACAAACCTATACCTGGTAGGCATATGATGTGGTCAAATTGTCACCAAGTTGCTGATTGGTCTCTTCCAGTGATATGTGATCTCAGGGACTTAGGGTTATTGTCAGGTTGGACATTTGGTAACAGCGGTAACTCGATTAGTTTTGTTAAGTCAGAACCCATGCTATTAAGCCAGATATAGCCTCCATCCTTGCCACCACAGCTATTCTGTTTGGGTTCTCTTGTGCTAACAATGGCATGGCTAATGACAGAAACTGGCCAATGTCAACTGGCCAAGTCATTTTGTCCACCTATTTGTATAGAAATTCTTCCATGGTGGATGCTCCTTGGTGGATATTAACAAGGGTTATGCTTTCATCTTCATGGTGGGAGATGCAAGACACAATTATTTGTCCTTTACAGGAAATGTCCCAGCATGTCCCAGACCACCGGACACAAAAATTTCAATCTGTTTGGGCCTCTGAAATTTTATAGGGTTTATCTCCTCTCTTTGGAACTCAGGTGTCTTACCAATTCTCCCAATGTACCAGCTACTTCTTGCTTATCCAGCTCAGTTAGTACAATATTGTCAGTATAGTGTGCCACTGTGATATTCCTTGATATGTTCACATGGCCCAGGAATCTTTGGAATATATTATGGGAGGGGGTAGGAGTGTTAATATATCTTTGAGATAACACTATACATGTATAGTGTTGTCTGTTCCAAGTAAATGCAGTTTCTGATTGACCAGATCCAGGCAGCAGCTGCATACTGTGTCCTTGAGTTTGGGGTATCATCTCTAGCAGAAATACTACCCTTGGCACAGAGCATTTAAGAAGGACTGCAGGTTTCAGGTGGGAACTTGTGAGTGTTAGAGCTATGGCTCCAGAAAGGTTTAATTCTTGCTTCAGCACTGGGAACTGAGAAAATGGGTAACCAAAGTATCACTCGATTAGAATCAGGGACAGTAACTAAACTGATAAATGCTTTTTATGAGCATGCAAATTTCTATTTCATACCAACATCCCAACCTAAAAGTTTCCACCAGGCAGATTTGTTTGGAGAGGCAGAGGAAGAGGAGGGAGAGTGGGTAGAGAGAGAGAGTGAGCTTTTACTTGGGCTCACTCTCTTTCTTTCCTCCTGTTATAGCTACACTACTCTGAATGTTGCCAATGCTCTTTCCAATTCCTTTCTTCCCCTTCTCTCTTAAACTCATTTCAATTGGACTTTCACTCCCACCCTGCACCCAAACTGCTTTTTATTAAAATCAGCAATTGCTCTTCACATTGCTTCAGCAATTACTCTCCACATTTGCTAAGTCCAGGGATTGCTTTGCAATCCTCATCTTGCTTTATCTATCAGTAGCACTTGTCTATTTTCACTACTAGTATTCTATCTTGACTTCCAGGCTGCCACACTTTCTTCATTTCCTCCAGTATAACCTCACCGACTTCTTCTTAGTGTTTGCTGGTTCCTGTTCATCTCCCTGACCCCTAACATTAGAAGGCCCCAGAGCTCAGCCTTTAACACTTAATCCAACTTTTACTAAATTATAGACTGTAATGATAGACATCTAATGAGATAAAATAAACTTTATTCATAAACATTGTCTTATATAAAGTTAAAAATGAAGAGAGTGCCTACTAAAAAGGGATTGTGAAAAGGTACCTGGCTATTGGGAGTAAGCCCCCAAAATCTGGCCATAAACTGGCCTCAAAACTGGCCATAAGTAAAATTTCTGCAGCACTGTAACATGTCCATAATGACCCTAATGCACAAGCTGGAAGGTTGTGGGTTTATGGGAATGAGGGCAAGGAACACCTGGCTTGCCCAGGGTGGAAAACTGCTTAAAGGCATTTTTAAGCCACAAACAAAAGCATGAGCAATCTGTGTCTTAAGGGCATGTTCCTGCTGCAATTAATTCAGCCCATCCCTTCATTTCCCATACGGGATACTTTTAGTTAACTTAAAGCTATAGAAACAATGCTAATGACTGGTTTGCTGTTAATAAATATGTGGGTAAATCTCTGTTTAGGGCTCTCAGCTATGAAGGCTGTGAGACCCCTGATTTCCCACTTCACACATCTATATTTCTTTGTGAGTGTCTTTAATTCCTCTAGCGCCACTGGGTTAGGGTCTCCCTGACTAAGCTGGTCTCAGCAAGTGGCGCCTAACATGGGGCTCAAATCCAGGTCGAAGGGTCGCTGGAGTGATGGTTGGAACGGAAGACACCCAAGTACTCTTAAAGCAATCCCCATGGTGAGTAAGAAGGGGAGCTCAGAAGTATCAGGGTAACAATGGGACAGGTTTGGGGTCTGGTTTGTTCCACCTTGGAACTTTTTCACAGTGATGAGGAGAAAGAACAAGAGTATAGCAAAGTAACAGAAGAGGTTACAGAGCATGTTTATTTGCCAGCTAAAGCTAAAGTGGCAAAGGAAGGAGAGGTTCATCCCTACCCTTCTGCACCCCCTCATTATTATTTTGAAGAAAATGACCCCTGAGATCTTTCTTTTCTGGAGGACACTGGGCAAAAAGTAGTTGCCCCAGTGACTGTTTCAGCAGTGCCTCGAGCAACAGCTCTTAGTTCTATTCAGGCAGGAATTCAGCAAGCTAGACAAGAGGGTGACTTAGAGGCTTCACAGTTCCCTGTTAGAATACACCCCCCCAGATTAAGAGGGAAATATTACAGCTGCATTTGAGCCTTTTTCTTTTAAATTACTCAAAGAATTAAAACAAGCTATAAATGAGTATGGACCAGGTTCTCCTTTTGTAATGGGACTGTTAAAGAATGTTACTGTTTCCAGTCGGATGATTCCTACTGACTGGGATGCTCTTACTCAAGCTTGTCTAACTCCTGCTCAGTTCTTACAATTTAAAGCTTGGTGGGCAGATGAAGCTTCCATTCAGGCTGCTTGCAATGCCCAGGACCAACCTCAAATTAATATAACTGCAGACCAACTTTTGGGGGTTGGTGGCTGGGCTAGGTGCACAACTCATCATGCAGGATGATGCCATAGAACAGCTTAGAGGAGTGTGCATTAGAGCTTGGGAAAAAATCACTTCAGGTGGGGAACAATACCCTTCCTTTAGTGCTATAAAACAGGGACCTAGGGAACCACATGTTGATTTTATAGCTTGGTTACAGGAGTCTCTTGAAAAGATGATTGCAGATTTGGCTGCTCAGGATATAGTGTTGCAGTTATTAGCTTTTGACAATGCTAATCCCAATTGCCAGGCTGCTCTGTGACCTATTAGAGGGAAAGCACATTTAGTTGATTATATCAAGGCCTGTGATGGTATCGGAGGTAATCTGCATAAAGCTACTTTGTTGGCACAGGCAATGGCAGGACTGAGAGTGGATAAAGGAAATACTCCATTTCCTGGAGCTTGTTTTAACTGTGGGAAGCATGGTCATACTAAAAAAGAATGTAGAAAAAATCAGCAAGTCAGGCCGCCAGATAGGTGAAAAAAGAAAACTGTTGAGCCTGAGATATGTCCAAAATGTAAAAAAGGAAAACATTGAGCTAGTCAGTATCACTCTAAGTTTGATAAAGAAGGAACCCAATTCAGGAAACGCCATGAGGGGCCCATCCCAGGCCCCATTCTAAACCAGGGCATTTCCATCTCAGGCCATTCCCTCACCCCATAAAATGTCTGTCCCCTGCCACAGCCAGTAGTGCCACAATAGATTTATGCTGCACAAAAGCTGTGAGCCTTCTGCCTGGGGAACCCCTGCAAAAGGTCCCAACAGGAGTCTATGGACCCTTGCCAGCAGGGACTATAGGATTACTTTTAGGAAGGTCTAGTTTAAGTTTAAAAGGTGTACAAATACATACAGGAGTCATTGATTCAGATTGCAATGGGGAAATTCAAATTGTTGTATCTACTTCTGTTCCCTGGAAAGCAGAGCCAGGAGAGTGCATAGCACAGCTCCTGATTGTGCTGTATGTGGGAATGGGAAGAAGTGAAATTAAATGAACAGGAAGATTTGGAAGCACAAATAAACAAGGCAAAGCAGCTTATTGGGTAAATCAAATTACTGATAAATGTCCTACCTGGGAAATAACTATTCAAGGTAAGAAATTTAAAGGTTTGGTAGATACAGGAGTGGACATTTCAATCATTTCTCTACAGCACAGGCCGTCCATGTGGCCAATTCAGCCCACTCAATTTAACATAGTTGGAGTTGGTAAAGCTGCTAAGTATATCAAAGTGGTTATATTTTGCATTGTGAAGGGCCCAACAGACAACCTGGAACTATTCAACCAATTATAACTTCTGTACCTATAAATTTATGGGGAAGAGATTTATTACAACAATGGGGAGCACAAGTTCTAATTCCAGAACAATCATATAGCCCTTAAAGTCAAAATACAATGCATGAAATGAGGTATGTCCCTGCTATGGGACTAGAAAAAAATTTGCAAGGTTTGAAAGAACCGCTTCAAGCAGAAAAACAAAGTTCCCGCCAAAGATTAGGAAATAATTTTTGATGGTGGCCATTGTTAAGCCTCCAGAACCTATACCTTTAAAATGGTTAACAGATAAGCCAATTTGGATAGAATAATGGCTGCTAGGTAAAGAGAAATTGGAGGCTTTAGAGAAATTAGTTGCTGAACAATTAGAAAATGGGCACAGAGCTCCAACATTTTCCCCTTGGAATTCTCCAGTTTTTGTAATTAAGAAAAAAATCAGGTAAATGGAAAATGTTAACTGACTTAAGAGCCATCAATTCAGTTACACAACCTATGGGAGCATTACAGCCAGGATTGCCTTCTCCTGCTATAATTCCAAAAAATTGACCTTTAATAGTCATAGATTTAAAAGACTGTTTCTTTACTATCCCCTTGGCTGAGCAAGACTGTGAATGGTTTGCATTTACAATCCTGCAGTAAACAACCTGCAGCCTGTTAAGTGTTATCATTGGAAAGTGTTGCCGCAGGGCATGTCAAACAGCCCAACAATTTGCCAGACATACGTGGGGCAAGCAATTGAACCTACTTGTAAAAAATTTTCACAGTGTTACATTATTCGCTATATGGATGATATAATTTGTGCTACCCCCACTCGAGAAATATTACTCCAATGTTATGATCACTTGCAAAATTTGATTTCTCATGCTGGTTTAATTATAGCTCCTGACAAAATTCAGACTACTACTCCTTACTCCTACTTGAGCGCCTTAGTAAATGACACTACCATTGTGCCACATGAAGTAACCATACATAGGGATCAACTAAAAACATTAAATGACTTTCAGAAATTACTAGGGAATATTAATTGGATACGACCTGCTCTAGGCATTCCTACCTATGCCATGAGTAATCTGTTTTCTATCCTTAGAGGAAATCCTAGTCTCACTAGCCCTCGGCAATTAACAAAGGAGGCGGAGGCAGAGTTAAACAACTGATTGAGAAGTAAGTCTATAAAGCTCAGATAAATAGAATAGATCCAGAGAAGACTCTAGATTTGCTAATCTTTTCAACTCAGCGTTCACCTACTGGTGTTACTGTCCAAGAACAGGACTTAGTATACTGAGTGGCTTTTTCTTCCACATACTAATTCATATACTCTAACTCCTTATTTAGATCAAATCACTACTATGATAGGGATTGGGAGAACTCGGATTGTTAAATTACATGGATATGATCTTAGAAAAATTATTGTCCCTCTCATGAAAGCACAAATACAGCAAATTTTTATAAATAGTCTTACTTGGCAAAAAGTAGCTGACTTTGTGGGTATTCTCGATAACCATTTTCCTAAAACGAAGCTGTTTCTGTTTTTGAAATTAACTAATTGGATTCTCCCTAAAATAACTAAATTTAACCGAATTGAAGGTGCTGAGAATGTTTTTACAGATAGGTCTAGTAATGGTAAAGCTTCTTATTCTGGCTCAAAAAGTAAAGTTTTTCAGACGTCCTATACTTCAGCTCAAAAAGTGGAGCTTGTAGCTGTAATTGAGATATTGACTGCTTTTGATATGCCTATTAATGTGATTTCTGATTCTTCATATGTGGTTCATTCCACACAGTTAATTGAAAATGCTCAGTAACGATTTCATACAGATAAACAACTAATGACAAAAACAAAAAAGGAGGAAAAATAGGGATTACAGGACAGCCCATACACAATTGAATCAGCATTATTTGGCGAAAAGATCCAATAACAAAAAGTTGGGAAATAGGTAAAATAATAACTTGGAGTAAAGGTTATGCTTGTATTTCTCCAGGCCAAAATCAACAGCCGATTTTGATACCATCAGGACACCTAAAACCTTATCATGAGCCAGATGCCAAAGAAGAGATTCCAGGAGGTTCCCGAGGACCTCCCGGTTGCAGCCATGTTGAGACTGATGCTGAGGAGGACCCCAGCTGCCATGAGCAACGCCGTCAAACACAGCCACCCACCTGGGCACAGATCAAGAAGCTGTACAGATGACAGAAGAAAACCTGAGGAAAGCAGGACAACCAGTCACGATGAATAATTTAATGGTAGCTATGATAGTGGTTATCACCACTGCCATTAAATATTCCTTCATAAAGGGCTGGCAATAATGCCTGGATGCAGTCACTCTATGACACAGTTACACATGCTTTCTGATCTCAGTATTTACCATAATAAATCTGCTCCTATAATTGAGGCATACTGCCCTCAAAAACCTATTTGTAAACAGGATTGGACCCAGTTAAAAAAAAATGAACGTACTCGTTTAGGAAGATTGCTTTGCAGAACAGGCAGAGGTGCTGCACAATGATTCCTATGGAATCATTATTAATTGGTCCCCTAAGGGGATGTTTAGCTTGAATTGCACCTCTCAGTCTGCATGCCATGGTCACACTATGTTCAGATGATCTGAACAAAATGGTCAGATGATAGCTATAATAAAAAGTACAGCAAAAGTTCCTATTATCTGGAACCATGGTGATATAGTGGCATCTCAACCTCAAATGATATGGCCTGCTCTAGGAGCAAAACATAAGGATTTGTGGAAACTATTAAATGCTCTTAATAAGATCAAAATTTGGGAAAGAATAAAAAAGCATCTAGAAGGACACTCTACAAACTTGTTTTTGAGTATAACAAAATTTAAAAAAAAACAAATATTTAAAGCATCCCAGGCACACCTGACCTTAATGCCAGGAACTGGAGTGCTTAAAGGAGCTGCAGACAAATTAGCAGCTAGTTAACCCATTAAAATGGATAAAAACACTTAAAAGCTCTGTGATTACAATGATAATGGTGCTTTTAATCTATGTTGTTTGTCTTTATGTAGTCTGCAGATTCAGATCCCGACTCCTGCGAGAAGTAGCTCACCGTGACAAAGCTGCCCTTGCTTTTATCTCTTTGCAAATCAAAGAAGGGAGACATATTGGGAGGAAGCCTCTCAAAATCTGGCCATAAACTGGCCCCAAAGCTGGCCATACATAAAATCTCTGCAGCACTGTAACATGTCCATAATGGCCCTAACACCCAAGCTGGAAGGTTGTGGGTTTATGGAAATGAGGGCAAGGAACACCTGGCCCGCCCAGGGCAGAAAACCGCTTAAAGGCATTTTTAAGCCACAAACAAAAGCATGAGTGATCTGTGTCTTAAGGGCATGTTCCTGCTGCAATTAATTCGGCCCATCGCTTCATTTCCTGTAAGGGAGCTTTTAGTTAATTTAATATCTATAGGAACAATGCTAATGGCTGGTTTGCTGTTAATAAATATGTGTGTAAATCTCTGTTCAGGGCTCTCAGCTCTAAAGGCTGTGAGACCCCTGATTTCCCACTTCACACCTCTATATTTCTGTGTGTGTGTCTTTAATTCCTCTAGAACCACTGGGTTAGGGTCTCCCTGACTGAGCTGGTCTCAGCACCTGGCCATTTCATTTAAAAGTAAATTATTTTCTCAAGTGGAAGACAGCCTATGGAATAATTAGTCCCAACTTCCTGAAAATGACTAAGTAGCTCATCTGATGCATAATCCTTAAGCAGTGATGGAAATTGGTGTCAAGATACGATTTGGTCAGAGTTGTATCTTAAAAAAATATGCAATGATGTTTTGGAGGGAAAGAGAGGGAATTGGATAAAGGAGGCCAGTTAAGAATGTGTGGTTGAGATACCAGCAATGGTAAGAGAGTGTCATGTGGAAGAGCAGAGAGTCCAAGGATGACTTGGTAGGAAATTCTAGTAGCTGACAAGTAGGACAAAGTAGGAGGAGAAGAGGAAATACTAATTCTGAGAAACCTCAGAGAAAATAAGAGAAACTTGAGTGGAACACTCTCTTTCACTCAATGGTATTAGCTGGACCCAAGGGGAAAAAAAGCATGGGACTAAGAAGAATTATTGAGTTCCAAACCTTTAGGATGGAGCCATCAGGTTCTAGCAACTACAAGCCCCATGACTCATGGTCACTGAGAAACTACCCCTTCAAGGCACCATAAGTCAAGGTCCACTCTTATACCCTGCCGAGAACACATCCAAGTCAAGGAAACAAGTAGAAATAGCAGTCCTCCTAATACCTCCAGGGTCTTCATTATGCTGGATCATGGACTAAGACCTCCTGAGGCAACAGCAGTTGGAAGGTGCTAGGAAGCCTGAAGTGTTTTTAGAGCCAGTGCCACACTCAGATGTATTCAATTAATCTAATTTTCAGAGACAAGAGAGAAAATCTTTCACATATTGTCAACTCCACCCCCTAGCCTTTTCTTGATCACTTTGGTATAGGAAACCATAGTGTTATAATAAGGGGACACAACAAAGTGTTATGTAGTGCCCATAGAACTGTTATTTAAGCACTTTTGAAATGCTTAAATAGATGTCATTTGCTGGCCAATTTTTAATACTATATAAGCTCATTTAGAGATGCAACAAAACTTTGACCTGATGATGTACTTGTACTTCACTACCCACTGCTAGAGCCATTTTTCACAGTCTCTGAATTATATTGTATCTATCTCTATAATAATAACATATATTAATCTTACATAAACACCCCCCCTGTAAGATTAAGAGCTTACTTAGAGTCCTGGCATGGTGGCTCACGCGTGTAATCTCAGCATTTTGGGAGGCTGAGGCGGGCGGATCATGAGGTCAGGAGATCGAGACCATCCTGTCTAACATGGTGAAACCCCATCTCTACTAAAAATACAAAAAATTAGCCAAGCGTGGTGGTAGGTGCCTGTAGTCTCAGCTACTCGGGAGGCTGAGGTAGGAGAATGGCTTGAACCCAGAAGGCGGAGCTGGCAGTGAGCAGAGATCGCACCACTGCACTCTAGCCTGGGTGACAGAGTGAGACTCCATCTCAAAAAAAAAAAAAAAAAAACTTACTTAGAATGCTAGTAGGAGCTGCACCAGTAGCTGCAGAATTTACCTAATATTTGCAAAAATCATCCTTGAAGAGTCCCACTCACTTAAGTGATTTCTGAATGTCCTCCTCGAGTCTAACCCTTAGATTTCTTTTTCTTTTCTAAAAAGGATTTACATATCCCAGAGACACTGTGGTGTGCGAGGCACTGACGGATGCTTCTAGGTGGACAATGTGTATCTCCTGAAGAGTCTGTTTAATCTGAAGATTCTCAAAATTCCTAATCTATGAAAAGCTTAAGTTTCCTTTAAGTTGATTCCTACGAAAATATTTATTAATTCCTCCAGTAGTGTTCCTTTTTCTACACTGAGATTTGTACAGGCTCAAGAATATGCTGTCACTGTGTTTTGGGATCTTTGGGGTGTCAATTTTATTTCCAGAAATTTCTGTGGCTGGTGGTGCCTTTGCCTGGGTTCTTGTCCTATGTTGAGGAAGAATGAGGTGCACAGACAAGTGAAGGGTGAGGAAGACCACAAGGAACTTTATTTAGTGTTAGAACAGCTCAGTGGAGACCAACAGTAGGTAGCTCCCCTCTGTAGGCAGGCAGGTCACTTGTGGAGCATTCCACTTTCAGCAGGGAGGGTAGCTTCTCTCTGCAGCTGGTCCTCTGGATGGCTACTGCTCTCAGCAGAGAGGAGGTCCTGGAGAGGGTAGCTCCTCTTCACAGGCAGGTTGTTTGGTTGTCTCTGTAGGTCTCTGAAGCTCTCAGCAGAGAGGGTAGCTCCTCTCTGCAGCTGGTCATCCTGTGTCTGTTCAACTCTGGCTGAACCCAGGGCTTTTATGGGCCTCAGAGGGGAGGAAGTGCATGCCAGTTGGCCCATGGGTGGCCGTGGGTGGGACTGGAAAAGGCACCAGCTCCCTGTTGGGTCTGTGGGACTGGCAGCCTGGTCCCCAAACTTCAGGCCCTCCCTGGCCTGAAGGAGGGACCTTACTGGAAACCCACCCCCTTCCACTTGGAACTCTGTCTGCCTCCTGCTGTTCATGGTGCCTGGGCTTGGCCTGACTTTGCTCTGAGATTGGAGCAGGTGCCGACAGCAGGGAGAAGCCAGATGGCAGGGGCAGGCACTTTCTAGCCTGTGAGAGCAGAGTGGGGGACCTTTCCCAGGCCCCAAGAGTGCAGGCATGCCTGAGGCTGCAGCCACAGTTTGGGCAGTTGCAGTCCCACCCAGGAGGGCAGGGCTCCTGCCTGCTGTGTGGAGCACACAGCCCTAGTTGTGCCTCCTTGCTGCAGCCGGGATGATGGCAGGCGAACTGGAGTGGCTGCCACCATCAATTGTACCACAATATAGTCAAAGAATGGATATGGCAAAATTTCCCAGACAGTCTATTAAGAGAGTTTTTTAATGACTTATTTGGACAATTTAAAATGTTATTTAAAAGGTAAATTAAAAGGATGCTGTTGTAGAAAGGAAAGGAAGATGCCTATGAATAATTACAATAAAACTATATTTTAAGCATGCTGCTTCCAGCTATAACCCTATACACTATGTTGTTTATCTTTTTTCATTTCAGAAATAGTTAAAAAGCATCAGATAAGTAGATCTGAAAATGTCCTTAATTTTAGAAAATGACTTAAAAGCTATATCAGGTGAAGCAAATCCAGTACCTAAGTTTTAAGTATATTTCAGTCAGAAGTTGGGGGCAGGGGAAGTACTATTGAAGACAGGTGGCTTTAAGAAAATTCATGAAATAATATAAAATGCAAACAAGACAAAAATGTTAAACATAAAAAATTAAAGTCTCATCTAATACATTCCTTGGTGATAGCCATTGTGCTCAATTTTTCTAAAGGTTTTCATAGTGTATGTATGCATATATATAAAATTAATATAAAATTTATATACAAGTTATATAGACTAATTTATATATTAATTATATCTTGTATGTTAACATTTAATATATTAATATTCACTATATTATATATAATACATTATATGTAATACATAATATATATAAAATTAACAACATAGCTCTTGCTAAGAAATATGTATACATACTTTAGAAAACTTTGTATATATCTGTGTATGTGTACTGTATATATATGTATACCATAGGTATGTGTGATAGGCATATATGTTATATATGTTATATATATACTGTAGGTATATAGATTTATTTTGTTATTTTTAATTGCTGAATATCAGTGCATTGTATCCATATACCACAATTGATTTAACTCATACCAAATTATGGATTGTTGAGTTGATTCTATTTTGCTAATATTGCAAAGAATACAGTAATTGATATCTTTTAAGATAAACTGTTGCAATCTCATATCAGTATTTCTATGGGACAAAATAATACATTAGGAATTGTGATAAAGAATAAACATACTAAAAACAGTATTTATTGCTAAATTGTCCCTGAAAATTTATCAATTTACTTCATCATAGGAAGTAAATGACATTATTTCTTTTCTAAGAAAACTGTCATGACTGAATGTTAACAAACCTCTTAAACATTTTTCCTCAGAAGGATGCAAATGATAACTATTTATTTAAATTTAATATTTTTTTGCCTATTGTTTTTGCTCAGCAAGTTTTTTTGTAGCACAGATCCCTTTCATAAAGGCAGACCCATCCCTGAGTTGTTTTTTCCTTATGGGTTTGATTTTTATGTCATTGAAAATGGTCTTCTCCAGTTAATTTACTAAAATAGTCATTGGTTGGTTTTTAGGTCTTTTTTGTTACATTAAAAATCATTTAGAGGTAACTGTAAATTCATACACAGTTGTAAGAAACAACACAGAGAGATCCTATGTACTTTTCACCCAATTTTCCCCAATGGTAACATCTTGCAAAACTAAAACACAATATCACAACCAAGATATTGACATTGATACAGTCAAGACACAGAACATTTCCATCACCACAGTGATCCATAATATGACCTTTTAAGAGCTACATCTACTTCCCTCCTGTCCCCATCCCCTCGTAAACCCTGGTAACCACTAATTTACTCTCTGTTTCCACTTTTTCATTTCAAGGATGTTATATAAATGGAATAGTATAGCATATTACCTTTTGGGATTGGCTGTTTTCACTCAGCATAATTCCATGGAGATTCATGCAGAATGTTCCAATGAAGCAATAATTTGTTCTTTTTCTTGCTAAATAGTATCCCATGGTATAGATTACTATGGTTCGTTTAGCCATTCATTTAAAAAAAGGGCATCTAGATTGTTTCCAGTATTTTGCGACTATGAATACAACTGCTAGGAATATTGGTGTACAGGCTTTTGTGTGAAAATAAATTTTCATTTATTTGAGACATGCCCCTGACATATCATTTGCTTAATAGATATCTTTGAATAATCGAATTGATAAATTGTGAGAAGAGAATAGAAAACAAAGTGTACCACATTTAGTTATTTTCATTAATATTCTAAAATACCTGTTTGTGAGAATTTACTGTTCCATTAAAGAGGTCATTAATAGGTCACATTTCTCTATAAAAACACTAATCTTATCAGCACAGTTTGTATTCTCTGTGCTGAAGATCCCCCAGAGGCACTGCAGTGAACACACAGGGATACCAGGGGATATTTTAAAAATTTCGGGGAGACAGTGAGTGATACTTGACAACTGTCAGACATGATGCAAATTACCAGCTCAAGGTAGTCCACAGTTCCACTTTGGTGGCACTACATTCTTTTCTATTAGTCCACAACTTTGTGCAACTTGGGATCTAGTGGTTGCTGTGATGAATAGCCAAAGCAGTTACTGTGGGAAAAATCCATGTGGAATAAGGAATGAAGATGGTGATGCCCAATCTGATTTCAAGAGCTGAGATGCTGTGCAGCGTCAAACAGTTATACACATATTATTCATAATTGTGGTTAAAGAATAAAATAAAAATATTTTCTTCCAATGTATGTGTTTTCAAATGGCTACTAAGTTGTCAGCACAAAAATACTGAAGTTATTTTGATGTAACAACATAATAAATGAAGCTGTTATGTATTTCTTTTCATGAAAGGATGCCATAAAAAGCAAACAAACAACAAAAGTTACTGTATCATTAAGAGAACTAGGTGAATGTTTGGGACCCTCTGCTATAACTAGTCACATATCCTAAAAATTTTCTAAGGGAAATAATTCTTTTTGTAAAAAAAAGAAAATTTGGCAAGATAGAAGTGTAATTCTCTAAACCCAAGGCAAGAAAAGAGAATGCAGATGCGTATAGGAGAATTACTCAGTATCTTCAGCCTCTGAAAGGGAAGGCTGGTTGAGCCCCGGTCCAGAGATTTATTGAGAGTGAGACTGAAGTATCCTGTTTCTCTTAGTCAGGGAGACACTTCTGTAGGCCAGACCATTGGACACCTTAGCTAGTGAGAGGATTCTTTCTTATTTTTTTCTGTCTGAATACATGTGTAAATGGGGACATAACTGCCATATTTTAGTGTTGCTAGCCATTTAGCTGAGAGTTAATTTGAATTAGTTAGGTGTCTGGGGATCCCACTGGATAGAGACAAACAAATGACACAGTTAATAGTGAATTACCAGCCCTGTACTGGTCATACTCCAGTCGAAGTAAAATGCTCAATGTGTATTTAGCCTGCTTCTATTAATTATTATATTAAATAGGTGTAAGCGAGTCTGTTGTAATTATGACTCAGATTCCAGAAGGAATAAGTAAAATGTGACCAAATAGAATCTGAAGCAAAAATTAAACAAACTTTGAGGCAAAAATACCACAAGCAAAATCAAAAGACAAATGACTGCCTAGGAGGAAAATATTTGCATCTTATATCGCGGATAAAAGGATAATCTCCCTAATATATAAAGAGCTCTAAAACAACGGAAAAGCTATAGAAATGTTCTTAAGATTATAACATTTTTAACTTCATTTATTCTTGCCAAAAAGGTTCGAGTCTAATTGTGAGGAAATAATCAGATTCTGAATGAGAGTCTTTACTCAAGATAGCTAGCCAAGACTCTTCTGAAAAGACATTTCCATACAAAACAAAAGTCATGAGGTACAACTCAATAAGATGAGAAATAACTCAATAAAAATGAATAAAATATTTGAATAGATACTTCCTTAAAAGGATATACACATGGCAGTCTGGGCTTGGTGGCTCAAGCCTATAATCTTAGCACTTTGGGAGGCTGAGGCAGGCAGATCACCTGAGGTCAGGAGTTTGAGACCATTCTGGCCAACATGGCAAAACCCTGTCTCTATGAAGAGACCCTGTCACCTCTTCAATGCTTCCATCCTCACCTTGAAAGTATTGCTCTTCCAGTGATTTAACCAGGTAATTTTTAAGATTCAAGCCACCTATTCTTTACTAGTTTATTGACGATTTGATAACAATAGTAGTTTCGCAGATTGTCAGATACACGAGGCTAAGACTGGGTGGCTGAAAGTCAGAGACATTGCCTTGTGCATCCTTAGGTACCTGTGGACAAGGTTTTGACATTCATTTGGACTGAACCTTAGCACTGTCCATCTAGATAGCAATGTATCTGAAATGTTTTAATATACCTTTAATCTCAATACACATTAAATTAAAAAAGCATAATTATTAAAATTAAAATATATTTGTGTCTTTAACACAAGTGAAATGTAAACATTTCAAAAACTTAAAAAGAGGCCATGCTCAGTGGCTCACACCAGTAATCCCAGCATTTTGGGAGGGCGAGGCAGGCAGACCACTTGAGGTCAGGAGTTCGAGACCAGCCTGGCCAACTTGGCGAAACCACATCTCTACTAAAAACACAGAAATTAGCTGGCCATAGTGGCGGGCGCCTGTAATCCTAGCTGCTTGGGAGTCTAAGCAGGAGAATCGCTAGAACCCAGGAGGCAGAGAGTGCGGGGAGCGGAGATCGTGCCATTGCATTCTAGCCTGGGTGACAAGAGCTAAACTCCATCTCAAAAAAACAAAAACAAAACAAAAACAAACAAAAATTTTTAAAAGGAACAAATGCTAACTAATTCTATTTTTTTTCTTTCTCCTGCCATCTTTTATTGGGCACCCATTTTGTGAAAGTTAGGACACACAAAAATACAGAGGAATGATCTCAACCTTTGAAGAGCTCATCATTTAATGGCATTTTAGAACTTTTAGAACAGACTAAATTTAATGATAAAATTCAGATAATATCAAGGATAGTTAAATGCATTTATATAGTCTTTTCTATTTGTTTTTGGTAAGCTCCTACTTTCCACGTTCTATTAACGTAGGACACAGTTGCTAAACTCTAATAACTGGTTATTAGCGAAAAAAATCAGAATATATTTGAACCAAACATTCATTTAGGCTTGTTTTGGTAATGAGATTTTGAATTTCTCATTTTTAAGTTGGCATCTTCTGTTTTGAAGAAAGGAATCTAAATGTGAGTAACCATTTACAGGCATTGCTACTCACAACGTAGTCTCCAGAGCAACATCCCTGCAATCTTAAAATGCAGAATCTTAGCCTTCACCCCAGACATTCCGAATTAGAATCTGCATTGTAAAGAGAGCCTCAAGTGATGTATATGCTCCTTAAAGTTTGAGAAGCAAACATCGCTGCTAATGGGCATCAACACAGCATGCACTCTGAAGGCAAAACCCTGTAGACCAGGGATTCTCAAAGTGTGGTCCCTGGGTGGTCAGTATGAGCATCGCCTGGGAACTTGTGAGAAACATCAATTCTCAGGTCCCAGCCCAGTCTTAGTGAATCAGAAAACTAAATGACACTCAGCTGTGCTTCAATAAGCTCTCCCGGTGATTCTGATATCTATTAAGTTTGAGTACCACTGTTTAGTTGGTGAAAACAGGTGAAAGTAGATGAAATCTTTCAATTCCCATGTTCTCAGGGCTTGGCCTTCTGAGATGCACAGAACAAGTAAATTATCATCCAGTTATTTCTTTCGTGTTCAGATGTGGAGACAGATGTTATAGGATATTAGGAAGTTTTAATAAAGTAAACCTTAGTGCATAAAAATAACTATATCTGATGCTTTGGACTCTAAAACAAGTGAAGCCTTCTGTTGTACTTCTATTGCACATTTTGCTTTATCTTTGCTCTTGTTTTTTGACATTTGAGTAAAAAGTGTAACATCTTAGAAAATGAAACAAAATTATATTTATGGCACGTGTGTGCTGTCCAAAGTTGTAATTAATTACCCACACCTATGTGTGGCTTCAGGCATTTTGGCATATAAGGCTATTCTCCCCAACTTCCTGTTTCCTGAGTGAGGTTTGGTTTTCAATCTGGGCAAATGAAGACCATTCTGGGGTTCAAAGGGCTCTTTTATCTGCATTCCTTGATATGGACCTGCGCTGGGGACTGGTCAGGTATAACTTATCACTTGGGGAATAGAAGTTTCTTAAAGAGAGCTGAAAGATGTGGCTTTGGATTCTTTACAGTTGTGGTCTGGTTGAATCTTAATAATAGCCAAGGACACATGGAGGGGTGGTGCCTCTTTTCGATGTGCAATCTTGAGATACCATGTTTTTCTCTTGCATACCGGCACTGAGACTAGGGAATGTGCCCTAACCTGAGACTGTCTTTCTCCAACTCCCCTTTCCTTTTGATCTTATTCTGACCATATCAATTCTTGGGGATCAAGTACTTGAAGTGGGTTTAATATAAAGAGTGTGGAGTGGCCTGGAAAACAGAGGAGTGGGTGGTGGTAGGAACTTGGGACTCTGTGGTGTGTCACATACAGGAAGAAAGCCTTATAAGGCTTAGCCTTTCTTTACCTTATACTTCATAGATCCTTTTCATTTCAGAGGGAGCAGTCAGTGCCCCCTAAGTGAGGTGAGCAGTGGTCCAGGTTTTCCCAGTACTTTTCCTGCGTCGGCCCCAAAAACCTCCTGTTCGGAGCAAACCAGAATGATTGGTAGCCCTGAGTATAAACTTGGGCTGTCAGTTTCTCTTCCTCTATTTCTGCTTCTCTTTCTCTTTTCCTTTCTTTCTCTCCTCCCTTCTTTCTTCCTTTCTTTCTCTTTCTCCCTCGTTCCCTCCTCCCTCCCTCTTTCTTTTCTTTCCCTTCCTTCCTCCTTTCCTTCTTTTCTTCCTTTCTTTTTTTTTTGGGACAAGAGTCTCGCTGTCACCGAGGCTGGAGTGCAGTGGTATGATCTGGGCTCACTACAGCCTCTGCCTCCCGGGTTCATGTGATTCTTGTGCCTCAGCCTCCCAAGTAGCTGGCACTGCAGATGTGCACCACCACATCCAGCTAATTTTTGTATTTTTAGTAGAGACGGGGTTTTACCATATTGGCCAGGCTGGTCTCAAACTCCTGGCCTCAAGTGATCTGCCCACCTCGGTCTCCCAAAGTGCTGGTATAACAGGTATGAGCCACTGTGCTGAATGCTTTTTTCTGTTTTCTTTTCTTTCTCTCCTTCTCTCTTTTTCTTTTTTTTCTTCCCTTTCTCTTCCTCTTCCCTTTCTATTACTCTTCCCTTTCTCTTCCTCTTCTTTCTCTTCCTCTTCTCTTCCTGTTCCCTCTTCCTCGTCCCTTGCTCTTCCCTTCCTCTTTCTCTTTCTCTTCTTTTTCTCTTTTTTCTTTTTCTCTTCTTTCCCCTTCTCTTTCTCATCTTTCTCTTTCTTTTCTTTTTCTCTTTCTCTTCTCTTTCTCTTCTTTCTCTTTCTTTTGTTTTCTTTCTTTCTTTGTCACTCAGGCTGGAGTGCAGTGGTGCCATCGTAGCTCACTGCAGCTGTGAACTGCTAATTAAAAAAAAATTTTTTGTAGAGACTTGCTATGTTGCCCAGGCTAGTCTCCAACTCTTGACCTCAAGGAATCCTCCCACCTTGGCTTCCCAAAGCTTTAGGATTAAAGGCGTGAGCCACTGCTTCCTGCCTGGGCTGTCAATTTCTAAGGTTAAGATTTCGGAATTGCAGTGAAAGGTTGTGTATACTTGTCAAGCTACCCGTTCAACAAGACAACCTAGACCTGACATGGGTACATGTTAGAATCTTAGTGTATTCATTATGCTTTCTTTTATTAGGAACTATTTAAAATGGATAACTAAGTTTAAAAAAGCAGGTAACTATAAGGAATAATATCAATATTCACTGACCTGCTCTTCAGCTTTATTAAATCCATAATTTGCTACATTTGCTTACATTTTATTTTCTAATAGAAGTAAAAGTTCAGGTAGAGTTGAAGTCCCTGTGGTCATTCCTGATCCTATTCTCTTCCCTCTTTGCCCATATGTGAGTTTGGTAATTATTCATTTTCCTGTGTGTTTTACAATTTTACGTCAAATTTGTGGATCTGTAAATATGTTTCGCAGGCATTTATCTTCTATTTCTATTTAATTCTACAGCTTTTTTGTTGTCCATCACTTGGAGATTTACATTTGTAGCTTTGGTATATTTTAATTACTATTTAGCAGTCCAGTGAATAAATGCATTGCAAATTGTTTCTGTTCTCACATTGATAGAATTTTTCTAGTGTGGGGCCGTTACAAATAATGTTTGTATTTGAGTGGTTTCTTTTTGTGTGTGCATATCTAGGAATGGGACTGTGAGGCCACAGGTACAGATCTGAAAAGTAACTCTCTTGCTCAATTGTTCTTTAATTCTAATTGGTGCTCACAGATGTCTTACTTTTTGCTAATGTGGATATGAATAACTGGTTTTACATTTAAGGAACGTCTTATTTTTAGGTAATTGTAGATTCACATGCAGTGTAAGAAATAATACAGAGATCAATTATACTATTTATTCAGCTTCACACAATGGTAACATCTTGCAGAAATATAATACAGTATTACATTGGGATATTAATATTGATGTAGCCAAAGGACAGACATTTCTATTGTAATCAGGATGCCACTTTTAGAGCCACTTCTACTTTCCTCCTGAACCACTAATGCCAAACCTTCTGTCTCCGTTTTCCTTAATTTTTGTCAAGCACAGATCTGTTCTCCATTTCTACAATTTTGTCATTTCAAGGGTGTTATATAAATGGGCTCAGAGTTTGTAACCTTTTGGAATTGGCGTTTTTTTTCACTCAGTGTAATTCCTTGAAGATTCATCCAAGATGTTGCGTGTATCAACACTTGATTCTTTTTATTGCTGAGTGGAATTCCATGGCATGATTGTACCATGGTTTGTTTAACCATTCACCCACCAAAAGACATCTGGGCTGTCTTCAGTTTTTGACTATTATAAATGAAGCTATTGTTAGCATTTATGTACTTTTTTTTTTTTTGAGACAGAGTCTAGCTTTGTCGCCCAGGCTGGAGTGCAGTGGCACCATCTCGGCTCACTGCAACCTCTGCCTCCCAGGTTCACATGATTCTCCTGCCTCAGCCTCCTGAGTAGCTGGGATTACAGGCACGTGCCACCATGCCTGGCTAATTTTTGTATTTTTTGTAGAGATGGGGTTTTACCATGTTGATCAGACTGGTCTTGAACTCCTGACCTCGTGATCCACCCGGCTCGCCCTCCTAAAGTGCTGGGATTACAGGAGTGAGCCACCTCGCCCAGCCCATTTATGTACATTTTATGTGAACATACATTTTTATTTCCCTGGGATAAATGCCGAAGAGTTTAATTGTTGAGTCATATGGTTGTTGTATGTTTAGTTTTTAAAGAAATTGACAAACTGTTTTCTAGTGTGGTTGATACATTTCACATTGTCCCAGCAATGTATGAGTGACCCAGTTTCTCGGCATCCTCACCAGCGTTTGGTGTCTTCACTATTATTCATCTTAGCCATTGTGATAGGTGTGTAGTAATATCGTGATTTGAATTTGGATTTCCATAATGGCTGATGATATTAAACATCTTTTCATATAGTTATTTGCAATATGTATAGCCCCTTCTGTGAAAGGATTGCAGATTTATATTCCTTTGGTTTCTCCGCTGAGTTTTCAGTATCTCCTGAGAACTCAGGCTCCTTCTAGTATCTTAAGAGCAACTGATAAAATTTTCCTTTAGTGAAGTCTAGAAGAATAGCCAAACTTACTCTTAAAAAATCAAAAACAAAAAAACTCATGCCTACCCAGTCTCATAATTTCTAGTTTGATCTAATTCTCTTTCCCTGGGACCTAATTCAAGCAGCAGATTGTATCAGAAAATTATTTCCATTTCCAGAGTAAAAAAACTTAATGTCCAGATATTTCAAGATAGAAGGGAAAGGATAGCACTGTTTTTACTCAATTTCTATAAAAGCCTGCTTGCTAGCTTGAGTTTTGTGGACAAGTCTTTATATATCATGAAACTGTGGGTATAAAAATGGAAACTGCTTGCTTCCATAGAAATGGAAGGGCTTGCGTCAAAGAGCTTCAGTTGAACAAGGGAGACAGAAAATGCTCTATACTTAGTATAAACATTATAATATAGATATAGTCTTGTGATTCTAGCTCTACAATAAGTGACTTTGGAGGGTTAGATGAAATCTTATTTTGTATTGATTTTTTCCCCCCTATATATAGATTCACTAAAGAATGTATTTGAAGAATGAGTATATGTGTGGATATTTTTAGGGGATGAAGTAATAATTCAGAGACCATGTTTTGCAAACTTGTTCACCTCTTAAGACATTTTGTTTTAGTAAGGGATGATCTCTTCATTTGTATTAACAGGGTATGCTAAATTTTTTTGAGCTGATCTATGTAATTGCATACTAACAAAATTTCTTTTTCCTGCTTTTCAGCTATTCAAGTACACTGCACCCAGTTTTGGTTCTTTGCCAGGATTAAACCCACGATATTTTACAATTTGTATGTGAACCCCGATGAAGTGTTTCTAGGAGATGGCTGCCATGTAACCCATGTTTTGCCAAATGTCTACTATGAGTTTTTCTACCATCCTCATGACTGTGGTATTGTAACTCAAGTAAGAAATGGCTATCTTACTTAAAACCCAAGTGTCCAGGTGTGTGATGTTCCCCTTCCTGTGTCCATGTGTTCTCATTGCTCAATTCCCACCTATGAGTGAGAACATGTGGTGTTTGGTTTTTTGTCCTTGCGATAGTTTGCTAAGAATGATGGTTTCTAGCTTCATGGGGCCTGTTGTGGGGTGGGGGGAGGGGAGAGGGATAGCATTAGGAGATATAACTAATGTTAAATGACGAGTTAATGGGTGCAGCACACCAACATGGCACATGTATACATATGTAACAAACCTGCACGTTGTGCACACGTACCCTAAAACTTAAAGTATAAAAAAAAAACCAACAAAAAAACCCAAGTGTCTTATGGTTCCTTCAACATACCTACAAACTAGAAGTCATTAAGTGTCTATTTGTAATATGGCTAGACTCTTTAATGATCACATTTAGGACAGAAGCAGTTAAGAAAGGAGATGCTAAATGCTTTTCTCTTGTTAGGTGGTAATTGCAAACACTAATTATTCATTTAGTGATGGAGCAGGCGGGAGAGTTGAAGGTTTTGAAGGAAGAAAGTATTTTCCATGCATCAGAAAGTTTTTCAACAGTTTCTCTAACTAATTATTTATTATAATTCATGAAGTTTGGTCAATTGCGACCAGAATGAGGGAGTAACACTAATCAAGCATCAGAAGCCTTTTCAAAGTAAATATTCAGTGATCTCCCAGCCCTAGCCCCTACTCACCAGATATTTTGGGTTAACTAAGTCATTGTGCATATCACTGATAAAAGTATAACTGGAATTTTGACTTAATTTAAAAAGTTTTTAAAGTTAGTAAAATCTTGCTATGATATTACTTATTTTTTTCATTATCCCAAATAAAACGCTAAAAGAAGTAATAGAACTTGATCAGGTTTAGATAAATTCCACAGATTGGGTAACACAGAAAGCAAAAGCAAAATTTGAGGTAGAGTTGAGTGTGCGGAATATTTATTAAGAAGTGTTTTTGGGAGAAAGAAGATTGGGCAAAGGGCAAAGCTGAGCTGTGATGCAGGCTTAGAGACAGCTTTGGCTGACCCTGCACAGGGCTTCACATTCCTGCTGGGTAGGTGATCAGAAGTGGGCCACCCTGGGAGAGGGGTGTGGCCAGGGGTAAGACAGCCCTCAGCAGCTACATAATTCCTGGAGGGGGTGAGAGCTGAAGGCTGAAGGCTATCTGGTAACAGCATTCCTAGCAGCTGGGTCAACAAGCCCTTAGGGGATCTGGGAAGCACATTACAGGTCTAATACACCACAGCAGGTATTAGGGGGGCACTATCAACCTTGATATAAACTGCGGGGGGGGGGCAGGGAATATTCAAATGTTAACTGAATAATCTGGGTGGTGGTAGTATGTTAATTTCATTTTATCTATGCTTATATTTTCAAATTATCCAATGAGAGCAGGATATATCTGAGACGGGAACATTTAAAATTATGTAATGAATATGGGTATCTCTGAATCATCATATCCTCCTATGCTGTCAAAGATTGGGCCTTATATTGAGAACCATATGCTAAATGTTCTTAGAAAAATATTTTACTATTAATTGTCTTAACTCCATTCCACCCCACCCCCCTGAAAACAGCTATACTTCCTGTTAGGTATTTACTATATGCTGATAACTTAATCACTATTATTCTTTACCACCATAATTATTGCTTTTTTTAGAAATAAGAAAACAGACTTAATTGTTTAAACACGGTTTCCAAGGATTCATGATGAATAGAGGCAGCTCCAAGATTCCAAATGTGATTCATATGATCTCAAAGCCCATGCTCGCTTTGAATAAGCAATGTATCACTACAACTGTGTGTCTCAAAAAGAGGTGTCAATTGCTTTCTTGAATGTGAATCACAAAGCTCCTTTCTCTTTTAACTAACAAGTATTGCTTGCCTTTTATGTGCAAGCACTGTGCCAGATTTTAACCCATCTGTCAGTTTGGAAAATGGTCCTGTTTCCTGTGAACAGATGCTATTTATAGTTGAGTGAGAGTGTGACCATTTTTAGAAAGCTTGATGTATCTATAAATTCCTATTTAAATGCCTGTAAGTTTCCTGAGATACTTGAGACAAACATGGGTTTAAAACCTCTCTTTGTCTTGTAGCCTCTCCAGGAAGTTCTTCTGCTTAAAACTAAAATCAGGTATATCTCAAGAGACTCTACTGTCCGATCTGAAATGCCTCTGTCGTGTGTCGTCCACAAGTGAGTATGGAATGCCAAACCCCTGTCCTAGCCCCTGGCTTCATTTACTGTCCAGACAAAAATGCCAAACCTGAAAGGTTAAATGGTACAACCAGTGATGGGAGTTGGGGAGACACCAAACCCTAATGGGAACACAGATCTCTTGATCCTTGGTGTCTTAGTCCTCTGTTGCATTGCTATAAAGAGAAATGCTGGCTGGGCACGGTGGCTCACACCTGTAATCCCAGCACTTTGGGAGGCCGAGGTGGGAGGATCATGAGGTCAGAAGATCGGGACCATCCTGGCTAACACGGTGAAACCCTGTCTCTACTAAAAATACCAAAAAAAAAAAAAATTAGCTGGGCATGGTGGGGGGTTGCCTGTAGTCCCAGCTACTTGGGAGCTTGAGGCAGCAGAATGGCGTGAACCCAGGAGGCAGAGCTTGCAGTGAGCTGAAATCGTGCCATTGCACTCCAGCCTGGGTGACAGAGCGAGACTCTGTCTCAAAAAAAAAAAAAAAAAAAAAAAAAAATGTCAGAGACTGGGTAATTTATAAGAAAAGAAGTTTAATTGGCTCATTGTTCTGCAAGCTGTGCAGGAAGCATGGCTGGGGAGACCTCAGAGTTTTTACTCATGGCGGAAGGCAACGGAAGGCAACAGAAGGCAAAGCTGGAGCAGGCATACTCACGTGGCTGGAGCAGGAGGAAGTGGTCGGGGGAGGTGCTGCACACTTTTAAAAAACCACATCTCCCGAGAACTGTATCATGAGACCAGCACCAAAGGGATGGTGCTAAACTAGGGGTCCATAACCCCTGAGCCATGGACATGCAGTGGTCCCTTGCCTGTCAGGAACCTGGCAGCACAGAAGGAGGTGAGCAGCAAGCCAGCATTACCACCTGAGCTGTACCTCCTCTCAGATTAGTAGTGGCATTGGATTCTCATAGGAGCACGAACCCTATTGTGAACTTCGCATGTGAGGGATCTAGGTTGCGCACTCCTTATGAGAATCTAATGCCTGGTGATCTGAGGTGGAACAGTTGCATCCCCAAACCATCACCCCCTATCAGTGCAAAAATTGTCTTCCACAAAATTGGCCCCTGGTGCCAAAACGTTTGGGGACTGCCGTGCTAAACCATTCGTGAAGGGTCCACCTCCGTGACCCCATCACCTCCCACCAGGTTCCATCTCCAATATTGGGGATTACAATGAACATGAGATTCGAGTGGGGACACAGATTCCAAACCATATCACTTGGTCTTGTATTCTTCAAAAGTTGTTACAACTGTCCCCTAGAACATAGGAATACTAGGAATATTATTGAAAAATGAAATGATGACTTATTTTTCTATATAAGTGTCAGGGTCCCTGAAAACCTGATAGGTTTTCACCAACCAAATCAAGTTATTTCAGTTATTTAAACTTGAACCCATATGCAAGTTTCCTGAAGGCAATAGAGAAAGCATAATGAAGTCTAAAAGACACTGAACTCATCAGGTTGTCAAGATCAGCATGTACTATGCAGGGCTGACAGTGTTGGGAGAGAGACATCTTAAAACAGGATTTGTGGGTTAAGATTGGGTCTTTTTTTTTTTTTTTATTAATTGACATCTTGAGAAAGTCTAAGTGCTTATTTCATATTATATGCCTGTATCAAAATATCTCATCTACCATATCTATCTATCTATCTATCTATCTATCTATCTATCTATCTATCTATCTATCTGTCTATCTACTCTGTACCCACAAAAACTAAAAATAAAAAAATTTAGAAAATTAATAACCATTTTGATTAGGTCTTAGCAAAAGTGTGATATATTTGGCAGGACTTTGGACAATTTTTCAATTAGGTTTTTCTGGTTAAAATCCTGAACTGAAATTTTTTTTCCCTGAGTAATTACAGAAGAGCCATATTACATAGAGCTCTTCCCACAGATAATTATAATAGCAGCTAACATTTATTAATCACTTACCATATGCCTACACTGTGCTTGTATGAATGTATTTTTTCCTTCTGCTAACTCAATGAGGTAGATATTCTTCTTCTTTTTTTTTGATTTTTAAGTGGTTGAGCCTCCTTATTTTGTTCAGGCCGATCTTGAACTTCTGGGTTCAAGGAAGTCTCTCTCCTCAGTCTCCACGTAGCTGGGACTATAGGCACCCAGCTATGGTGGTAGATACTATTATGCCAAATTCAGGATGAGAAAATTGAAACAGAGAAATTAAGTTACTTGGTCAACATCATTTGCTGGTAGATGGTGGAATCAAGAAGTGAACCCAGAAGTCTGTTTTTTAAGTCTTTGCTTCTTAGCACCACAAATACTGCCTGTGATGTTCTGGGGTGGGGTGTGTTGGGGAGTGGTGGCGGGAAGCAGAAATCAATACATCTACTAATAACAGGAATTTGGCCCCAAGTTCAGCCTTGTAAATGCTAGGATCTGAGTAGATCTTAACCACTATGTGATATTTTTCTATCTTCTCTTATTTTAGTCAGCATCATCTTTTAAATGCAGTTGAAATGAGAGATGGGGAAACTGACAATGTTAATGAATGGGAGATAGAGGTGAGGATACACATTGCGAATGAAGACATGGGCAGTAACTTCTGCAACACAATCTTGGTAAGAACCCTTCAAAACTGGCATCTTATGATTTTTGTCCAGGTATGTCCTAGATACCAGTCAATACAATTGTCAAGGAAATGGCACACATTTGTGTTAAGGTGCATTGTGCCTAAAATGTTTCCGGTTCAAGAATGCAAATTCATGATTTCCTATGTTTGTTGGAGATTTTATTGATCATGGTGGTCTTGATAATCTGTTACTAACTGGGAACCCCATATAACTAAGAGCTATCCATTTTGGGTATTATGTGAAATACTATAATTAACTTAAAAAGAAAATACCTATCAATTTCAATATCAATAAAGTTCTGAATTGTAATAAATGAGTATTAACACTGAGCCTACAAAGTGGCTTAGATATGTTGATGATCCCTGGGAAAGTGAACTCAGAAGTGTCATAAGTCTGTGTTGCAGCTTTTCCCAGGAAGTACCAAATGACTGTAAGGTAGTACAGTTTTTCATTCTTGAGCCCCATATGAAGGTATATTATGAAAAATCCACACACATTAATATCTGGCTATTAATAAAAGGATGGAGCTGTGTTTAATAGAGAGTAAACAGGATACCTAGAACATTTGGGATGTACTTCATAGCTTAGAGGGCAAAAGTATCCTTATTCACTTATACACACATCACACTTGAATCATTAAACACTTAAGGATTAGTCTCAAGGATAGAACATATACTTTCTTTCTTCTCCTCCCTTACCTCCCACTTACACCTTCTCCTTCATTTCCATACATATACTTTGCTTTACTTATGAATAACAGGCTCTTAGAAGTAGGGAAGTAATGTTTACATTGGGACGTATATTTTACTGTCTTTCTTCCATTTTGGTAAGAATCTGACTGCTACACTCCCTCGTTCATCAAATGAGTACCTTTATTGCAAGAGAAGAAACTGTTCTGTCCCCTTTGATATTGAGAGGCAATTTGGAATCTCTGCCATGATTGCTTAGGACTGAGGATTTAATGTGCTATTTTGTGAAAATCTGAGAAGCAGGAAGGGGATTTAATGCTCTCAACTGTTATCCATCTGAAAAACCTAAATTGTGATTTTAAATAAAAAGCAGGCTGCCTTCCACTATTCCCTTTTTAAAATAGGAACTGCCACTGCTCTTAACTTTATGAAGTTTTATTTATGAATAAAGTTTATACTACTATATATCTGTTTCTAGTTATTGCAAGACTGACTTGTATGTAATTTTAAGCTTCAATGCTCATTAGAAATAGGTTTTTAAGGGTACAGTTACTAACTCTTCTCAGTTGCTGATTCATGCCCTTAGCTAAGGCTTAGTTGTGGTTGGTCCTGGTAACAGTGCCTAATCATTCATTTATTCCACAAAGAATCCCTCATGGAGTTCACACTTTAGTAGGAGGAGGCAGAGTATACACAAAAAACATACTCTATGGTATTTTAAGAAAGAGTAAATGCACCTTAGGGAACAGAGGCAGAGTAAGAAGACAGGGAATACTTGGGTGAGGGTTGTGGTCCTTAATATGGCATCAGGGAAGGCATCCGTCAAAGGTGATGATTGAGGAAAGAGCTCAAGGAAGTGAGAAAATGAGCCCCGCAGATCCTGGAGGGAAGGCCGTTCACACATGTACCCTAAAACTTAAAGTATAATAATAATAAAATTAAAAAAAAAAGAATATGGGAACAGCTGATGTAAAGTCACTGAGTGTTTGCAGAACAAGGCCAGCATGATTGGAGAGGGAAAGTCATACAGGTGAGGTCTTAAAACAACAACTGAAACATCTAAAACAATGAGTGGAGTACCTCATCTAATGTCTCAAAGTTGATTGACACACTTGGCTTTTGTTTGAAATAAGATGGGCACCCCCTGGAAAGCTCCAAATGGAGGAGTGACATGATCTGACTTGGATTTTTATGATCAGGATCACCCTGGCTGCTGGATGGAGAATGGATACCAAGAGGAAGCAGCGACTGAAGTAGGGAGAAGGATTAGGTAGTGATGACTACAAGGCCAATGGTCCTCAGCTAGGGGCAATTTTACCCTCTGGGGGATGTATCTGGAAGCAGCTTTGTTCATTACAGTGATGGTGTTAGTGTCCTACTGGCATCTGTATAGACCCAGGGATGCTGCTGAACATCTACAGTGCCTAAGACAGCCACTGATGACAAAGAGATTTCCGGGCCCAGAGTCAATAGCACTGAGGATGAGAACCCTGGTTTAGATGTAGCATGGATTTCATAGGAAGAGTTCAGGTCAATTGATCTAAAGATTTGCAGACAGCTAGATATGAAATATGTTAGAGGAATCTGGAGAGTTTAGGATTTATGAGCTACTACAAAGTGGGAGATGCTACTGTCTTGGATAAAAATGTGGAAGATGTTGGTTCGGAAACCTTATTTTGAAAATGCCATGTTTAAGATGCTGCTTAGATCTCCAAGAGGAGAGAGCAAGTGAGTAGTTGAATATAGAGGTCTAGAGTTCAGAGGGAGAAGGTCCAGACTGGATGTAGAACATTAGGATTCATCAGTACATACTAATACTTAAAGCCAGTAAGATTGCATGAGTTCAAAGCAAAGAAGTAAGGAAAATGAAGACAATCAGTCCAAGGTTTGGGTCTTGGCATATCCAATGTTAAGAGGTTGCTGAGAGAAGGCAGAGCCTTTGAATGAGCCAAAGAGAAGACAGTAAGGTCAATTGGAAGTAAAACCAGGGCAGAGTGGGGTCCTGGGAGCCGTGCAGGTGGAGTTGTCAGCTGTATCTTCTGTTGCTGAAAAGTTAAGTGGGATGAGAACTAAGCGTTGTCCATTAGATCCAGCAATGTGAGGGGCATTGATGACTTTGATAAAAGACAGTTTTGGTGGAGAGGTATGGGTGAAAATTGGTTGAGTCAGCTTTAAGGAAGTATGAGAAGAAAGAAACCCAAAGGTATGAGTACAGGTGGCTTTTTCTAGGAGTACGGCTGTAAAGAGAAAAATAGAAATGGGGTCATTGTAGGGGAAAGTGGAGACAGAAACTAGTGTATAAGATAAGTACCTGCACATGGTAATAGTTTTTTTTTTATAGATTACCATGAATTTCTGAATACTTTTTAAAGAGATCCAGATGTTTAAGAAATGATTAAGAAATTTTGGCTTCAGAGTTGTGTCCTTAAATAAAAACTGCCTGCATTACTATCATATGATAGTAAAAAGTCCCAAACATTTATAATAATCACTACAGCTATTTATGATAAATTATCAAATTGCAAAAAAATCCAAACTAGTGTACAGGTGGAGGGATAAGATGGATTGCTGAAATGCTGAATATAAAAAAAGGTGGGTAGAAGGTTGAGGCACATCAGTAAGTCAGGTGGGGTAACCTCGTATTGCTCAAATTACCTCCACAATAACAGATCCTAAAATTAAAAAAAAAAAACATGGCATGAAATTATACACATTTACTTTTCTGTCACTACCATAGACCTGAAAAAGAGACAGATCGCTGAGCACAGTTTTCATGCTTACTTTACCTACTCTCTTGAACTTTAGAGCCCAGGTAATCAGGAAAGGCTAGGATTTTTAGAAAATTGGGCTGAGTACATGGTAAAGCATTAGAAGGTGTGCATATACAGCGCCTGAATTCATTGCGAGCTATAAAGTCACACGAGGCAGCGGGTGGGCTTCATTTTGTGGTCTGCATCCTGAGAGGTTGTTGCTTTGGATCTGGTATCATGAAGGCTCTCTTGGAGTTAGCTTTAGCTCATCTCCTTGTTGCTGTGATTTTTCTGGGTGTGGAGAACCAAGCAGTATAAATCATACATTTCAGACATTTGCTCAAAGAGATGGTTTTTGTTGACAGGCTCAATGTGCGTGTCGAAGAAATGAACTGCATTTTTTTTTTTTTTTTTGAGATGGAGTCTCATTCTGTCGCCAGGCTAGAGTGCAGTGGCACAGTTTTTTTTTTTTTTTTTTTTTTTTTTTAGCTGACAACCACTATTTGGACAAGTTTCCAAAATCATGCTTCCATCTTTATAATTTAAAAAGAAGTCAAACTTCCTAACTCGTCAGAATGCAAAAATTCATCAGCCTGATTAGTTCCAAAGGATTGATTGGTCAGCCAAGTAATTTCTTACTTTAATTTGAATCAATAGCTAAGAGAAAAAATATTTTTAACATTTCACTGATTCATGTTATATTTGGTATAATATGAATCAATGGAATGGAATCAATGGTATAACATGAATCAATATTTAAAATGGAGCACTAGATATCAAGACCTACTATAAAAGCATTTGGTTAAGGTGGTACCTGTCATGTTGTAAAGTTATTTGTTATTTATTATAAAGTTATTTATCAGAGGCAAAAAATAGTATTTTGTTGGGAGGATGCTTAAATATCCTATTTCTTCAATATGGAGATTCCTTAAAGAGCTAAAAGTAAATCTATTTGATCTACCAATCTTACTACTTGGTATCTACCCAAAGGAAAATAAGTCATTATATGAAGAAGACATGTATGCTTATAGCCACACAATTCACAATTGCAAAGATGTGGAACCAACCTAAGTGCCCACTGACAAATGAGTGGTAAAAAAAAATGTGGTCCATATATATACCATGGAATACAACTTGGTCATTAAAAGGAATGGCATAATGTCTTTTGCAGGAACTTGGATGGAGCTGGAGGCAATTATTCTAAGTGAAGTAACACATGAGTGACAAACTAAAAACCCTCTGTTCTCACTTATAAGTGGGAGCCAAGCTATTAGTACACAAAGACATGCAGAGTGATATAATGGACTTTAGAGACTCAGAAGAGGGGGAAGTTGGGAGGGGTGCTAGGAATAAAACATGACATGTTAGGTACAATGTACACTACTTGGTCCTGGGTGCACTAAAATCTCAGAATTCACCACTATCTAATTCATCTATCTAACAAAAAAATCACTTGTACCCCCAAAGCTATTGAAACCAAAAAATTCCTGTTTCTTGTCAAATTTTTACTAGTTTTAGCATCCACTGATTTTTGTTCCAAGTAATTATTAATGTGGTGGCTGCAAATATTGATTTCTGCCCCACCTTTGCCCCCATTCAATCGTTCCTTCTATTAGTTGGCATTCTTAGGTAAGTTAGAACTTGCCCCTTCCCATTTTCCATTATGTCTAATGAAGCTATATTAATACACATTTTCCTCTGGTTAGTATGTATGCTGTCTTTTTCTATTGGTTTATTTTTACATTTTTCTGTTTTCATGCTTTAAGCATGACCATTTCCTCCAGTGAGTTTGATTTTCCTTCTGCCTATGGCTAGAAAATGTCCTTCGTCTTAGGAACTACTTCAGCCCCTTGATTATTCTGGCTTAGAGCAGGAGTCCCAGATTAAGCTTCCCTACCTGCTGTTGTGAGTTTTAGTACTTACAAAGGACTTTTGCTAGAGGAATTGGGCCCAGAGCAACTTTTCCCCTGTTGGCTTCCTTGTTGCTCAGTTTCCTGCTACTCAGGCTCTGGTCTCCTGACTTTGCTGCCTTGCTTCTGTTTCTAAGATTTCTCTTAGATCTCATATATATATATATTTTTTCTCTCTAGGAAGATGATTCTGAACTGTTTCCTAAGACAGAAATGTACTGATGTGTTCTTGTTGGATCTTTCAGACTTTGACATATACTGTACTCTTGATTCACTTCATGTCAAAATTAAAGCACTGACAGTTGATGATTGGTATGTGCTTTCTAATGCGGAGTCTCTGGAAAGTGGGTGTTCTGTAACCAATGTATGGCAAGACTTTTTGTATGTTTCTGTACCCTACAACTGATGGTGGCATCAAATCTCAGACAAGAGCAATTGCTATTTTTCTTGGTTGGGTTGTTTGGGCAGCCCAGAAATCAGCTGCCTCAGAGAAGGTCCTTGTAAAGCAAGGCTAATCTGATTTTTACAAATATATTTTTTCAGAACATAGGAAATCGACATGTAATATAGATAATAGTTCCTTGCCTGTCAGTCAATGAATTAAACCTCTTAAGCATATTGAGCTCTAGGATAGGGATTGGCAAACTTGTTCTGTAAAAGTCTCCATAATATAGTCATGAGTTGCTTACTAATCGGAATATGTTCTGAGAAATGCATTGCTAGGTGATTTCATCATTGTGCAAACTTCATAGAGTGTACTTACACAAACCTAGATGGCATAGCCCATTTTACACCTAGGCTATATGGAATAGCCTGTTGCTTCTAGGATACAAACCTGAACAGCATGTTACTGTGCTGGATACTGCAGGCAACTGTATCACATTGGTATCTGTGTATCAAAACATATGTAAACATAGAAAAGATAAACAGGGTACACGTGTATAGAGAAGCTCCATTATAATCTCATGGGAACACAGTCATGTATGTGGTCTCTTCTTGACCAAAATATCATTGTGCAATGTAACTGTATGCATTTTAGGCTTTGTAGATCATAAAGTTTCTGTTGCAACTACTCAGCTCTGCCCTTGTTCCATGAAAGCAGACATGTGCAGTACGTAAACAAATAAGCATGGCCACATGTATTCTAATAAATTTTTTTTTTTACCAAAATAGGTAGTGGGCTAGATTTGGCTTGTGGGCTGTAGTTTGCTGAACCCTGCTCCATGGGATGCTAAGTTAAATTGAACACAGAACTTGCTCTGAATATGTTGACAGTTCTGCAGAGAGTATCGTTTTTATTTCTCTATTTACAGCAAAATCACTCATCTAGTAGTTTTAAATTCCATGTAATTATTGAAATTGTAGAAGTTCAGTCCATTTTCCACCAGAGAAAAGTGAAGGGACTTTATCTATCTATCTATCTATCTATCTATCTATCTATCTATCTAATCATCTATCTACATATTCTTCTACAAAAATAATAGCATCTTTCATTGAGTTTACTCTTTCCCTGGGTTTATACTAAGCTTCTCGAGGGTTGGAGGGAGAAAACTGTAGTTTTGAGGATTCATGTATGATCCTCATATAGAATTATCTGAGTATACCTCTATACTTGTCAAATTCTGAAGCCCAATTTAGGTGTAGGCCTTTTTTTCTTTAATCAGGCTCTCCTTTGGTTTTCTTCTTCTTTTTTTTAACATGTAAAAAAATTGTAAGAATTTATCTCAGAAATCAAGAATCCTTTTGTTAGACAAAGAGAACATTTAGAGGTGCTATACAAACATGAAACTAAGCCTGTATCTAGTAGTGGTATCATGAGAACTTTTATTATTATTTACCTATTTTTTCCTAATACTTTAGAATTTGCATACCTTCTGGGAAGAAAGCACAAAAAAACACATTATGGTTTACATTAGAATGAGATAAAATTCGTCAACTGGCCAAAGGAAATCTAGGACCCAATATTATATAGAAAATAAAATATTTCAGTGAATGTGCTTATTAAAGCATTTCATCAACCATGAACTATCTTTTTAAATCCTTTCAGTCTAATTGTGGATATTATTTATATTGACTTCTTAAGGGCCAATATCTTTATGAATTTTTCATATCTTTATGGTTTTTTTTGTCTAATACTACAATACTATGAATCTGGCATTGTCTCGTTTCATAGGAAACCATGACTTTTAGGAAGATAGAAATAGTAAGATATTCAGGGAAAATACAAAATTTAAACAAAGAATAAGCCCAATTATACAATAAATGATTTAATTGCTTTTTAAATAATGGTATTTGAATAATTATGTTGTATCATAGAAGCAATAGATTTAGATTAAATTAAAACTTACTAGGGGTTCCTGCTTTCCTACACAGTGTGCCAAGTTTAATAGATCATCTATTTTTTTTTTTTCTTTGAGACAGGTCTTGCTCTGTTGCCTGGGCTGGAGTGCAGAGGCATGCCTATGGCTCACTGCAGCCTCAACATCTCAACAGTGCTCAGTGGGCTCAAGCAATCCTCCCACTTCTCAGTCTCTGAGTAGCTGGGACTACATGCTCACACTATCACAACTGACTAATCTTTGTATTTTTTGTAGAGGTAGATTTATGCCATGTTGCCCAGGTTGGTCTTGACTCCTGGGCTCAACTGATCCTCCTATTTCGGCCTCCCAAAGTGCTGGGATTACAGGCATGGGCCACTGTGCCTGGCCAGATCATCTATTTTTATTTATTTATTTTCATTTATTCCATTTATTGAATAGAACAAAGTACGTGGAGCTGTGCTAGGTGCTGTGAGACAGTGCCACTCAAAGAATGACATGTGATTAATGGACTAGTACACCAATCTGTGACCAGCGGATATAGAAATGGAGGGTGAACTACTTTTGTAGCAATTGGATATCCAAGAATGCCATCATTAGGCTTGCAGTTTTCTTTCCTCCTTCCCTTCCTCTCCTCTCTCCTTTCCTTCTTCTTCTTCTTTTTTTTTTTAAAGTAATTCATTTTCATTGTCAAATGTATTAGTTCAAGGTGGGTTGTGAACCAAAAGCATGATAGCAATAGCAGTTTCCTTGGCTGAGGACATTTGCCTCAGGGAGTCATGGCTAAGTTAATCACGTGAGTGGCAGGGCTGCCAGTCTCCCCTTGTTTCCCTCCCATCTTCTTTCATCAGAGCCTTAAGATAGTCCTGAGATCTCAGGAGCCCTATTTTGTTGTATATCCTCTGCCCTGATTTGAAGAAAAGATGATTCTTACTGTGGGCTTTAGCCTTTTGTTTTTCTGTAAGTAGATTCATTTGTTTACATTCCTCTTGTTCTATAACCCCATTTCTCTTTCTCTGACTTTTTTTTCCATTGGTTATTGGGGTACAGGAGGTGCTTGGTTACATGAGTAAGTTCTTCAGTGGTGATTCGTGAGATTTTGGTGCACCCATCACCTGAGCAGTATACACTGCACTATATTTACAGTCTTTTATCCCTTGCCCCTTTCCCACTCTTCCCTGAGTCCCCAGAGTCCACTGTATCTTTCTTATGCCTTTGCGTCCTCATAGCTCAGTTCCCACATATAAGTGAGAACATACAATGTTTGGTTTGCCATTCCTAAGTTAGTTCACTTAGAATAATAGTTTCCAATCTCATCCAAGTCACTGTGAATAGTGTTAATTCATTCCTTCTTATGGCTGAGTAGTATTCCATTATATATATATATAACAGTTTCTTTATCCACTCGTTGATTGATGGGCATTTGGGTTTGTTCCGTGATTTTGTAATTGCGAATTGTGCGGCTATAAACATGAGTGTGCAAGTATCTTTTTCATATAACAGATCATCTAATTTTAAAAACAAATATGCCTTTCTGTTCACTTTTACCTAAATTTGTTCCTTTTAAAAACTTTGAATGCTTCTTTGAATTCTGTAAAAATTTAACTGTAATGTAATTGATGAATCTACTTAAAATTTATTTTGTACCCTCAGGTTTTAAAAGTGAAGGTTATTTTTAGATATCTGCTAATATTTATCTCAAGAACATTACCAAGGCGATGACTCATGCATATTTCATGTGCTGTTGAGCGAGATGATAGATCTTCATCACACCCTGCAATTTCATTTATCCATCCAAGGTACTTGTGTTTGGAGAGAACATTAAATGTCATCCTGGAATGTCTGTTTAATGATGATACTGGTTTCTGTTTTAAAATGTGTCATCATACGTGTTCATTGGATCTTCAACCACCTATTTTCCAATAAAATTCTGAAAACGAGCTGAAGGGGCACTTTCTTAAGCACTAAGTTCTGACTAGAGCTGGATGCTTTTCATTCCACATTCTGTATTGTTTAGTAGAACAATAATTTATCTCTGCAAATATTAGGAGATGCCTGCTATCCTTAGACAAATAGATCATTATTCATGTATTAATAATTCTTTTAATATACTGTTGATATCAGGATCAACCTGGAGTTCCATTAATTCCTGTATTTCATATTTTCTCTGTCTTATTTTTTATGGCAAAGACTAGATGGGCACATTAGGGTTTACAACTAGATCAGCAAGAAGAATGAAAAAGGTAAAGAATGAATTTAACTAGCCCTGAGGATAGTTGTTGTATATGTCTTCAGGACCCCAAGATGAAACTTAAGAGTCATTTGGTACTTTCATTAAGTTGTTCAATAGGTCTAATTATATCAAGCTCTTGAATACCAATTTCTGTTTTAATCAAGTAATAACATTTCTCATGTAACTGGGAAGATGTTTTTGCGGCAACTTATATGTAAAGGTTTTTAGATTTAAATCCTCTACTAAGAATCTATAATCTTATTATGGTGCCTGAATGGTAACAGAGCTTAGTGACCCTCTCACTTAAAAATGGAAAAAAGCCTGTGTTAAATCAAAGAATAGCAATGATAACTTAGCCACCAATATGATAACACTGGGGCCTAAATAAATGTTTGAACACATATTTTATCTCTTGTTCATTTGACTTCATCAAAATTAAAGCTTTTGTGTACCAAAGAACAATTTTAAAAATAAGTGAGACAACCTGCAGAATGGGAGAAAATACTTGGAAATCATATATCTGTAAAGGGTTTAGGATCCATAATATATAAATAAATTTTACAACTCAGTAACACAAAGACAAACAACTCAGTTTTAAAAAATGGGGAAGAATGAGTATACATTTCTTCAAAGAAGATTTTAAAATGACCAATAAGTGCATGAAAAGGTGCTTAACATCATTAGTCATTAGGGTAATGCAATGGGTAGGTAAAAACCCACAATGAGATATCACTTCACAACGGCTCAAATGCAATAATAATAAGAATGACAAGAAATAGTGTTGGTGCAGAATGTAGAGAAATAGGAACTCTTGTACATTACTGGTAGAAATGTAAAATGGTGATTGTTTTACTTCACCCATAGCCAAGATGGCTGATTAGAAGCAGCTACGGTGCATGACTCTCACGGAGAGGAAGGAAAGGTGTGAGTGAATATAGCACCTTTAACTGAAACATCAAACTCAAAACTATAAACACTTCGAAAGACAACCTAGGCAATACCATTCAAAACATAGGCACAGGCAAATATTTCATGACAAAGATGCCAAAAGCAATCGCAGCAAAAGCAAAAATTGACAAATGGAATCTAATTAAACTAACAAGCTTCTGCACAGCAAAAGAAACTATCAACAGAGTAAACAGCAAACAGAATGGGAGAAAATTTTTGCAAACTATGCATCTGACAAAGGTCAAATATCCAGATCTATAAGAAACTTAAACAAATTTACAAGAAAAAAACAACCCCATAAAAAGTGGGCAAAGTGCATGCGCCCAGCACTTGGGGAGGCTGAAGCAGGTGAATCACCTGAGGTCAGGAGTTCGAGACCAGCCTGTCCAACATGGCAAAACCCCATCTCTACTAAAAATACAAAATTAGCCAGGTGTGGTGGCATGTGCCTGTAGTCCCAGCTACTTGGGAGGCTGAGGCAGGAGAATCACTTGAACCCAGGAGGTGGAGGTTGCAGTGAGCCAAGATAGCACCACTGCACTGCAGCCTGGGTGACAGAACAAGACTTCGTCTCAAAAACAAACAAACAAAAAAAGAAGACATACATGCAGCCAACAATCATATGAAAAAAAGTTCAACATCACTGATCGTTAGAGAAATGCAAATTAAAACCACAATGAGACACCATCTAACACTAGTCAGAATGGCTACTATTAAAGAGTCAAAAAATAACAAATGCTGGTGAGGTTGTAGAGAGAAAGGAATGCTTATACACTGTTGGTGGGAGTGTAAATTAGTTCAGCCATTGTGGAAGACGGTGTGGAGATTCCTCAAAGACCTAAAGACAGATAAACCATTTGATCCAGCAATCCCATTACTAAGTATATACCCAAAGGAATATAGAATAATATATATTCTATTATAAAGACATGCATGTGTATGTTCATTGCAGCACTATTCACAATAGCAAAGACATGGATTCAACCTAAATGTCCATCAATGATAGACTGGATAAAGAAAATGTGGTACATATATACCATGAAATACTATCCAGTCATAAAAAAGAACAAGATCATGTCCTTTGCATGGACATGGATGGAGCTGGAGGCCATTATCCTTAGCAAATGAATGCAGAAAAAAAAAAACCAAATACCACATGTTATCACTTATAAGTGGGAGCTAAATGATGAAAACACATGAACACATACAGGGAAACAACACACACTGGGGCCTTTTGGAGGGTGGAGGGTGGGAAGAGGAAGAGGGTCAGGAAAAATAACCAGTGGGTACTAGGCTTAATGCTTGGGTGATGAAATAATCAGAACAACAAACCCCCATGACACAAGTTTACCTATGTAACAAACCTGCACTTGTACCCCTGAACTTAAAAGTTAAAAAATACACAAAAGGCCAGGTGCAGTGGCTCATGCCCGTAATCCCAACACTTTTGGAGGCTGAGGTGGGCAGATCACCTGAGATCAGAAGTTCGAGACCAGCCTGGCCAACATGGTGAAACCGCATCTCTACAAAAAATACAAAAGTTAGCCGGGCATGGTGGCCCTTGCCTGTAGTCCCAGCTATTTGGGAGGCTGAGGCAGGAGAATCACTTGAACTCAGGAGGTGGAGGTTGCAGTGAGTCGAGATCAGGCCACTGCACTCCAGCCTGGACGACAGCGTTAGACTCCATCTCAAAAAAATAAAAAAAAACACACAAAACAAAACAAATGAAATGTAAAATAATACAGCCACTGTGGGGGAGTTTGGCAGTTTCACTCCTAGGTTGTCATGTAAGGACTAATAGTTAAAGCCTGGTATCATGTTCTATCTCGGCATCTGGTGAAACTGGAAGGGCTATAAAGGCATAACTGCATATTTATCTCCCTCCTCTGCTCCTGAAGATAAGGTCCCCACTAAACAGCTCTGCTTATCAAGGAGACCAGATACAGTTCCTGCTTATCTCTCAACAGTGGGTTTCAGTTCCCTGGCAGCCTGCAGAATTATTCAAACAAGCCAATCATACGCTCCTGTGGGATCTAGGGGTCACCTCACCCTCTTGATATTACAAAGCTTATGTCCCAGAGTCCCTGGTTGTTCCCTCTGTTCCTAAGTGCGGTCCTCACGTGGACCTATGTGCTATGTGGTGTTCTCCTCTGCAGGGCTGTGAATGTACACAGCAATAAATTGCTTTGGATGCATCTGTTCAGTGTCAGGTGTTGTGTGTTTGGGTATAACCATAGCCCTAGGATAGGAATCTCTCCCTCAGCAGGGCGGTGAATAGGAGGCGATTAAAGCTGAGTCAAATACCCCAAATAATTGAAAACAGGAATTCAAACAAATGTTGAACAAGAGCTTTCAGAGTAGTATTATTCTCAAAGATGGAAACAACCCGAAAGTTCATCAATGAATGAATGACTAAAGAAAATGTGCTATACCTATACAACGGAATACTATACAGCCATAAAAAGAAATGAAGTACTGATTCATGGTACCATGTGAACTAAAAATAAAATTCTAGGCCTTCAACTGATTGAATGAACCCCCATCTTGGCCAAGAGGACCCCAGAGAAACCTTAAGAACTATGTTCCCAGACGTCATGGGGTGGGGGGTTGGACATGCCTTGTTACACCACTTCCCTTCTGTGGTTTAGACACAACACCTGACTAGTATTAATGCTAAAAAAGAGATCAGGCTGGGTGCAGTAGCTCATGCCTATAAATCCCAGCATTTTGGGAGGCTGAGGCGGGCAGATTGGTTGAGGTCAGGAGTTCGAGACCTGTCTGGCCAACATGTTAAACCCCATCTCTACTAAAAATACAAAAAAAAATTAGCCGGGCATGGTGGTGTGTGCCTATAATCCCAGCTACTCGGGAGGCTGAAGCAGGGGAATTGCTTGAACCAGGGAGGTGGAGGTTGCAGTGAGCCAAGATCGCGCCACTGCACTCCAGCCTGGGCAACAGAGTGAGACTCCGTCTCAAAAAAAAAGAAAAAAAAAAGATCATAAGGCTGACACAACAAACTCTTTGTGGCAATAACATACCAACTTATAAACAGGACCCAAGGCCATGCCAAATAATGGTTAAGTCACACACCCCTACACTTAAAGAATGAACTTTGTTCTAACTGCCACAAGGTTTTTCTTTTTCTTTTCCAGCAGCTAAACAAGCACTGGCCTTGAGATAAGCAATATTAAAACAATGACAGCTTGTCCACTGCCAGAGGCTAACTGACTCTCCTGTGCCATAAGCCATAACTACAGCTTTGACTGGACAAGGGACTCATTTCAGCAACTTTCTCCTGATAAGAGACAACTGAGCAAGAACTGGTTCTGGCCAGTTTACAGAGGTTGCACACTTGTATAACTTAGTATCCTGGAAAGACCTTTAGATGTACAGGGCCTAATTGTAATAGATTTAAATGTTAAGTCTCCACCGCAAAGTGAACATGGGTCATATATAACATGCATGTTTATTCAGCACTTATGTGTTAGAACCACGTTAGTGAATATTCATAGCTCCTCCTATAACCTGTTAAATACATATGCTTGGCCAACCCATTCAGCATAAATTCCCATCTCACTCCTCCCTCCCTGCAATGTGCCTGCCTTTCAGGCTTTGCTGGAGGCTATGCATCCCAGCCTGTTAGGATGGCCATCTTGCAGTCTGTAACCCTTTATAAGAAATAAAGCCTCTTTTATTTGTAAACAAATAAATAAATAGCATGATTTTTAAAGTTAAGAGTATGATTCAAGTTTTACAAAGTGTCCAGAATAGGTAAATCCAAAGAGATAGAAAGTAGCTTGGTGCTTGCCAGGGGCTGGGAGAAAGGAGGAGTGGAGGGTTGCTTAAGAAGTATAAGTTTTCCTTTGGGGCGATGATGAAAACATTTTGGAACTATAGGGGTGATGGTTTCACACATGTGTATGTGCCAAGTGCCACTGAATTATATACTTCAAAATTGCTAATTTTATGTGAACTTAACATTTACAAAATTAGTGGTTATTTCAACAGAGGAAAGCATGTAAGCTATTGGAATTAGAAATTCCAGTATTATTTTATGTACTTCTATGTAGTTAGCTATTTAAAATAACAATGTATTTATTCACCTCTTAAATAAGAAAACAGATAAGTATTTTCAAATAAAAACCACTGAAATATTCTTCATAAATTTAATCTACTGTAAGGTTCTCATTCCCAAATATAATTTAAGTGATAGATACCTTAACATAAAATCCTACTAATTTTAAAGAACATGCACTATAATAAAAACGTTTAGTAGAAAGGACTTTGAGATTTCTGATGTTCACAGATGTTACTTTTTGCTTCCTCGTTGTTACATCAGTTCATAATCCTGGAGATTCATATAGCTAAAAACAATTATTTTGTACTTAGAAGCTGAGGCAATCTATGTGATATGCTACACAATTTCTAAAAATAATTTATTAGGCTTTTACTTTTACTTTTTGAGAGGAAGTTTTTTGGAGGTTGGTTTCTGCCAAAAGGTATAACCAAGTGATGCTGTTATTCTTATCTATTATCCCTTTTTCTTACAATTTTTCATTACTAGATTTAATTGTCCAAAAATGCCCTTAGAGAATATTTCTTTAGATCTCTAGATATGTGCACATTCATAATAAAATGCTTGTAGGGAAAGCAAAATTAAACCAGAAAGCATTGTTTTGCCAAAGCTTAGACCACAGGTGTGTGGATTTGTTTACCTGAATCAAAACCTCCTGAAGCTGATTACAAGCACCGATTAGTGAGCGCATCTCGTCCCAGGTTTACTGGATCTGAATCATTGGTTGGGAGGTAGAGCAAAAGCTTTTTTATTTTTCTTTTTTCACAAGAACCCAGAGTGAATATAATATGCAATATTGCAATATTGTTAATCAATTCATAAATAATTCTTCTGTATCACCACTTGAATTTCTCAAATCATCTTGCAAAGCCCTACTTTAACAATTCAATAGACACATATCAAATATTATGTCAGACACAATTTCAGACACATCCACATGCTTGAGAAAAAAGACATGGTGGTAGGAGATGCAGCCTAGAACCACTTTCCATGTGTTCTTTCCTGAGTTTCTGATTTACCTTTCAATGGCAAAAACCGCAATTACTTTTGCGCCAACTTAATAACTTCAGCTGTGAGGACAAAAAGCCAAAACTATGCTAAGGGGTTCTCAGTGCTTTCCAGAATGATAAACCATCACCCACAGCTGAGGAGGCAAGAGGTTTATAAACACCTGTGGAGGCCCACTTCCCTAGGTTTTCTGTTTCCTGTGATACCTTGGGCTGGAATCTGAAGCAATGAAGATCTCTTGTGTGTTGGGAAAGCTCCTCATGCTTTTCGAGTTGATTCATGGTCTCCAAGATTGTAAGAAAAAGAGGGAATTTTTGGAGGTGGCAATTTCAATCAGCAGGGCTTTTTTTTTTTTTTTTTTTTAACATATTGTTGACTTTGGGAGTTTGTTTTTTTTATAACCTAGTGATCAACTGCTAATAACTAATGATCGCAAAGTTACAGCCAGACTAGTTTTATCTTTACCCCTGTACTTCCTCTTGAATTTTTCCTCTAAGCTGATCTCAAGGTGCTGTTGTTTTTTATTTTTTTTTACATGCAAAATATTTCCAGGTTCTTTCTCTGCTGGAGACTAGCTTGTTACTTTGCTGAATGTGAAATACTTACAGTGACTGGCAAAATCAGGAGAGACTGCCCAGTGCCTAAGAGAGGAGGTTACCTAGGTCTACATTTCTGGCCGTGGGGTATGAAGTTTGGACAGAGAGTAGTCAGCTGTATTCAATTGTATATGATTCTTTTCAGAGTTGAGGCTCTGAATAGATTTGGCATAGATTTTAATCCTGATCTGCCACTTAATAGTTACATGACCTTAAATTTATCCATGTGTAAATATGGGATAATAATAAAATTGACCATAGAAATGTACTGAAAATGAAGTAAGACCTCAAACCAAAATTTAACATAGTTGGCAATCAAAATTATCATCGGAGTAACTGCAGTATTATTTTGTTTCTGAATCCTTAGTGTCACATACTAATTAATATTTATTGGCTCAGATATTTTGATGCAAAATAAAATTTTAAGTGGAAGCACGTGATATATTTTTCTATTGTGTGCAGCCAAATGTAAAGCTTTTTCTTGTTTCTCCATTTCAGATAGATATCACTTACACCTAGATATATTTCAAACATGTATTCCTGAGACCTGTTAGTAAAATTTGAACAATCCCTAAAAACAAAGTGTGCATGTTGCGATATTTGACTTATTTAGCTTAGAAATTCTCAACTATCGCAAGGACAAAAATCCAAACACTGCATGTTCTCACTCATAGGTGGGAATTGAACAATGAGAACACATGGAGACAGGAAGGGGAACATCACACACCGGGGCCTGTTGTGGGGTGGGGGAGGGGGGAGGGGGGAGGGATAGCATTAGGAGATATACCTAATGTTAAATGACGAGTTAATGGGTGCAGCACACCAACATGGCACATGTATACATATGTAACTAACCTGCACGTTGTGCACATGTACCCTAAAACTTAAAGTATAATTAAGAAAAAATTCTGAAGAAGTACTTCTACGGTTTTTCCACATTCTGATGAAAAAACTGAGACACATAGAGATTAATTGACCCAAGATCTCCCAGTGGAAAAATATACAAATAGGAGCAAAACATTTTCACTCTACAGTTGGGGATTCAGCTCAAGAGGTTGAAAGTTTCCTGAGTTCTTTGTTTGGGGGCAGACGTACTATTTGATGTTTTCCCTTTTTAAATTTTCTTTCAACAGTGTCTATAACCTGTTCTGAATCCTGGCTCCAGGTCAAACTTAGACGAACGCCGCTGTTAAATGACCTGCAACCTTTGCAAAACGAACTCTCTCTAGGAATTGGCTGTCCTGTAAACATGGTCGAGGTGGATTTCTTTGGGTTCCTGTATCTTCTAACTTTTTGTGGCATCAGAGTGAGCGTAAGAGCAGTTATTATTTCAACCAATAATATATCTTTTGACTGTTTTGGGTCCACAAACCAATGACTAAAACTGCAGTATTCACATTTTAATTGTCAGTTAATTTAATAGTTCATGTAGTATTGATTATTCTCTTCAACATTTTTGGATGTTGCTTCTATCTGTAGGAAAGACAAATAGGATTTGGGATTCCAAAAACTGTGTGTTCCTACTTTAAAATATTTTTTTGGCAACATATCTCTTTTGCCTGTGATAGTGTTTTTTTTGTTGTTGTTGTTGTTTTTTAAAATATTCTGGTTAAATCTAGTTTGAGAGAAACATTTCGTTTTGAAACAGTACCACAAATACCCAACTCTTGTTGTTGACCTAAAATTTTGATGAAAATGGGGTATATCAGTTTATATAGTTCCTGTATTAATAAGAGAGAAATCAATCTTTCCAGTCACCAGAAAACTTTTTTTTTTTTTGCTTTATGTTAAATTGTTGCTATGTTTTGTAATTATAGCCTAGTTTTTCATTTTTGGTATCACATCTATTTCTAGTAAAGATTATTTAGGTGAACTGATTCTATTTTTGGATCCAAGTACATGACTTTATCATTTGTTTGCTGCTGTATCTCTAGTCTCAAAAAAAAAAAGTCTAGTATTTGGCAAGTACTCAATTTAGCATGAGGCTGACTCAACTGCTTTTCTAAAGTTGTCAAATATCTAGTCAAAATTCACACTGAATAATTTAGGTCTGCCTAAATCAGACTCTGACTCTTTTTTTTTTTTTGCTTTTTGCAATGGAGTCTTGCTCTGTCACCAGGCTGGAGTGCAGCGGCACAATCTCGGCTCACTGCAACCTCCACCTCCCGTGTTCAAGCAATTCTCCTGCCTCAGCCTTCCAAGTAGCTGGGACTACAGGCATGCACCACCACACCTAACTAATTTTTGTATTTTTAGTAGAGATGGGGTTTCACCTTGTTGGTCAGGATGGTCTCAATCTCTTGACCTAGTGATCTGCCCACCTCTGCCTTCCAAAGCGCTGGGATTACAGGTGTGAGCCAACGTGCCTGGCCCAGACCTTGACTGTTAAACAAATGTGGTGATCAAAAGTTGTCTATGCAGACTCAAGTGCCAAATACAATGTCCCTGCTACTATGGCAGGGGCTATTAATGTCTTCTAAAACCAGGGATTTTTATCACTTAGCTCTGCTCTTCTATTGTAGACCGTGCACTCATACCTATTTTATTTCATAAAGTAAAAATAAAAGTAAAAATTATTTTGTTTTTAATCTATATTTTTAAAATGGAATTTGAAAGCATTTGAAAGAGATATAATTAAGATAATTTATATCCTTTACACCTTTAGGAACATGGAGTAGGTATTCTCATTGAAAGTTTAATTGTATATGAACCAACGAATTTTGACTTCAATTTACACATCCCAGTATCATGCTATGTGCAAAGGTAAGTGCAGTGCACTACTGAGATTAAGGCTATCTAATATTATTTTTGCCTTCTAGGTGTTCTGATCAGTTAAACTGCTGAACATTATGCTAAGGTTGGACATTGGATCAAATCTGATCTATGGTGTTCTGTTGGTCATGTGAGTAGGTCTAAATAAATTGATTCTCTCAATGTAGTTTCCGCATGAGTAGATGAGGCTCAGTTGTTATATGAGAATTGAATTCTACAGTCACTAAAGAGATTATGTCAGAAAGTTTTTGTTAGTAATCTTTCCTTTTTTGCAGTGTTCCTTGTCTGCACCTGCCCATACTGTCTCATCCATGGCTATTATAGGAGTTCTTAAGTTTTTGTGCAAACCATACCACCTTTCTGCAGATGTGGGGAGGAGCCAAGAGATTCAAAATCAGTATTTTCTCAATTTTAAAACTAGAATTGAATCAGTCTTTGATTTGTCAGTTTCTGCAAAAACTGACAAATTTTTGTATTTTATATATATATCTAATTTTTTTTATATATATAAAATCAAGACTTGCTAATGACCAAAATTCTCTCCTTATTGGAGAAACTTTTCTGCAATGAGAGAGTAAAGCAGGAGAGCCTGTTGATGAAGGTGGAGGCAATTCTGCTTGTGGTCAAATCCCTGGTTGAGCTGTTCACAAGGCCCAGTTGCATGTGTGTTCTCTCTGCCCCTAGAGTGTTCATTCCAACCAATTTTGAAGGTTGTCTCTGTGTCTCTGGAGACACAGAATTTAATGGCTATATTTAACTTACAACCACTGACTTCAATTATACTTGGTGATATCTACTTTTCTTATTCATTAACAGCATCTTTGGTCCTTCTCATAAGTGAAAATCAAGTCAGGTCCCTATCTCCAATGTTATATCAAACTTGGGTTTTCTTTAAGACTCCTAGAGTTTTACAGAGCACACAAAGGATTTGGAGAAGAAGAGGGTTTAGTATAATCTGAGTAGTACATTTCCCTCTGCTGCTTTTATCTTCATGTTTTGCTGATATGACAGGATGAAAGAGGTTGGGTCACAATTATCTCATGGTTACATGGTGCAATTGTGGTCCATTTCCAGCAATGCTGGCTAGATAATCATACCTTCACCCAGAAGTGTATCTCGAATTATGGATGTGTGAGTTTTTTGGAGTTCTTAGAAAGGGGGTGGTCATCACAACTGCATATTTCCTGATGGACCGATCTAAAACAAGGCTTACTTCTTCGTCCATACAACTGCCACTGTAGGCCTCCACACAACCTGCTCATTTTCTGTCTTGGTTGTTTTTTATTCCAATATCTTGACTTCTTGAGGTCCCCTCTCCAGTTCACAGGTATTCTTGAGTGAAATCCTGGAAATACAGCTAAAATGTTGATACCTGTGGGGGAAATTACTTAGTCATACTACAGTTCATGGTGGGAGAATATGCCCTTTCTGTCCCCTTTTCTACACCTGCATGTCTCTCGTGTCATTCTACTGCACAGGCAGATAGTTGGGAGTAAAATGTCAGCCTCTTGCTGTAGGAAACTCTGTGTTGGAGAAGCTGATAGAAACACCTTTATTTGGCTTCATTAAGGGAGGGAGAATTTTAGTGACCCCACTTATCCCTCTGTCATAGGCTAAGAACTCAGAACTGCATGCCTCTAATCATTCTCTGTAGATGTCTGTTGAGATGATTAGAGATAAGAGCTGCTTCAGCCACTTATTAAGAGTTCTTGGTATTTGACATTCCTGTGAAATTGGCTTCAGGTCACAATAGTACATTTTGGGATAATGAAAAGTCGTATGCAACCATCTGTGAATTTTTTCTCATATTCTGTGAAACAACACATTTTCATATTTGTCTCAGCTAGCTGATTTGGCATTCTCTCACAGCTGGAAGAGATCTGTTTAATTTAGTTTTTCTCCACATTTCAACTTTTTCTCCACCTCCAAAAGCATAATATATACAAAGCTTAAATATATTTTTTTCTCTTTTTCAGAAGGTTTCCAATAATCTTAGTAATGAGAGGGAGAGAGAATGATAGCCGTCGTGAATGCAGAAGGTCAGTGGGACAGCACCGCTCACTATCACATGAACTTGAAGACTTGGAAATCCGTCCAAGAGTGTCCTATGTGTAAGAGTATTTTGAATTAGTACCATAAATGTTTACAGTACATTTATATAAAAAAGGCCAGGGTTTAGTAAGGTGGTGGCATATGCCACATTTTGTGTACTATTGCCCATATGATTTTAGTTCAGGATCATTGGAATACTGCATTTTTTATGTTTATTAGGGATATATTTTATCTTGGCATTTCTCATTATTTCCTTACATAAAACAGATTTGCAATTGTAACCTCAATAGTTCTTTTATGTTAATTTACTTGAGCTAGAGAAAAACCATCTTTGGTGCATATAAGTATGGAATGGGATCATGGATTCCCGTAAAGATAGTAATTGATATCTATGTTAACTCTAATTCCAGCTTTTTGTTCTAAAAGAACTAAATGTCAGCAAGAGAAAACTCAAATGAGCCATAAGAATATTCAAATAGGCTATAATCTTTGGACTTTAGTATGCTAGAGGGACAGGCCCTTATTCCACGTATCAACCGACCCTCATAATTCTAAACTTCAGATGGTGTCCTCATGTAAAATTTATAATCATTTACTAAGCATTTGTTAACTAATAGCTACATATACACATAATATGTATGTGTGTATACATGTGTATATATCGTATTTGTGATACTTGAATCATTAGAATATTATAATGGTCCCTGGGGTTTAAAATTGATGCCTTTTTCCCACGTTCCCACTTTGTTGAGCCTCAGTGGATAGTTAGATGGTAGTTTCCCATCAGTACAACAATGTAACTGTTTCTTTTCCGTCCTTACAGGAACAGTGTTCCCTTGTTGAGCTACCTCATTGTATCCCTTCCTAAGTGTAAGAACAAAGCTGTACATTCTGGATGATGAGGCTACCCTACTTCACCTGGTACTCTGGCTGCTTGAGGATTTCATTGCCTTTTAGAAGTTGGACTAGTCACTGGATATTGTCTTTTATCATTTCAAATGTGATATTTTTAAATGAAAAAACCTGCTCTGTTGTCCATATTTATGAACCGTTGGGGTAGGGAGAAAAGCCTTCCCTTCCCAGATTTTAAACTTGTAATAAAGGTATTCTTAAATAAAGTTTTACAATTCTTAATAGTTATTTATATTTTTAAAAGAAAACTTAAGTCCTGATTCACAGAGCATTATAAAGTGTGAGGCAATTGCATTTTGTGAATAGGCTTACCCATCATCATCTGTTTTGGGTAGCAATTGAGTATCTAATACACAGTAGTCTTTCCTTATTCAGTTTTGCTTCCCATGGTTTCAGTTTCTCGCTGTCAACTGTGGTCTCAAAATACTAAAATATTCTTAATATCTTCATGGAAATTCATAATTCCATTTCATACTTGTTACGTACTCCAAAGAAAGACACATTCACATAACTTTTGTTGTAGCATATTTTATGATATATTTTATTGTTAATCTCTTACTGTGCCTAATTAAACTTTATCATAGATATAAATAAGAAAATTATAGTGTTTATACAGGGTTTGGTACTAACCACAATTTCAGGAATCCCCTGGTGGTCTTGGAATGCATCCCCTATGGATAAAGGGAACTACTGTATCATAATCTAATTCTCCAGTTGTTCCCCGTTTCACTGACTTCTAATGATATGTGTAAAATAAGATGAAATCAGGATTTTCTTTATAAATTGTTCAGAAAATAGCCTATTTCAGTCTCTTCTGTATTTTTTCCTGTCTGGATCACTTTCCTTTTCTGTGTGTTAGCAATTTCAAATCAGTTTGGAAATGTAGGTTCATCCATCTGGTCATATAAAGAGGCTAGAATTGAGAGGAAATAAAATTCCAGTTGGTTTCTGCATTATTGATGATTGTTTCAAACCAAAAGTGAATCTTTCTTGTCCAAATATCTCTAAAGGCAAATGGCAGCATTTGAAAAGAATGTAAAAATCTTTTGCTTTTACGGATTCTCTTGAAATTCTTCACTCCTAATCTCTGGATTATGGATCAGTTGACAAAAGTAACAAGGGGTCATAATTGCAGCATACTCTAGTCCTGATAAGGCTGTCAAACAGTTTAGAGCCCTGGATAAATAAGGCTTCCTGCAAATCTCTGCCCTTTTTTAACCAGTCAGAGGGAGGAAGCTCTGCCTCAGAGTTTAGAAGATGTAAAGGGCCTGGGGCCAGGAAGATTTCCAGAACAGCAAAAATCCAGGTAAGGCTGTAGGGTGACTGTTTCTTCTCACCAGTGGGTTAAAGACTGAATTTTCTTATGAGAAAAATTGAAAGTTGAAGTCCACAAATGTGTCTCAAATGCTGTTCTTTCTTGGGTAATGTAGTAAATAAACATGGTCCCCTAATACTATCCTGTTCTACTGCCCTTTATTTCGGTTTATTTCCCACAGCATTTTCCCCTTTTAAAATAGGCCCCTAAGGGAATTTACTAACATAATATGAACTATTTCAATGCTTGAATATAAGAGCATGAGTTTCATTTTAATTCATGAGACATTTTTCATTTTTCTCTAGAGAGAAATGTGTTACCTATTTTAAGTAAATTTGACAATAATTTAACTGAGTTGCTGTAATTCCTTGTTTCAATGAATGACTCATACACGTATATGCTCTCTTTTCCTCAGTTCTTTCAATTTAACAATTTAAGTGTCTTTTTGTTAGGCTTATGTTTTAATTTTAGAAAACCAAGAGTTGAGAAATCCTACAGAGCAGTTTTTTTTTTTTTTTTTTTTTTTTTTTTGTGCATTTCACTCTTGTTGCCTAGGCTGGAGTGCAATGGCACAATCTTGGCTCACTGCAACCTCTGCCTCACGGGTTCAAGTGATCCTGCTGCCTCAGCCTCCCTAGTAGCTGGGATTACAGGTGCACACCACCATGGCCAGCTAATTTTTAAAAATATTTTTAGTAGAGATGGGGTTTCACCATGTTGGCCAGGCTGGTCTCAAACTCCTGACCTCAGATGATCCACCCACCTTGGCTTCCCAAAGTGCTGGGATTACAGGCATGCATCACCATGCCCGGCTAATTTTTTATTTTTAGTAGAGATGGGGTTTCACCATGTTGGTCAGGCTGGTCTTGAACTCCTGACCTCAGGTGATCTGTCCACCTTGGCCTCCCAAAATGCTGGGATTACATGCATGAGCCACCATACCAGGCCTAAAAGTAAAGCAAAAAGGTTTTCTACAAATAAGTGTCCTTTGTAGAAATCATCAGTGCAGGGCCTATTAACATTGGTCCATCCCTCCCAGAAGTGTCATAGATGAAAGATGATCCAACCACATTTAAGTCTACAGACAGCAAGAAAGCAAGAGAAAATAAGTGGGGAAGGGTTTTGAAGAGAGACAATGCATTTAGGATAGGGTAGAGGCAGAATTGAAGGACCATGTTACTGTAATCCTCAAATATGCGCTGTCCTTATCTCTGCTGCATCATCTTTCTGCACTGATTGTGATTATGAGATTATAAGAACCTGACTTGAGGACTGAAAAAGTCGGCTCTAGACACAAGGTGCTCAAGGTCAGTGACATGCATTTGCTCTATCAGAGTGTTACAGAGGCAAGCTCCCTGGCCAGAGCTGCAGCTCACCAGTTCATGTGGTATACTGCCACGGAATTTGTACAGAAGAGTAAAAAACATATGAAGGCCATAATGTGACTATATTAGGTATCACCAATAGGTGGGCAATGTTATACAGATGTTAGGTCAATATATATACACACACACACGTGTGTGTGTGTGGGCATGTGTGTGTTGGCTCAGATCATCGCGGGGGCTAATTCCCAAGATCCGCAAGCTGGAGACCCAGGAAAGCTCATGGTATAGTTCTAGCTGAGTCTAAAATCCTGACAATCAGGAACATTAATTGTGCGAGTCCCAGCCTGAGGGCAGAAGAAGACCAATAATATCTGAGTTCAAGCAGTCAAGTGAAAAAGAGTGAATTGTCCGTTCCTCTGTCTTTTTGTTCTATTCAGACCCTCAACAGATTGGATGATGCCCAGCCACGTTGGGAAAGGCACTTTGCTTTACTTAGCTTACCTATTCAAATGCTTATCTCCTCTGGAAACACCCTTGCAAACACACCGAGAAGCAATGTTTAACCAAATAGCTGGGCACCCCGTGGCCCAGGTAGACTGACCCATAAAATTAACCATCACACTGACTCATCTATATTTAACAGATTTTATTAATTCTGTGGTGTTCCACAACCTTCTTCTAATATTTCTGTACTTAAGATATCCTATAAATTTGCCTGTTATTTAAATCTAAGTTTATTACTTCTTATTGATTTTTAACTATTTTCTTTTCTTGCCTTGATAGCACAATTCCATGCTCTCAAATAATACAGATGAAACATGTTATAAAAGTTAAATTGTTACAGAATTATAAACTTGAATGCTAGAAGACTATGGATAAACAGCATTAACATTCAGAAAGAATTTTTGAGAAAACAGATATTTTTGGAAATATATAAACGTAAAATATTATTAACCTTAGATGACTTCTGAAGATGTGAAGATATCCAACAGCAAAACAAAATAAGGATTGCAATAGGACTAGAGTTCTAGCCAGGCAAACTAGGCAAGAAAAGAAATAAAACTCATCGAAATTGAAAAGGTAGAAGTAAAATTATCTTTGTTTGCAGATGACGTGACCTTATGTATCGAAAATCCAAAGAATCCACAGGGAAGCTACTAGAACCAATAAATGAATTCAGCAAGGTGCAGGGTAAAGGTCAACACAAAAAAGATAATATTTAACATTAAAAGAAGTCAATACATTTCAAAGGATTAAAATCATATAGAATGTTGTGTATTTTCTGACACAAAGTATGTCTTTATAATTCAAAAATTAAAAAAAGATATTTTAGGCTGGGCATAATGGCTCAAACTCATAATCCCACCACTTTGGGAGGCCGAGGTAAGAAGGATCACTTGAAGTCAGGAGTTAGAGACCAGCCTAGGCAACAAAGTGAGAACCTGTCTCTACAAAACAACAAAGAAGATATTTAAATATCATCATATGTATAAATTGAGGAATAAATGTCTTAATAATCAATGATCAAAAAGTCATAACAATAATCAGAAAATATCTCAAATAAAAATGATTACAAAAAGGCCACAGTTCCAAACCTGTTAGATGTAATTAAAACAGCATATAGAAAGAGATTTATAGAATGAAATGTATTAGAAAAGAGGAAAGCTTGAAAAGTATACACTAACAAACCATTTCAAGAAATTTGTAGAGCGAAATAGATTCAAAGAAAAAAGAAGCAAAAAATAAAATAAAAATAGCATAGATTTTAATATTTCTGAAAACAAATCACAAAGCTCAACAAAGCCAACTGTGATTCTTTGAATATCAGAAATGAAAAAGAGGCATCAGGTTAGGCAGATAATAAATAACTTTAATAAACAGATTTACTTATTTATTAAATAATTAAGGACATAAAGAACAATTATATGCCAATTTATCTGAAATGTTAGAAGATATTGACAAATGCTTGGAAGTACGTCACTCACCAAAAGTAATTATGGAATCATTATTTTAAAACTGTAGTTTTATAACAATAAAATAATTATCAAAAACCTTCTATAAACCAAATTCAAGGCCCAGTTTGCTTCATGTAGTATTTCTACAAGACATTTAAGAGGAAAATAATTTCAGTCTAAAACTCTTCAAGAAAATTGTAAAAGAAATAATTACCAACTTACTTCATGAAGCTAGGTTAATCTCAATAACCTTCTAAGAGAAGGAAATGACAGGCCATTTTCACCAATGAATACAGATGTAAAAGTTTTAAGCAAAATAAAAAACAATACTGAAATATATAAATAATAATACTTTATAATATGGTTTGCATCAATAATGAAATTTGGACTAGATATTAGAAAAAGTTATTACAGTATCCTTTTTTTCTTTGAGACAGAGCCTCACTCTGTCACCCAGGCTGGAGTGCAGTGAGATGATCAGGCTCACCGTAGCCTCAACTTTCTAGGCTCAAGCAATCTTCCTGCTTCAGCCCCCCAAGTAGCTGGGACTACAGGCATACACCACCATGCCCGGCTAATGTTTTTGAATTTTTAGTAGAGATAAGGTTTCACTATATTGCCCAGGTTGGTCTCGAACTCCTGAGTTCCAGTGATTCTCCTGGCTTGGTGTGCCAAAATGCTGGGATTACAAGGGTTAGCTACTGCGCTTGGCCTTATCACAGTATTTTACCAAAATACCAGATTAATGGATAATATAGTAATCTCAGTAGATGCAGTAAACATAGTTGATAAAATACATCAGCTGACGATGATAAAAATGAGCAAACAATACAAAGAAACATCTTTAATTTGGGAAAGTTTAAAATACCCTATATCAAACATCATGCTTTTACAGGGTAAAATGCTGATACCTTTCTCTCTGATAAGAAATAAAATAAAGGTACCCATGATTACTATTTTTATTAAAGTCTTTGTTGGTGGTTCTAGATACAGTATATACAGCAACACTAAGGAATAAAAGATAATATAGAAAGAAACTCATTCACAGGTGAATCATTATGTATATAGAAAATACAAAAGAATTTACAGATAAGTTATTCGTTAACGATCAATTAAGAAACTCATTACAGGTGAATAATTATATATATAGAAAATACAGAAGATTTACAGATAAGTTATTAAAGTTAACAATCAATTTACAAAAAGCAACTGGAATTTGCTGAACCAGCAACAGTAAGTGAATAGAAAAAATGATAATAGGATGAGAATATCTGATACTTAGAAGTAAATCTAAGAAAACACATACAAAAACTATAGGAAATTATAAAAATTTACCCTGAGAGATTAACAAAGATCAAAATAAATAGAGAATATGTTCATTGATTGTTAGACTCATGGATTTTAGATTGATTCTAATCTCCTAAAAATCACAACTTTTTAAAAATTGAAATTTGGCAAGCTGGTTTTAAAATTTACATGGGATAGCAATTGGTCAAATACAGTCAAATACTGTCAAACAGAGAAAATGAAGGAGGATTTCATGTATCATATATAGAGATGAAGTACAAATTGATAATCAAGATAATGTGTTATTGGCATAAGAATATACAAAAAAACCCATGAGTAAAATATAAAATCTAGAAATAAATATACACATATATAGACTCTTGATTTATGATGAACAGACTGCAGAGAGGTAGATAATGAGAGACTTTTTAAAAACGGGACTGAAATATCTGGACATTCATTTGAATATACATATGGTCATTTACCTTGCCCTATTCAGAAAAATTAATTCCAAGTGTATTAAGAATGTAAATATAAAGAGCTTAATTGTAAAAAAACTTTCAGAAGAGAATAGAGGAAAATTTCTTCATGATTTTGGTGTAAGAAGGACTTATTAAAGAAAACACAAAAAGCACTAACCATAAAGAAAAATAAAATATACGTTAGCCTAAAATGTCAATAGTGATGAGTTTAAGAAACTGTGCTCTAGGTACTTAATACAGGTAGAGATTAATCCTTGATTAGGTTCCATTCTGTACTGTGGAAGTAGCACTTGAGTATAATACAAATATTTAGTGGAAAGAACTGTCACTTGAGGTTTCTGACAGTCGTAGATATCTCTTTTTACTTGTTTTTTGCTATGTCAACACACAGTGTTGGAGATTTTTATTTTATTTTATTATTTTAATTTTATTTTTTGAGATGAAGTCTCACTCTTTGCCCAGGCTGGAGTGCGGTGGCACGATCTCGGCTTACTGCAACCTCTGCCTCCTGTGTTCAAGCGATTTTCCTGCCTCAGCCTCCCGAATAGCTGGGATCATAGGCATGCACCACAACACCTGGCTAATGTTTGTAGTTTTAGCAGAGATTTGGGCGGGGGGGGCGGTTCACCATGTTGGCCAGTCTGGTCTCGAACTCCCGACCTCAGGTGATCCGCCCGCTTCTGCCTCCCAAAGTGTTGGGATTACAGGCGTAAGCCACCACACCCAGCCCAAGATTTCTATAGTTAATTTTGATAATATTCACCAGCAAGTATCCTGCATTTAGAAAATGAGACAATCTATGTAACATGTTATGTAATTTCTACAGCTAATTCATTAAACTCTTGCTTCTGAGATGGAGCTTTTATAATGAATAGTTTCTGCCAAAATATTGAGCCAGGTCAAATTATTATCCTTATCCATAATCCCTCACTCTGCCAGGATTTTACCTTCCTAGGTTTTACTGGACAAAAATTATCTCATGAACTTTTCTTCAGCAACCTGGAGACATACACATTCATGACAAAATACTTTGGGAAAGCAAAATTAAAGCAGATTGGGGTTTTCAAAGCTGAAACCACAGGTTTGTGAATTTGTTTTCCTGAATCAGGGCCTCCTGGTGCTTGTTGGAAGGACACATTAACGGGCTCACTGGGTCAGAACCATTGGCTGTGAGGCCAGGGAATCACAAGATCCTAGAGTGGTTAATTTGATTGGTAAACAATATTATCAATCAAATCATAAACGAGTCTTCTGTATTATCCCCTTGAAGCTCCTCAAATCATCCTGCAAAGCCCTGCTCTTAACATTCCAACAGACACATATCAAATATTATATAAGTCACCATTTCAGCCTCACCATGTGCTTGGGGTAGAGAGTACATCCTAGAATCCCCCTTGTTCACATTTTCCCACAGGTTTTCTGAATTATGATTATAATGACTTCAGCTGTAAGGAGGAAAAGCCAATGAGGTGCTGAGTGCTTCTCGGTGCTCTCCAGAATGATGAACATTACCCACAGCTGAAGAGGCAAGAGGTTTATAAACACCTGCAGAGACCTACTTCCTGTGATTCCTTGGTTTAAGATCTGTGGCAATGAAGATCTCTGGAGTTTTAGGAGGGCTCCTCATACTTTTTGCCTCGACTCATGCTCTTGAAAATAGTAAGAAAAAACAGAAGATTCTGGAGGGTGGCATATTAAGCAGTGGGGTGCTTTGCTACATACTTTTGACTTTGGGGTTTCATAATCTGATGATCATCTGCTAATATCTACTGGCTGTTTTCACTCAGTTTATTCATGCATCTGTACTACTGTAATTTCCCCTTGAATCCATAATTAGATGGATCATATTTTTTCTTAATCTGCAGACTTTCTGGGGTTATTTTCTTTTGTCTTAGACATGCTTGTCACTTTGTAGTGTCTGAAATATTCACAGTGAATTGATAATCAGGAGATTCTGCTCAGTGTCTAGAGTGAAGATTGTTTAGGTGTTCATGCCTTTGGCCATGTGGCTTAGAGTTTGGACAAAGTGGTCAGCTGCTTTCATTTGTAAATGATTCCTTTTCAGAGCACACTTTCAAATGGCATATCAAACTAATATTAACTGGGTCAAATGACATGCGTCAATTTTTTTTTTTTAATATCAAAGCAGCTGATACATTGTTCCAAGTGAGTATAATAGATAGTGAAACTTCCATTTCGGGTTTGGAAAAATTTCAAAGATGTATTCCTGGGGCCCTTTCCTACGTAAAAATTGAATAAACTCTAAATGACCTGTGGGGAATTTGGCCTATAGCTTCATTGTAACCAACGCACATGATTTAAATCTCCCAGACTTTCAGCCATCTTGTGTCCTAATGAAAGGTTAACATTTCCTCTTCCTAAGAAACTATATCATCCTGGAACTCTGTGTCATTGCATAGACATGATCTATACATCTCTGGCCTTATTGATCCCACTTCCTCTTCCAGTTACTGCCTCAGTTTTCTTCTCTTTAAAGTTACTGTATTCACTCTCTCCTATTTCTCTCTCTTTTTTTAAAAAAATTTAACTTTAATGAGTCATTCACCAAAAACACTCCATCAAAAGTTTGCCTGAAACATTGGTGATTTCTACATTAAAACATTTGACAGTTGCTCTGTTGTCAGCCCTCACTTACTTGATTTTTGTCGTAGCCCATGGGATGGATTATTCGTCTCCTAAAAACTTGCTTTACTTGGCTTGTAGGTCATACTGTTCTCTTCTCTTTTGTCCTGCCTTGCTGACATTTCTTTTCTTTCGTTTTCTAGTGTCTCCTTCATTGCTTGATCTTGGTCATACAAGAATCAATCTCAGAAACTCTTTCTTATTCTATTTTTGTTGTTGTTGTTGTTTTATCCTATCCAGTGCCATGATATCACATATCCTTTTTACATTCATAATTATCTCACGTTTAATCCCCAGTCTGAGTATTCTTTTTTAACTTCAGATGCATATTTCCCACTATCTGTTTGAATATCTAATGGCATTTCAGACTTAACCTTTCCAAACTGAACTTCTGCTATTAACTGCCACTTTTGTTTCTCCCACATTATCCCTCATATCAGCCTATGGTGACTATGTTGGGAAAAAATAACTAAAA